>NC_000007.14:68567385-68870415 GCF_000001405.40 Homo sapiens | reverse complement strand
ATCATCCATTGATCCATCTATCCATCCATCATCCATCCATTCATCTATTCATCCATCCATCATCCATCCATCCATCCAGTCATCCATCATCCATCCATCTTTCCATCCATCCATCCACCAATTATCTATCCATTTGTCCATCCATTCATCCATTCATCATCCATCCATTCATCCATCCATCATCCATCTATCCATCCATCCCTCCTCCATCTCAACTTCTTCCCTTTTAACCATCCCTCTACCCATCTATCTACTCACTCATCCGTCTACCTACCATCTATCCATTTATCCCACCCTCCCCTCTCTCCACTTCTTCCCCCTTCCCACCACCCACCCATCCATCCACCCACCCACCCATTCATCTACCCACCATCTATCCATTCATCCATCCCTCCTTACCCCTTACCCACCTCTTCCTTTCCTTTCAACCACCCATCCATTTATCCATCTACCCACCATCCATCCATTTATCCTTCCCTCCTTCTCCCTCTTCTTTCCTACAATCCTCTTCCAGTCACCCAAGCATTTACCTACCCATCTACTCATCCTTCGATTCATTCATACAGTCACTTAAAAAAAGTAAATTTCATATACTACTCTGGATCTTGGAGAACAAGCAGAGAACCAGACACAGCTCCTGCCTTCATACAGTTTACAGTCTCCTGGCGGTGAAGACAAAGGAAAAATAAAAGTAATCAGATTACCACACAATATTAATACTTAAAATTGAAGATGCAGAGACAACTAAGCAGTGTCTGTAAACTCCAGGAGATCTAGGTCTGATGGAAGAGACAGACACGTAGATAATTATTTCTAAGACAATATTTTTAGTGCCATCAGATAAAGTATGGACAAAATGTCGTGGAATTGCAGATGATGAAATGAATTATTTCTGCTTGAGGATGGGAGAAATTCTTACAAAGGAGAAGAGCTATGTGCTTGACTTAACAGGAAGAGCAGCAGCTTTCTGGGTGGTCAGGCTGGGAAAGGAACAAGGTGATCCATACAGAGGCAATCAAAAGGCCAATGAGTTTGGGGAACAAGTGGAAGGTTTGTTGTGGCTGGAGGGTGGGAGGTGTGGGCACAGATGCCTTTTTCTCAGGCTGACCGTCAGCCAGCATCCCTCCATCAGTCCATGCCCTAGTTTGTCCTGGCGTCCATCCGTGCTGCCCTGTCATGGGGTGGAAGCCAACAGCGTCTGGCAGCGCTGTGCTGGAGACTCTGTCTGGCCAGGGACACAGTCCCCTGTTGAGGCTGTAATTCTAGAGGCTGCCCATGCCTTCCCCACACGTGGGAGACACTAAGTAGGGATTCTGGTCAGTGCACCTCTGAGGTCTGATCTGGCCATTGGGTTCTTGCAGTTGCCAGAGTCTCTCACCAAATAGGCTGCTCCCATCTTAATTGGCCCATGTTAGGCAGAGAGCTTTTGGCTACAAGACAAAGTGATTTTCGGACAAATGATTCTGTGTTCTGGGGAATGTGCAATTACTTAAAGGGTGAAAGTGAAACAGCCTTTGCAAAAATTGTAACAGTGAGAAAATGATGACAGTGAAAGAGATCTGATGTAACCAACCCCTACTTTGCCTTTAACCTCCAAACTGCCCTGAATCATTCCTGAGCTTGCACCAAGCTAACTTTGGGAGACATTTAGTTTACAGTTTAAATAATAATAGCCCTTCCCCAAAACTCAATTGCCTTTATAAAGCTAACGGGAGTGTAAATTAGTTCAACCATTGTGGAAAGCAGGGTAGCAATTTCTCAAAGAGCTAAAAACAGAACTACCATTCAACCCAGCAATCCCATTACTGGTTATATACCCAGAGGGATATAAATCATTCAGTGATAAAGACACAGGCATGTGAATGTTCATTGCAGCATTATTCACAGTAGCAAAACATGGAATCCACCTAAATACCCATCAACGACAGATTGGATAAAGAAAATGTGGTACATATACACCATGGAATACTATGCAGCCATAAAAAAGAATGAGACCATGTCTTTTGTGGGAAAATGGATGGAGCTAGAGGTCATTATCCTTAGCAAACGAATGCAAGAACACAGAACCAAAACTCCGTGTTCTCACTTATAAGTGGAGGCTACATGATGTGAATTCATGAACAAAAAGAAGGGAACAACAGACACTGGAGCCTACTTGAAGGTGGAGGGTGGGAGCAGGGAGAGAAGCAGAAAAAATAACTATTGGGTACTAGGCTTAGTAGTTGGGTGATGAAATGATCTGGACAACAACTCCCCATTACAGGAGTTTGCCTATATAACAAACCTGCACATATATCCCTGAACCTAAAATAAAAGTTAAAAAAAAAAAAAAGAAAGAAAGACCACCAGATTAGGACAATGAGAGAAGCCTGAATTTTGCTAAGATGTAGACATAAATGATTACTAGCCATTATTCCAGAGGTAACAAGATTTGCAACTCTCCCAATGATTCCTGCAGGTAACATCACCATTGTAGAACCTAAGACCAACTTTTTGAGGTATCTTCTCAGAGTTTTGCATTTCTGACAACCAATGTCTCCCTGGACCCACCCAGAAGTAGACTCCCTGGCCCAACAAACTACCCTTGAAAAATCCTAACCTCTGAATTTTCAGTGAGATTAGTTTGCGTAACAACTCCGTCTCCCACGTGGCGTGACTGGCCTCATGTCAATTAAGTCTGTCTTTATTGCAATGCGGTGGTCTCAGTGAATTGGTTTTTTGCCTGTGCAGTAGGCAGGAAGAACCCATCAGGCAATTACAAGAGGCACAAAATTTCTTTTTTTTTCCTTTTTTGAGACAGTTTTTCTCTTGTTGCCCAGGCTGGAGTGCAAAATGGTGCGATCTCAGCTCACCGCAACCTCCGCCTCCTGGGTCAAGTGATTCTCCTGCCTCAGCCTCCTGAGTAGCTGGGATTATAGGCCTGTGCTACCACACCCAGATACTTTTGTATTTTTAGTAGAGACAGGGTTTCTCCATGTTGGTCAGGCTGGTCTTGAACTCCCGACCACAGGTGATCCGTCCCCCTTGGTCCCCCAAAGTGCTGGGATTATAGGCATGAGCCACTGTGCCCGGCTGAGGCACATAATTTCTTTAGTCATGTAAGTGTCAATGAAGAGTCAAACTCTGTAAAATATTTGAGGAGATTTATTCTGAGCCAAATATGAATGACCATGGCTGGTGACACAGCCCTCAGGATGTCCTGAGGTAGTCGGAGTGCAGCTTGGTTTTATACATTTTAGGGAGGCATGAGACATCAATCAAATACATTTAAGAAATACATTGGTTTGGTCCAGAAAGGTGGGACAACTCAAAGTGGAGGGTGGGGAGGTAGGCTTCCAAGCTATAGGTAAATTTAAACGTTTTCAGGTTGACAATCGGTTGAGTTTGTGTAAAGATCTGGGATCAATAGAAAGGAAATGTTCAGGTTAAGATAAAAGATTAGGGAGACCAAGTTTCTTCTGAAGTCTCACAGTGGCTGCCCTTAGAGACAACAGATGACAAATGTTTCCTATTCAGATCATTAAAAGGTGCTAGACTCTTAATTAATCGCTTTAGCATTGGGAGGGCCTGGAAGAAAAAGACCTAGCTATGTCAGAGATTCTTTACAGATGCAAATTTTCCCCCACAAAGGACAGCTTTGCAGGGCCATTTCAAGATATGGCAAAGAAACATGTTTTGGGGTAAAATATTTTGACTTTCTTCTTTGTCTCATAATGTTATGCCAGAGTCAGATTGGAAAGTAAGTCACGATATATAGTGTTAAATAAAACCCATCTGATGAGAATTTATGGTTTGTAGGGCATGACTCCCCAGATCCCTTAGACAGGAATTTGGGCAAGATAAAATAATTAGAGCTTAGTCCTCATAAGCCTGTGGTAGGAAACCAGAATAAAGAAGACGGACATATTCCTTACTCATGTTGGAAACATGGGGGGGCTAGTTCCCCAATCCATTGGCAGAGCAGGCAGAAAAGGAATCAAATGCATCGAGCTCACAGCTCAGCTGCCTGCTTTTGTTTCTGTTTTTCAAAACACCTGGCCTGAAATTAGCCCTGAGAAGAAATCCCATTTTCCACCATTGCCCCTTTCTCCCACTTGAAGACAGAGAATCCTGCCTTGTAACAATACCAAATGTTTACAGTGTTTCAGACGCTGGGCTTCGCATTTACATACTTTATCTCATTCAGTCTTCACAGCCATGCTAGGAAGTACAGGCTAATATTATCCCATTAATAGCAGCTGGTCCAAGAGGTTACATTGCTTGCAGGGATTTGAACCAGCTTGCCTGTAATTTCCAACTTAGCTCTATTCTTTGGCACTTATAGAATGAGGCTGCTTTATTCTCTCCCTAAGGCATCCCATCAAGTAGTTGAAGACAGACATCACAGGCCTGCCTAAATTCCTTTTACAGCACGTTTTGGTCTTTGGCCCTTATATCAAATGGTTCACATTTGGCTGGGTTAGTTCCTTCCCTCTGGATATGTTCCAACAGATTACTATGCCTTGTTGGTTGTTTCTTTTTTTTTTTTTTTTTGAGACAGAATCTCACTTTATCACCCAGGATGGAGTGCAGTGGCATGATCTCAGCTCAATGCAATCTCTTCCTTCCAGGTTCAAGCGATTCTCCTGCCTCAGCCTCCAGCGTGGCTGGGACTACAGGTGCGTGCCACCATGCCCAGCTATTTTGTTGTTGTTGTATTTTTTTTAGTAGAAATGAGGTTTTGCCATATTGGCCAGGCTGATCTTGAACTCTTGGCCTCGAGTGATCCACCCACCTCAGTCTCCCAAAGTGCTGAGATTACAGGCATGAGTCACTATGCCCAGCATTTTTTTTTTTTTTTTTGAGACAGAGTATTGCTGTATCACCCAGGCTGGAGTGCAGTGGCAGGATGCCTGCTCTTAGTCAGGTATTGTTAGCAGTGGGAATCCACAGGGCCTGCAGCAAACTCAATTCTTGTCTCCTCAGAGGAAAGAATTCGACTAAGGGGTGTAAGGTACAGGGAGAAACCAAGGCAAGTTTTAGATTAGGAGTGACAGCTTATTTAAAAGTTTTAGGCCAGAAACAGTGGCTCACACCCGTAATCCCAGCACTTTGGAAGGCCACGGCAGGCAGATGGCTTGAGCCCAAGAGTTCCAGACCAGCCTGGGCAACATAGTGAAACCCCGTCTCTACAAAAAAATACAAAAAATTAGCTGAACCTGGAAGGCCAAGGCAGGCAGACGGTTTGAGCCCAAGAGTTCCAGACCAGCCTGGGCAACATAGTGAAACCCCGTCTCTACAAAAAATACAAAAAATTAGCTGAACGTGGTGGCGTGCACCTGTGGTCCCAGCTACTTGGGAGGCTGAGATGGGAGGATCGTTTGAGCCCAGGAGGCAGAGGTTGCAGTGAGCCGAGATCACACCACTGTACTTCAGCATGGATGACAGCTTGAGACCCTGCCTCTAAAACAACAACAAAAAAGTTATAGCGCAGGAATGAAAGGAAGTAAACTCCACTTAGAAGAGGGCCAAGCAGGCAACTTGAGAGATTCAAGTGCTCCGTCCAACTCTTGACTTGGGGTTTTGTACGTTGGCATGATTCTGGGTTTGCATTTCTTCTCCCCTGATTCTTCCCTTGGGGTGGGCTGTCCACATGCACAGTGGCCTGCAAGCACTTGGGAGGGGCTGCATGCACAGTGTGTGTACTGAAGTTGTGTGCATGCTCATTTGAAGCGTTTTCCCCTTCCCAGCCAAGTGTTCCTAGAAGAAGGTCATGTATCAGTTAAACTCTGCCATTTTGCCTCTTAGTGCGCATGTTTGAACCTGCTGGCCCAACTCCTGAGATCTGATCAAGAAGCTGCTGATCATCAGCTTCAGGTGTTTCCTTATTGGGAGACTGCCTTTTCCTGGCACTGGCTACAATCAACTATTATTTTAGAGAGACACCCGCCTGCCCATCACCTGATTGCCCCATTCCTAATGGGGTCAAATGGGAGGGGCGTCCCCTGCCCTGCTTATGTCTGCCTAGCTACCTACTCTAACGATGTGATATTTTAAGTATGTTCAGAAGAGCGGGACTTACAGAGTAACCAGCTTCTCCCTTATTCTGGATATCTTGCTCCTATGAATGCAACCATATCGTCAGTTGAAAATTCTATCACTAACAGTGTCAGAGGCGTTCGAACCAGAGTGACTCCATGTTGAACAGGGGCTGGGCAAAATGAGGCTGAGACCTACTGGGCTGCATTCCCGGGGCTTAGGCATTCTTAGTCACGGGATGAGACAAGAGATTGGCAGGAATGATATCACAAGATACAGGTCACAAAGACCCCGCTGATAAAACAGGATGCGGTGAAGAAGCCAGCCAAATCCCACCAAAACCAAGATGGTGACAAAAGTGACCTCTGGTCATCCTCACTGTTCATTATACACTAATTATAATACATTAGCATGCTAAGAGACACTCCCACCAGCACTATGAGAGTTTACAAATGCCATGACAATGCTTGGTAGTTACCCTGTATGGTCTAAAAGGGGGAGGAACCCTCAGTTCTGGGGAAATCCCTGCCCCTTTCTTGGAAAACTTATGAAGAACCTACGCTTGGTTTAGCAAATAATCAAGAAATAACCATAAAAATAGCCAACCAGCAACCCCGAGGGGCTGCCTATGGAGTAGCCATTCTTTCATTTCTTTACTTCTCCAATAAACTTGCTTTCACTTTACTCTATGGACTAAGCCCTGAATTCATTCTTGCACAAGATCCAAGAACCCTCTCTTGGAGTCTGGATTGGGACCCCTTTCTTGTAACAAGAGGCTAGGGCTTCAACAAAGGCACCACCACTAGAAAGGAGGAACATGGGTCCAGGAGCACTTACCCAGGAGTATGGCTGGCTGAGGGATATCTGTCTGTATCTGCTAGCTACATTTCCCTCAAATATATAGCTCTTGATGGCCTCATTTTCCCCAGGGGAATTACGTGGGTTATAGATTGGGAAAGATCTGAATGACTCCCCCTCTTTATTCAATTCTGAACCAGGCAAGGTTAAGCCTCAGCTGTTTCTTTTGTGTTACATTTGGCCCATCTGGGGTAAAGATTATGGCTAATGTGTATGAAGCCCTGACAATTTGCTTTCTATGTAGTAGGTTGGACCAAAGTGATATAGGACTTAAAGAGAAATTATTTAAGCAGATAGTGAGGGTAAGGAAGTCCTCGGTAAGGTCCTCCTTTTAATAAAAAGCAACCCCCAAATCATTTTTCTTTTCTAACAAAGAGCAGCCTACAAAATCGAGCTGCAGAATAGATAAGCAAGCTGGAAGCTTGCACGGGGGCAGCTGTGCCAATAGGAAAAGGCTACCTGGGACTAGGCATGTTCAAAATGGCGGCTCCATCTTCCCTTCTCTTTGCCAGCCATGTGCACAGTAAGGAGCAGAAAACATGGCTGCCGGCCAAGTGAAAGCCCATTTACATAATAACATTGGAGTGGGGTGGCCAGCCTTCCCCACAAATTAGGTAAATGTCACACCTGGCCCAACCAATCTGTGGGCCCTATGTAAATCAGACACTGCCTCCTCAAGCCTGCCTATAAAATCGGGTGCACTCAGGCTTGGGCTGGAATTCCCATTCAGGTGCCCCCTCTCTGGCAAGAGAGAGAGAGCTGTTCTCCCTTCTCTTTCTTTTGCCTGTTAAACCTCTGCTCCTAAACTCACTCCTTGTATGAGTCCATGTCCTTAATCTTCCTGGTGCAAGAAGATGAGCCCCGAATATTTACCCCAGAAAACAGTGCCACTTCAAAATCATGAATATTATTATTAATTCTTTTCTTGGTTTGGGATGAAGGAGAAATATCTGATCTTTTACTGAAGGGCTAGTGGTGTGGCCCGTGGTGACTTAGTAACTGAGTCAGGCGAAGCCAACCCTCTCTGCAGAGTCCAGGCTGCTGCAGGATGCAAGTTGATTATGGTGAGGGTGGCTAGGCATGCGTTTTACCAGAAAGGAATGTGAACAGTAACTTCGGCTCTAACCAGGAGGGCAAAGCACGTAATGTCATGTAAGGGATGCTTATGTAAATGAGGTAACAGAAGCAAAAGCAAGCTGTAAACTTCAAGTGTGGGGCATGGGCTTATTGTTATTTTATTTTATTTTATTTTTGAGACAGAGTTTCGTTCTTGTTGCCCAGGCTGGAGTGCAATGGCACGATCTTGGCTCACTGCAACCTCCACCTCCCGGGTTCTAGCGATTCTCCTGCCTCAGCCTCCCAAGCAGCTGGGATTACAGGCATGCGCCACCACACCCAGCTAATTTTGTATTTTTTTTTAGTAGAGATGGGGCTTCTCCATGTTGGTCAGGCTGGTCTCGAACTCCTGACCTCAGGTGATCCGCCCACGTCAGCCTCCCAAAGTGCTGGGATTATAGGCGGAGCCACCGTGCCTGGACTATTGTTATTTTTACACGGTTCATTCTGTCTCTGTAATAAATGAACCTATTAGCTAAACATTTAAGACTTTCTTGTAGAAGGCTACCTTATGCCGGTCAGGTTGCCGGAAGCAACAGAAGCATTTTTCTCAGGAAGAAATGGCTGAAAGCCCATGGTCTTTATTGATTTACATTTGCGGGCCATAACTCCTTATCTCTTTTCTGCTCTTGAGAGCATGATGTTCGCCCATGTAATATATGAGTCTGACCAGCATTGCCAAGTCTTGAGCAACTGGAGAGGGAGTGGGGATTTGTGTTGAAAAGTCATTTGGGAACCCAGGTTATTGAGCTCAATCTCCCCTTTTCTGTCTCTATGGAGAAACGGGCCGGTATTGCTTCTCTGTAGGGTCCAAAGGATGAATCATTTATACTTGTAAAGTTCTTTGAGATCCTTGGATGTTACATAAACACGAAGCATAATCATTATGAATTATAAGTGAAGCAGACGGAGGTTTTAAATTAAGTAGCACCATTGTGTTATTTTTCATCAGGATTCAGAGCAGCCAACCTTTCCAGCAGAAGTAACTTAGATAATTTGATTCTCTCACTTAACCAGGACTGATCACTGCGGGGATAGAAATTAATTTCTTGAAAAACAGCTGCCGGTTTTCTTCCCCACCAGCCTCTCTCCAAGCTTTGCAAATGTGGTCGTAATGAAACTGTGGCGGAGGTTCCTCTGGGATGACTTGTTAATTCAACAGGGGCCCAATACGTGGTTCTCCAACTTTTGGTTTATCTGAAAAATGGTCAGGTAAATGCCAGCAGCTGTGCCAATGTCCTCTGAGCATATGAATGTCCTGTGCGCACCAACCATCGTGGTCGTGTCCGCCCACACCAGATCGAACGCTTACAGAGACTGGGTGCGCATGGACTAAATGATTCGGAGCTTTAATGAAATGAGGCTCAATCTGGCTGGTAATTTGTCTGAATTCAATCCTTCCAAACGACCCCAGTAAGGGACAGAGTTGGCACTGTCCGGATCTACTGTTTGCCCCCTTGCCAGGAAATCAACAGGAAGGTTGTGTGTGAGTTGAGCTGAACCCTTACACTTCTTTTTTTCTTTTTAGACAGAGTCTCACTCTGTCGCCCAGGCTGAAGTGTGATCTCGGCTCACTGCAATCTCCACCTCCCAGGTTCAAGAGTTCCTCTTGCCTCAGCCTCCCGAGTAGCTGGGATTACAGGCACCCACCACCATACCCAGGTAATTTTTGTATTTTTAGTAGAGACAGGGTTTCATCATGTTGGCCAGACTGGTCTCCAACTCCTGACCTCAAGTGATCCATCCACCGTGGCCTCCCAAAGTGCTGGGATTACAGGCATGAGCCACCGCACCCAGCCTGAACCCTTACACTTCTGTTCACAGATTCTGTGACAGTTTGGTGTGGCTGAGTTGGTCATAGGCTATCAACTTGGTTACAAAGCTGGAAATATGAGCTAAGGCTGGGAGAAGGTTGGATAGGCCTGGGAAAGACAGAAACTAATATTTACTTGAGTGTACACCCCATGCCAGTAACACCCACTATTTGCTCATCCTTGGGTTATGCCATTCAATGGCTGTATGACCTCAAGGAATTCACTGAACTCCTCTAAGCCCTAGTTTTCTCATCTATCAGATAAAGGCATTGGGGCCAGATGTGTCGGCTCAGGCCTGTAATCCCAGCACTTTGGGACGCCGAGGCAGGTGGATCCCTTGAGTTCAGGAGTTTGAGACTAGCCTGGGCAACATGGTGAAACCCTGTTTCTACAAAGAATTAGGTAGGGATGCTGGTGCATGCCTGTAGTCCTAGCTACTTGGGAGGCTGAGATGGGAGGATCCCTTAAGCCCGGGAGGCAGAGGTTGCAGTGAGCCGAGATCATGTCACTGCACTCCAGCCTGAGTGACAATGGAACCCTGTCTCAAAACAAAAATGAAATGAAACAAAACAAACAACAACACCAAAAAAAAACAGATAAAGGCATTGGAATAGGTGGTTGCCAAGATCCTGTATGACCCTGGAATTGTCATATTGCAATCTGCAAAGAGCCATATTGAAGAAGGAAAGGAAAGCTACATTTCCTACAAAGAGACTGTGCTGGGGGACATTAGTCAAGCCTGTTAGGATTCTGCCATGTTAAAGCAAGTTCTCCCTGCTCAATCCCTTAATGATATTCTATCCTGGTTCCTAGAACTTATCTCTCCAAGTATTCAGCGAGAACCCAGATGTTCTTCATCAGGAGTGAGTCTGCCTTCCTAGGGGCAAAGTAGACTGGAAAATAGCATTTGTGGGTAGGTGAATGGAGAGTTTTCCCCAAACTTCAAAATGTAGGTCTATCTTTGCTGCTGGCATTTGAAGAGTATATGAGGGAGGCAGCAGATGAGAAACACAACTCTATCTACAGTAGACTTGAGGAACAATCACACAAAAACAACTGGACATTAAGGTTAATAAATTCCTATTCCTGCAAACTGCCTTCAGCTACCCTGCATCAATAATGTGATTTCTGTGACTTTTTTTTTTTTTTTATTATACTTTAAGTTCTAGGCTGGGCGTGGTGGCTCATGCTTGTAATCCCAGCACTTTGGGAGGCTGAGGCAGGTGGATCACAAGGTCAGGAGATCGAGACCATGGTGAAACCCCGTCTCTACTAAAAATACAAAAAATTAGCCAGATATGGTGGTGGGCGCCTGTAGTCCCAGCTACTCAGAGAGGCTGAGGCAGGAGAATGGTGCGAACCTGGGAGGCGGAGCTTGCAGTGAGCCGAGATCGCGGCACTGCACTCCAGCCTGGGCGACAGAGTGAGACTCCGTCTCAAAAAAAAAAAAAAAAAGGTTCCAGGGTACATGTGCACAACGTGCAGATTTGTTACATATGTATACATGTGCCATGTTGGTGTGCTGGCATTACTGGATATATACCCAAAGGATTACAAATCATGCTGCTATAAAGACACATGCACACGTATGTTTATTGCAGCACTATTCACAATAGCAAAGACTTGGAACCAACCCAAATGTCCATCAATGATAGACTGGATTTCTGTGACTTCTTCCCCACATTTGAGGTTGCCTTGAAGTTAGTGTTCCTTGGGTTTTGATTTTGTTTGAATATAATGTTTATAATATTGTTTTGCCGAGTAGAGGAAGGGCAGAGTGTGTGGCAGAGATGAATGATTTTTTTTCAGTAACATTTATGTTTCCTCTTCCATAGCCTGGGGGTCCCAGCTTGGGGTTCTGCATGCAGCCATGTGCTGAGTTCTTATAAGTAGAATGTAAGCAGAGGTGATTAATATCATTTAAGAAGCAGATAAGCTTTCTCTAATGCACTCTCTCCTTTTCTGCCAGCTGGATACAGATAAGACAAGAACTCAGGATTGGCTGAGCCATAGGTTAGAAGGAGCTTGGATCCCCAAATCACTGCATGGAGGAAATCCAGTGGCCAACCAGGAACATCCATCAAAAATAAACTTTCTGCTGACTCTTACAACTTGAGAAAGACTTTCTAATAATCTTCCTTTGTATTCTGGATCTGCTTCACTTCTCCTGTGAAGATGTTTTGGAGTCAGGCTTTACTAAAACTGTGGCTCACTAAAGGAGAGAGCTATCCTACCAGGAGCTAAGAAGTGGGACTGGGCTTATACTACACAGAAAAGATTAGTGAGGTGCGAGGTGGGGTTGTGATGAAAAAAACCATAGAAAGACACCAAAGCCCACTCAGGTGGATATCAGAGGGACTGGAGACCATACATAGCAGAATGTACTGAGGTTGAAGAGAAAGAATGGACAAGTCAACTGGGAAGAATGCAGAACATAGCGAGAAATAAAAGCATCCAGTGGAAGTTGATGCTTTGTGAAAGCCCTTTTCCTTACTTCTCCATTTGTAATCCATGCACACCCTGCCCTCCATTCCAGTCTGCAAAGGGATGTCCAAAAGAGAATGCAAATTTTTGACGCTCCTCCTGTTTAGAAATAGGGTCTAAGTACCCTCCCTTTGAGGCTAGACAGGCTGACTCATCTAAGACTCCTTCAACCAAGAGAATGCAATGGAAATGTTAGTGTTCAACTTCCAAGGCTAGATCACAAATGCCATAAAGTTTCTGCCTTGTTCTCTTGGGAGGCTCATTCTATTACCTGGGGAAAGCCATCTGTTACCTAAGAAGTCTGACTGCATGAGACTTTCATGCTGGTGAGGCCATGTGCAGGTGTTTCAGTCAACAGCCCCCACTGTGCACCCAGATGGCTGTTGGCTTCAACCATCAGCCATGTGCATGCACCATCTTGGATGTCCAGCCCGATTGAGCCTTACAGTGACTGCAGCCCCAAGTGGCATCTAAATGTTACCTCATGAGAGATCCCAAGCAAGAACTTTCTAGGTGAACCTTTCCCAAATTTCTGATCCACAAAATTGTAAGCAAAATAAAATGGCTGTTTTAAGCTGCTAAGGTTTATGTTTGTTTTCTTTTCGAGATAGAGTCTCACTCTGTTGCTCAGGCTGGAGTGCAGTGGTGTGATCATAGCTCACTGCAAACTGAAACTCCTGGTCTCTAGCACTCCACCAGCCTCAGCCTCCTGAGAAGCTGGGACTACAGGCACATACCACCGGGCCCAGCTGTTTTAAATTTATTTTTGTAGAGATGAGGTCTCGCTATATCTCCCAGACTGGTCTCAAACTCCTGGCTTCAAGCCAGCCTCCTGCATCAGCTTCCCAAAGCACTAGGACTATAGGTGTGAACCATCATGCTCAGCCCCTGAGCTGCTAAGTTTTGGAGTAGTTTGTTACTAGGCAAGTGTTATCATAACCAACTATATCAGGTATTATAGTTTTTTTTTTTTTTTTTTTTTTGAGACGGAGTCTCGCTCTGTCGCCCAGGCTGGAGTGCAGTGGCGGGATCTCGGCTCACTGCAACCTCTGCCTTCTGGGTTCAAGCGATTCTCCTGACTCAGCCTCTCACGTAGCTGGGATTACAGGCACGCACCATCACGCCTGGCTAATTTTTGTATTTTTAGTAGAGACAGGGTTTTGCCATGTTGGCCAGGCTGGTCTCAAACTCCTGACTTCAAGTGATTTGCCCACCTTGGCCTCCCAAAGTGCTGGGATTACAGGTGTGAGCCACCATGCTCAGCTACAATGGGGTATTCTGAACCCCATGGCTTCTGTGTTTTTTGCCTTTCCATGCCTAGCCAATGTGCAAGCCTTTGTCCTCTTCCATTAGGGTGACTTTGGCAGTTGTGACTTATATTGTTCCAGTATTGGCATCTGCACTTACTTGAGGTAGATTCTAGGGGGTTTGAATGACATCTTGTTTCTTTTCCCTACAAAATAAGCTGATTTCTTTAGTCTCACACATGATTTCTCTGAGAAAAAGTTATTGATTGTCACAATTCTCTAGACTGGGCAGTCGATGCACACCAGTTTAAAGGAAAAGGGATGATGGATGGGAATACCATTGAGTGCTATTCTACTTGATGGTATGCTGTGATAATTCAGCTTTTAGAAAGTGGTACTTTTCTAAGAAACCACATGTAAAAGCATTACAGGATTAGGGTCCAGGTGAGTGGTAGTGTGTTTGTGGGTTGACATTTGAAGCTTCTTATTACAAGAGGAATTGGCTCATGCAACACCTACTTGTCAGAGGGAACCGAGGTTCTGCTCTTTGGTCATTTTGGCCAAGACGCTTAACTGCTCTGAGCTTAAATTTCTCTGACGGTTGATGATAAGTGAAGGATAATATAAGGAAAAGCACATGGGAATTTGAGAATATCAAGCTGGAAGGCACATTTGAAGTCATCTGCTGTATCAGTTAAGATTAGAGTTTGTTGCATATGACAGAAAAGCCCAACGTATCAGTGGCGTAAATAAACTAGGATATCCTTTCTTGTTCAAGGTAAAGATAGTCCAGACATGGTAGCTCAGGGCTGCAGTGGCAGGTTCTCCAAGCCATCAAGCTCCAGACTCCTTCTAGCCCAAATTGCTGTTATCTCGATTATGTGACCCTTTCCCTCATGTTACAATATGGCAGCTAAAGCTGCAACTATCACATCTGCATTCTACATAATGCAATGAGCCCTGGTAACACATAGGTATACAGGAAGAAATAAGGAAAGAAAGGATATTGGGAGGCAACCAACAGCCTCGGCCACTGGCAAGTAACAGAGAGCCAAACATATCCAATTTGATTAATGCATTATATCCAAGAAATCTTAAAAACGTTAACTGTCTGGGATTCAGAGAAGGGGTGGGAAAGTTACATTGTATATTAACAGAAATCTGGAAACTTCTTAGGTGCTTCTTAAAAATAAGCTGTCTTTAAATACAAGTTCAATTCCATTAAAGTGACAAAACCTAAATTTATAAGAACAGCCATTGAATGAATTCAGAAGGCTGGCGACCAACTAGGCTCGTTTTCAAAAGTAATTTAAGACTATGCAAATTTAACAGTTCCCTTTCCAATTGTTTTGTGCAGATGGATATGACTCAGATTCCTAAATTTAATTTCCACTTTGACCTTGGCAGGAAGGAAGTGTCAATGCTGTCCTTCTTTGTTAATGACCTTTGGCATGATTCTAGAATAACTGACCTGGTAAGCGTATGCTTAGGTGTGTGCATGGGATGGGGGTTGGGGAGGTTGCTGGCAATGTGTCTCAGAATCATCTAGAAGCTTTTACACATTGTAAACATCTCCGTGTCAAACTCCCAAATTGGAGAGATTGGTATTGGAAATAATGGGGGCAGAGGGCATGCATCATTTGATAAAGTTATCTGGAAGAGCCCATGGATTTCTTTGAGCCCCCATCCCCTTATTATGAAATGCAGCATCAAAAGCATGTGAAGAGCTGGGTGCAGCGGCTCACGCCTGTAATCCCAGCACTTTGGAAGGCTGAGGCAGGTGGATCACCTGAGGTCAGGAGTTCAAGACCAGCCTGGCCAACCTGGTGAAACCCCATCTCTACTAAAAATACAAAAATTAGCTGGGCATGGTAGTATATGCCTGTAATCCCAGCTACTAGGGAGGCTGAGGTGGGAGAATCGCTTGAACCTGGGAGGCAGAGGTTGCAGTGAGCCGAGATTGCACCACTGCACTCCAGCCTGGGCAACAGAGTGAGACTCCGTCTCAAAAAAAAAAAAGGCACCTGAAGGCTTTAATTTAATGGTTCTCAGGAGTCTGAGATGCCATGATGGATGCTGCCCAAGAACAAAGAATAGTCAGCAGAAAAGGAGAGACTTGGGCTCTGTGGCTCTAATGTAACCATACTAGCTTTGTTGCTTGATGCACATGGCAGATCTAGAAGCCAAGACACGATGTTGCAGCAGAGAAAGAGGTTTAATTGTAGGGCTGCTGAATGAAGAGACAGGAAGAAGCCTCAAATCTGTCTTCCTGAGGATTTTGGGGCTAGGGTTTTTAAGAGTTTTGGAGTGTTCCAAAGCATGGAGATCATGGACTGGTTGAAGAGTACAGGGTGAGATCATGGGACAGGGAGAAGGAGAAACATATTGGCATCAGATTTTCTGCTGGAATTCATGATCTGCTTAAGCAATTCTTTAACAAAAGCCTCGTGAATCTAATGTCAGAAACCCTATCTATAGGAACAATGAGGGTGCAAATAGTATCTTGAGCTACCTCTGGGTTATGAGAAAGTGGGTCAAAGAGCAGCGTGATCAATGCTTAATTATAATCATATTTCTGTCCAGAATTCTTGTTAACCCTGTGAGAGCAGCTTCATTGGAACCCTGCAGAACAGCCAGGTGTGGTGGCTCATGCCTGTAATCCCAGCACTTTGGGAGGCTGAGGGGGGCAGAGCACTTGAGTCCAGGAGTTGAAGACCAGCCTGGCAATGAAACCCCGTCTCTGCAAAAAGAAAAAGAAAAAGAAAAAATATATATAAATTAGCCAGGTGTGGTAACAGGTGCCTGTAGTTCCAGCTACTGAGGTGGGAGGATCGCTTGAGCCCGTGAGGCAGAGGTTGCGGTGAGCTGAGATCACACCACTGCACTCCAGCCTGGGTGACAGAGTGACACCCTGTCTCAAAAAACAAACAAACAAGCAAAAACTCTGCAGAACAAAGTGGGTAGTTGTATCTAGACTTGCATTATTACAGTCACTAAAAACAGAAAATGCAGCCTGAAGGGTTTGCAAGAAAAATATCATCCTACCAACAACAAATCTTTACTGCACATCCATCTCCCTGGCACTGAGGAAGATAAAGAAAAAGCAAGACATAGCACCTGCCTTCAGGGTCCCCAACCCAGACCCAAACAGCGGGAAGGTTAACAGGGCAGAAGTTCACTAGCACCAGGATTGTCTCTGCACAATGCAAGATTAACCTCTAAATATGTTCTACATATATTAAATATACCTGGATCCTGAAGGATACAACACCGCGGCTTCCGGAGAAAGAGTTTGCTAACACATTTCCTTTTGTGCTCCCACCTCTTGTGTGTGGGTGAGGCCCAAACATTATTTGCTGGCAAAAATCCCCGTTCCTTTTTGCTTTCATAGCAGGTTGCATGTGGGGTGACACTCACAGCTGGGTTTTACTAAGAGTGGGTGACCAGATCTTGTTCTTTTCTTGGTGGAAATGTGGGGGTGGAGGGGAGGGGGGAGGAGGAATCTCTGATCATTGCATTTGGGTAAATGACTATGTATGTCGCCTCTTCCAATTCCCGGAACTTGTTAGAACACAGTGTGAACTCTTTGGTTTCTGTGAAGAGGGAAAAATATCCACACTGGAGAAATTGCCATACTCAGTGAATTCAAACCTAACTTCTCCCCTGCTTAGGTCTGGGTTGGGGACTCCCTGAGGGCAGGTGCTATGTCTTGCTTTTTCTTTTCTTTTCTTTTCTTTTTTTGAGACGGGGTCTCATGCTGTCTCCCAGGCTGGAGTGCAGTGGCTCGATCTCGGCTCACTGCAAGCTCCACCTCCCGGGTTCACGCCATTCTTCTGCCTCAGCCTCCTGAGTAGCTGGGACTATAGGCGCCCGCCACAGGGCCCAGCTAATTTTTTGTATTTTTAGTAGAGACGGGGTTTCACCATGTTTAGGCAGGATGGTCTCGATCTCCTGACCTTGTGATCCACCCGCCTCGGCCTCCCAAAGTGCTGGGATTACAGGCATGAGTTACCGTGCCTGGCCCTTGCCTTTTCTTTATCTTCCTCAGTGCCAGGGAGATGGGTACTCAGTAAAGATTTGTTGTTGGTAGGATGGTATTGTTCTTGCAAACCCTTCTTGGCTGCATTCCCTGCTTTTAATGACTGTAATAATGTAGGTCTAGATACAACTACCCATTTTGTTCTTCAGGGTTTTTGTTTGAGAGAACCTTCTAGTGCTCTTTTTCCTGGAAGGTGGCCTTGGCTAGAAGCTGAAATTCTAGTGCCATGATAAGAGCTTGGTTCTTCTTTTTTTTTTTTTTTTGAGACAGAGTCTTGCTCTGTCGCCCAGGTTGGAGTGCAGTGGCGTGATCTCGGCTCACTGCAACCTCCACTTCCTAGGTTTAATTGATTCTCCTGCCTCAGCCTTCTGAGAAGCAGGGATTACAGGTGCACACCACCACACCTGGCTAATTTTTGTATTTTTAGTAGAGACGGAGTTTCACCATTTTGGCCAGGCTAGTCTCGAGCTCCTGACCTCAAGTGATCTACTCGCCTTGGCCTCCCAAAGTGCTGGGATTACAGGCATGAGCCATCGTGCCTGGCCAGAGCTTGGTTCATGAATCAAATGACCTGCCATCAAATCCTGGCTTTTACCCACACCTAAGAACAATTGTGTTACTCACCCTCCCTGTCTCCCTGTGCCTGTGTTTTGTTTGTTTTTGAGACAGAGTCTCGCTTTGTCTCCCAGGTTGGCATGCAGTGGTGCAGTCTCAGCTCACTGCTACCTCCGCCTCCCAGGTTCAAGCAATTCTTCTGCCTCAGCCACCCAAATAGCTGGGATTACAGGCGCCTGCAACCACGTCCAGCTAATTTTTGTATTTTAGTAGAGATGAAGTTTCATCATGTTGGCCAGGCTAGTCTCGAACTCCTGACCTCAAGTGGTCCGCCCACCTTGGCCCCCAAAACTGCTGTGATTACAGATGTGAGCCATCGCTCCTGGCCCTGTGTGGTTTCTTTAATCTGTAAAATATGATTAGTAATAATACTCACCTCATAGATTCACAGGGAGGCATATTTTTTAGACCAGTCCCTAAAAGTGAGCTCTTACTGGCCGGGCACAGTGGCTCACGCCTGTAATCCCAGCACTTTGGGAGGCCGAGACGGGTGGATCACAAGGTCAGGAGATTGAGACCATCCTGGCTAACATGGTGAAACCCCGTCTCTACTAAAAAATACAAAAAATTAGCCGAGCGTGGTGGTGGGCGCCTGTAGTCCCAGCTACTTGGGGGGCTGAGGCAGGAGAATGGCGTGAACCCGGGAGGCAGAGCTTGCAGTGAGCCGAGATTGCACCACTGCACTCCAGCCTGGGCAACAGAGCCAGACTCCGTCTCAAAAAAAAAAAAAAGGAAAAATAAGCTCTTACTATTATTAGGTTTCTAGCTAAGGGCTTGCATAATGTTATGAAGAGAGGTAGAAAACGCAGAGGAAGATTTGGGTGGGAATGGGGTTTAAGGCAGGCAGGACACTATTTGAGCTTTTGTTTGTTTGTTTAAGTCTTTTTTATTGGTGTGGTTTACCTAAGAAAGGCAACAGAACTGACAAGGTAAGTGAGAGTGGAGAGAAGGCCGGCCGAATCAGTTGCGAATTGGCAGGCCGAATTCTAAGATGACCCCTCAAGCGCCCCGCCCCCTGATGCTTAATTTCCTCCTCTTAAGTGAGAGTGAGACCTGTGAGTGTTTTGGGATATCACAGCCATGATTATGTTACTTCACATGGCAAAAGGGATTTTGCAGATGTAATTCAGATTCCTAATCCGTTGACTTTAAGTTAATCAGAAAGGAGGTTACTTGCGTGGGCCTCATCTAATCTGCTAAACGTTTAAAGAATCTGGCCTTTTCTTTTCTTTCTTTTTTTTTTTTTAAAGACAGCATCTTGCTCTGTAGCCCAGGCTGGAGTGGTATGGCACAATCTCGGCTCACTACAACTTTCACTTTCCAGGCTCAAGGAATCCTCAAGAATCTTTCTTAAAGTGAGAGAGATTCAATGTGTGCAAGGGATTTGATGCAAGGCAGCTTCTCTGCTGCTGACTTTGAAGATGAGAAGAACACATGGAGTTGGGCACCGTGGCTCATGCCTATAATCCCAGCACTTTGGGAGATCCAGGAGGGAGGATCACTTGAGGTCAGTCGTTCGAGACCAGCCTGGCCAACATGGCGAAACCCCTTCTCTATTATAAATACAAAAATTAGCCAGGTGTGGTGGTACATGTCTGTAATCCCAGCTTCTCAGTAGGGGAGGCAAGAGAATTTCTTTAACCCGACAGACAGAGGTTGCAGTGAGTGGAGCTCATGCTACTTCACTCTAGCCTGGGTGACAGAGAGATTTTGTCTCCAAAAAAAAAAAAAAAAAAAACACATGGTAAGAAATGCTGGCCGGGGGCAGTACCTCATACCTGTAATCCCAGCACTTTGGAAGGCCGAGGCTGGCAGATCACAAGGTCAAGAAATTGAGACCATCCCGGCCAACTTGGTGAAACCTCGTCTCGTCTCTACTAAAAGTACAAAAAATTAGCTGGGCGTGGTGGCGGGTGCCTATAGTCCCAGCTACTCGGAAGGTGAAGGCAGGAGAATCTCTTGAACCTGGGAGGTGGAGGCTGCAGTGGGCCGAGATAGCGCCACTGCACTCCAGCCTGGCGACAGAGCGAGACTCCATCTCAAAAAGAAAGAAAAGAAAAGAGAGGAGAGGAGGGGAGGGGAGGGGAGGGGAGAGGAGAGGAGAAATGCAAGTGGTGTCTCAGAGCTGAGAGGGGCCTCTCCCTGGCTGACGACTAGTAAGGGAACTTTAGTCCTACAGCTGCAAGGAACTGAATTCAATCAACAAGTTGAATGAGCTTGAAAGTAGATTCTTCTTGAGAGCTTCCAGAAAGGAGCCCAGTCTGGCTGACACCTTGAAAGACCCTGAGCCCATGCAGGCTGTGCCCAGACCTCTGACCTAAAAAACTGGGAGCTAATAAATCTGTGCTGTGCTGGCCGGGCACGGTGGCTCGCACCTGTAACCCCAGAACTTTGGGAGGCTGAGGTGGGCAGGTCACCTGAGGTCAGGAGTTCAAGACCAGCCTGGTGAACATGGCAAAACCCCGTCTCTACTAAAAAATACAAAAATTAGCTGGGCGTGGTGGTGCACACCTGTAATCCCAGCTACTTGGGAGGCTGAGGCAGGAGAATCACTTGAACCTGGGAGGTGGAGGTTGCAGTGAGTCAAGATGGCACCACTGCACTCCAGCCTGGGCGATAAAGCAAGACTTCCTCTCAAAAAAAAAAAGAAAAAAAGAAAATTGTGCTGTGCTGTTTTTAGGATGCTAAATTTGTGATTATTTATTATGTAGTAATAGAAAACTAACAGTGTTTTTTTGTTTGTTTGTTTGTTTGTTTTTGAGACAGAGTCTTGCTCTGTCGCCAGGCTGGAGTGCAGTGGTGCGATCTTGGCTCACTGCAACCTCCACCTCCCAGGTTCAAGTGATTCTCCTGCCTCAGCCTCCCAAGTAGCTGGGACTACAGGTGCGTGCCACCATACCCAGCTAATATTTGTATTTTTAGTAGAGACTGGGTTTCACCATGTTGGCCAGGATGGTTTCTATCCCTTGACCTTGTGATCAGCCTGGCTCAGCCTCCCAAAGTACTGGGATTATAGGTGTGAGACACAAGGCCCAGCCCAACAGTGATCTTAACAAACAGAACAAGAACTTGGACTTAGGTAGTTGTATTAGTTCCCGATTGCTGCTGTAACAAATAAGCACAAACTCAATAGCTGTAAACAGCACAAATCTATTACCTTATTATTCTAGAGGTCAAAAGTCTGACATGAATGTCACTAGGCTAAAATCAAGGTGTTGACAGCGCTGTGTTGCTTTTCTTGAGATTCAAGGGAAGAATCTATTTTCTAGCTTTTTCCAACTTCGGTGAGGCTGCACACACTCTTGGTTCATGGCTTCTTTGTGTCTTCAATACCAGCTATGGCCAGTTGGGTTTCACCTCACATCACTCTGACAATGACATTTCTGCCTTTTTCTTCCACATTAAAGGACCCTTGTGATCACACAGCACCGTCCAGGGTGATCCAGAATAATGGTGCATTTCAAGGTCAGTTGATTAGCAACCTTAATTTCAACTGCTACCCTAATTCCCTTTTGCTATGTAATGCAATATATTCACCGGTTCTGGGGACTAAGATATGAACATCTTTGAGGGTCATTTTTCTGTCTACCATTGTCTTAGTCTGTTTTCACAAAGCTATAAAGAACTAACTGAGACTGGGTAATTTATAAAGAAAATAGGTTTAATTGACTCACAGCTCCACAGGCTTAACAGGAAGCATGACTGGGAGGCCTCAGGAAACTTACAATCAGCCGGGCACGGCAGGTCACGCCTATAATCCCAGCACCCTGGGAGTCTGAGGCAGGCAGATCATTTGAGGTCAGGAGTTCGAGACCAGCCTGGCAAACATGGCGAAACCCCATTTCTACTAAAAATACAAAAATTAGCCAGGCGTGGTGGCACAAACCTATTGTCCCAGCCACTCAGGAGGCTGAGGGAGGAGAATTGCTTGAACCTGGGAGACGGAGGTTGCAGTGAACCGAGATTGCACCACTGCACTCCAGCCTGGTGACAGAGCAAGACTCTGTCTCAAAAAAAGAAAAGAAAACTTATAATCATGGTCGAAGGTGAAGGGAAAACAAGGCACATCTTACACGGTGGAAGGAGAGAGAGAGAGTGAAGGGAGAAGTGCCACACTTTTAAACCATCAGATCTCATGAGAACTCACTCACTATCATGAGAACAGTATGGGGAAAATTGCTCCCGTGATCCGATCACCTCCCACCAGGTCCCTCCCCCAGCACGTGGGAATTATAATTAAACATGAGATTTGGGTGGGGACACAGAGACAAACCATATCAACCACTGAAGTCATGGGTCCTAAACTCAGTTTGGTCATTTATTGATTGTGTGTTCCAGAATAGGTTGCTTGACTTTTCTGAACCGACTTTCCACATCTGGCCATTTACTCACTGTGCAATCAAAGGTGGGTTGCTTGACTTCTCTGAACTTGGTTTCCACATCTGCCCATTTATTAACTGTTCAACTGAGGGCAGGTAGCTTGACTTCTCTGAACCCAGCTTCCAAATCTGACCATTTATTAACTGTGCAATCCAGGGCAGATTGCTTGACTTCCCTGAACCTATTTTCCACATCTGGCCATTTACTCACTGTACAATCCAGGGTAGGTTGCTTAACTTCTCTGAACCTGGTTTCCGTATCTAAAAAATTGAAACACTAAAACTGACTCTTGTGCTTCTTTAGAGAGTTAGAGCTCCAACACGAGCCCAGCCCAGTGTATAATGATTGCTCCCATCCATTGAGTGGCTATTTCATTTGCCGCTCAATTTTCTGACAGTGGTCAACTTTTGATACCCACTTTTCCTTGATTCTACTTGACTCTACTGTTTTATCTAGTTTAGTTAATTTTTAAATGAACTGTACTCCCCATTGACCACATTATCTTAGGAAGCTTTAGTTTCCATCTGGCTATATCGGCATCAAGTTAGCATAACTGCTACATAAAGAGCTAGGTCCTTTCGTCTTTCTGTTTTCCTATACAGAATCTTCCCCAAGCCCTCGTTGCTGGTGGGGACACTCCAGTTCAGACCACGGGTGCCCAGGACAAGTTAGGATGGCCTGAACGTTCTGCTCTCTGCGCAGCCTGCCTTGTGTGTTAATTCAGGTTCAGAGTTCAGCTCATCGTTGACATTGGTAAGGTTAATGACTGAAGGACAAGCATCAGGGAACAGATTTGCAATAATGGTTATGCTGATTGCCTCAAGATGAATGTGAACAGGAGCCCCAGAGCAATATGTTAAACAGTGCTGAGTGGCTGCGCGGCACTTCCTGATGATGGGCGCGAGGATTTGGGAAATACCGGAGCATTGTTTGCAGAAGAGTGGAAGGATTTTCTTGCAGGTTTGCTTGGTGAAGAGTGCAGGTACACAGCTTGTGAACCACGACACTTAATGGCTCCAACAGAGGTAATGGGGACAGAGGTAGCGCTGTCTTAGTATGGGAGCTGCTAGCCACATGTGGCTATTGAGCCTATAAAATGTGCCTTGTCTTAATTGAGATGTGCTGTAAACGTAAAACACCTACTAGATTTTGAAGACTTAATATAAAAGAAGCAATGTTGGATGAATATAACGGACATAGGCATAAATTATCTTAGTAATTTTTATATTGATTACATACTAAAATGTGTTTTGGATATATTGGGCTAAATAAAATATATTAGTAAAATTAATTTCACCTGTTTCTTTAATTTTTTTTAAATGTGGCTATTAGAAAGTTGAAAATTATAGGCTGGGTGTGGTGGCTCATGCCTGTAATCCCAGCAATTTGGGAGGCCGAGGGAGGAGGATTGCTTGAGGTCAGGAGTTTGAAACCACCAGCCTGGGCAACATCGGGAGACCCAGTCTTTAAAAATATAAAATTAGCCAGGTGTGGTGTTGCACACCTGTAGTCCCAGCTACTTGGGAGGCTGAGGCAGGGCGACTCTTTGAGTTCAGGAGGTCAAGGCTACAGAGAGCTATAATGGCATCACTGCACTCCAGCCTGAGTGACAGAGTAAGACCCTGTCTCAGAAAAGAATTACACATGTGGTTCTCATTGACTTCTGTTAGATAGCACTGTTCTCTCCAACAGAAAAGTAGTGGGGACAGCAGTATTGTCCCCTGCATATATGTGTGCAGGTGTGCACATACGTGTGTGTGCGTGTGTGTCTTGGAAAGTAGAAAGAGGCAGAGGGTCATGACATGCTTGGGTAGGGCAGTCTCACCAACTGCAGTGGATGGTTAGATTCAAAGAGATGCTTGGTTTTGTCTTTGGCCCTCTTTAGGTGAGCTCTTCCCGCAGAGGCTACTGGCATAGGGGCGGGGCAGATGTGGACAGCAATGTCCTGTGGCACACTCTCAACCTGTTACTTTTGTGCCCATCTCCATGGCAACAGACTCTGGCTCTCAGATCCTTCTTACAGCCCCATGTATTTTGGGGGGCCCTTTCTAGCTCCCTTAGCTAAGATTCCATGCTTATTTCTGTCCATTTCTCTGATTTCTTTTAACCTCCGCCTTGGCAATTTTCTGTAAGAAGCTCCCTTCTCTAGCCTAGGTCTTAGGGAACTTATTGACTGCATTAGCCTTAACCTTGCTCTAGACAGGGACCATCCACTGACCCAACCTTTAGACTTAAGTTTTTTTATCAGTTAAGGCTGACGCTGGATAGAACTAGATCCATTAGCAGTCACAGGAAGAAATTCCAGTTACACTAATAGAATATAAATTAATGCACAATGTGGCAATAGGCATATTAGGGTACTTTAGGCAGCAATTGGTCAAAAATTGAGGTTGTTTATGGCCAGGTGTGGTGGCTCACGCCTGTAATCCCAGCACTTTGGGAGGCCGAGGCCAGTGGATCACCAGGTCAGGAGATCGAGACCATCCTGGCTAACACGGCGAAACCCCGTCTCTACTAAAAATACAAAATATTAGCCAGGTGTGGTGGCGTGCACCTGTAGTTCCAGTTACTTGGGAGGCTGAGGCAAGAGAATCGCTTGAACTCGGGAGGCAGAGGTTGCAGTAAGCTGAGATCCCGCCACTGCACTCTAACCTGGACAACAGAGCAGACTCTGTCTCAAAAAAAAACCCAAACCTGGGACCATAGCAGGCACACACACACAAGCGGCCGGATGTTGAGAGGAAGGAACAGAAGAACACAAGGACAGACACCCTCAGTACATTGATGGTGGAATGATATGGACATGGAGGGGAATTCCGCCAGGGGCGGTTGGAAGAGATCAGCCCACTGGGGGGTCCAAATCCAGGGGAAGACCACTTTCCCATTCCATCCCCCTTCTGGCTCCCCATTCATCTGGCTGAGAGCTACTTCCACCACTCAATAAAACCTTGTACTCATTCTCCAAGCCCATGTGTGATCTGATTTTTCTGGTACACTAGGACAAGAACCCAGGATACAGAAAGCCCTGGGTCCTGGTGATTAGACAGAGGGTCCGAGCTGATTAACAAAAGCTGCCTGCAGACGGCAAAACTGAAAGAGAACACTGTAACACCTGCCCACTGGGTCTTTGGGAGCTGTAAACACTCACCGCCTAGACACCAGAGCCCCAAAATATTCCCCACGACCTCTACACCTGCCTGTCTGCATGCTCCTGCTAGGGGTTTGATCAGCGGGGCACTGAAGAAGGGAGCCACCCCCCTGTCCTGCGAGGAGGATAAAGGAACGTCTCTTGTTTCACTGTTAGGTTACACAGAAGATCAGAGACAGTGCAGTGTTGAACTATAATCGCTTGAATCCCTGTGCCTCAGGTCGAGTTTTCTTCTAGAATCTGGGATGTAGTGGGGTCTGCCAGTGATGAACACTCAGCCTCTGAGGTGGGGATAGTAGGGCTCCAAAGGCTGGAGATTTGGCTGTGCCTGACATGGAGAGAATGAGGGGATAGCATGTTGGATTGTATTCTTCATGTCACCAACCATGTGTTAGAAGAATAACCATTCCACCCGTTCGGGAATTGCAATACTCTGTCATTTGATTTGGTGAATGTTTCTCTCTACGAAGAATTAAAATGGCAGTAAGTGGTTTATTTATTTATTTATTTATTTATTTATTTATTTATTTATTTTTGAGACAGAGTTTCTCTCTTGTCACCCAGGCCAGAGTGCAGTGGTGTGATATCAGCTCACTGCAACCTCCATCTCCTAGGTTCAAGTGATTCTCCTGCCTCAGCCTCCCGAGTATCTGGGATTACAGGCACCCACCACCACGCCTGACTAATTTTTTGTATTTTTAGTAGAGACGGGGTTTTGCCATGTTGCACAGGCTGGTCTCGAACTCCTTGCCTTAGGTGATCTTTCTGCTTCAGCCTCCCAAAGTGCTGGGATTACAGGCATGAGCCACCACACCTGGCCCATTAAGTGGGTTTTTGACAAATATCTTGAAAATACAGACTAAGTATAGAGGCTTGTGCTTGTAATCCCAGCTGCTCTGGAGGCTGAGGTGGGAGGATCGCTTGAGGCCAGGAGTTTGAGACCAGCCTGAACAGATACAGCCACATCTCATTCAAAAAAAAAAAAAAAAAAAAAAAAGGAAAGAAAGAAGAAGAAAAAATGAAAACACTGTAACAACCCTCTATAACGGAGCCCATCATTTCTGCAGGGTTTTTTTTTTTTTTAAATGTGGATGAGCTATATTCTTTCCAGTCATCTTCAGGTCAAGGTATGTATTTGGGGAGAAATGGGATTCGAGGGATGCAATAACCCTGGTGAGGGGTTGCAGCTTTATAGTTTGATTCTCTGCTTGGGGAAGGTGCTAAGGATAGAAGTTACAGTGGGGATGACCCCTTTGGTCCCTGAGAGACCCAGCTGGGTTGTACAACAAGTCAAGTGAAACCACTATCCTGATAGGGCTCACTAGCTTAATCCCATAAGATGTCCGCCACATTCATGCAGCACCAGAGCAAACCCTTGAAATGCAAAGATTTTAATCACCCGAGATTTTTTGTTGAGGTATGGGATAAAATAGATTAAACTGCCAAAAATAAAAAAAGAAAAAGAAAATCCTCTTTGATGAATGAGTTAACATGCATGGCTGTGAGTGTGTGTGTGTGTATATGTGTGGGTGTGGGTGAGTGGGTGAGAGAGAGAGAGAGAAATTATATCTAGATGAAAAGCAGATGAAAAGGGAGAAATTGGCTGACGCCATTGGTCATCAGGAGGTAGACATACCAGAATCATTTATGAGACTTTATAAACTGCATTCTCTCTCTGAGGCAGTTGATACATTAACATAAAAAAAAGTTATAAATTGAGAAAGAAAGATAATGAGACTCTATTTCTGTTTTTTTGAGATGGAGTTTCGCTCTTGTTGCCCAGGCTGGAGTGCAATGGCGCCATCTCGGCTCACCGCAACCTCCGCCTCCTGGGTTCAAGCGATTCTCCTGTCCCAGCCTGCCGAGTAGCTGGGATTACAGGCATGCACCACCATGCCGGGATAATTTTGTATTTTCAGTAGAGACGGGGTTTCTCCATGTTGGTCAGGCTGGTCTCAAACTCCTAACCTCAGGTGATCCTCAGCCTCCCAAAGTGCTGGGATTACAGGTGTGAGCCACAGCGCCCGGCCCTCTATTTATTATATAAAGAGTCATAGCTTGCATGGTGGCCATCCCACAGGCTGGGAAGCACAGCTGCCAGCCAAGACCAGAGACAGGCATTTGGAAAGACGAGGGTTGGGGTAGGGGCTTTATACTGGATAGGTTGGCTAAACAAATATATTCAACAGGTTACAGCTATGGATATTCATGAAGGTGGTCCTGACACATGCGTATTGAACAAACATCCATGTAATACACAGCCCACGTTCACTTTGTGGTGGAGACTTCACATTTAAATGTGTTACAGTTAGGTCCTGTGCATCAAAAGGTCTTTTCAGGACATTGAGGCATGCAAGTACACAATCTCTGTCCACCGGCCAGAATTAGTCCATTGTAGGTGATCTCTTATCAGGAGAAAGTTAAATCAGTCTCTTGTCCAATCAAAGCTGTAGCTATGGCTGATGGAACGGGGGTCAGTTAGACACGGCCTGTGAGCTGGATGAGTTGTGATTGTTTTAATATTGCTTATCTGGAGGCCAGAGCTAGAGAAAAAGAAAAACCCTGTGTCAGTTAGAACATAGTTTATTCTTCAAGTATGAGGGTGTGTGACTTAACCCTTGCCTGGCATGGCTGTGGGTCCTGTCGATAATTTAGTATCTTGTTGACACAAAGAGTTTGTTCTGCCAGTCTTGTGGTCTCTATTTTAACATTAATGCTGGTCAATTGTTGCAAAAGGGCAGGGGTGTTATGAGGCGAGCCTGATGTCCCCACCCATCATGGCTGGGAACTCAGCTTTTTGTTTTTGTTTTTGAGAAGTCTCACTCTGTCGCCCAGGCTGGTGTGCAGTGGTGCGATCTCAGCTCACCGCAACCTCCACCTGCTGGGTTCATGGCGTTCTCCTGCCTCAGCCTCCCGAGTAGCTGGGATTACAGGCGCCCTCGCCACCACGCCCGGCTCTTTTTTGTATTTTTAGTAAAGATGGGGTTTCACCGTGTTGGCCAGGATGGTCTCCATCTCCTGACTTCATATGATCCTCCCGTCTTGGCCTCCCAAAGTGCTGGGATTACAGGCGTGAGCCACCGCGCCCGGCCGGAACTCAGTTTTTAAGGTTTTACTGGGGTCTTCTTGGCCGCAAGGGTGTCAGTTCGGTTGGTTGGTGGTGGCGGCAGCGGAGGGGTTAGGATTTTATTTTAAGTTTATAGCCAAGAAATTCTGGGACTTAGGGTGGAGGTGGCTGGTGGGGGTGGGAAATGAAAAGTGGGCAGGGAGAGAGAGTGGGGGTCCGGGAGTGAATATGATGTTAACCCCCCACTTTGAAAACCATTGTTCCAAATGACAAGAGCGGGACTTTTAATTTTTGCGCAGAATTGACTAAACCATCCCGACGTCTTGCTGCACACAGACAGAGAGAGCCTCCGTTTTCTTGCCAAGTGCAGCAAGCAGTTCCGTGTTCACCTCTCAGGGAGTGTGAGGCACTGAGTTAAGAAGTTCTTGGCAACGATTCTGCCATGAGTGCTGGAAAACATTATATACAACTCAGAGCAGGCAGTGAGTATTAGGAGCCTACTTCTAAATTTAGAGATGATTCGTGCAATTTGGAACGGTATTGTTTTAAGTCACATTTTAAAAAACACAGCAGGTGGCCCTTCATGTTCAAACATTGTTTGCATTTTTCTGGAAGACAGGACTTTGGAACTCAGGTGGCTGCTTATATGGGGCAGCGTGGGGACACAGGGAGTTCGTTGAGATGATGCAGTTTGGGGTCACTAAGCTAGCTAACCTTGACCCCCCACGTACTTTGTAGTTTTACTTTACTCAGTTCTCTGTAGATTTACGATGTCTCTAGAGGCCTTACAGGATTCTGTTAATCTGTGCAACATGATTCTGTTAATCCTTTGCAGGCGAATGTTATTATAATCAATAAAATTGAAAAAAAAAGAGAAAGGTCTACAGAATTCTAAGACAGGAGGTTCATCTGACCTTTCTCTGGCAAGGGAGGTGTTGGTCAAATACAATCTGTCTTTGGGTCTGTCTTCCTTTGAAGTTTCTGAATCATTTTATGTTTTGTTGAGTAGTATGGGTTTTTGGATATTTGACATGTTAGAGGTAGGGCAGAGTAAGCATAGTTGAAACTTTATGGCGGGATGAAAGATCTAAAAATGGATCAGCTGCAACTTAGCTTTTGTTCCAGAACAGCCTTTACATTTAGCAAAGTTCTGTGTTCCTTTTAAGAAATGTCTGGGCCCAGGCGTGGGGGCTCACGCCTGTAATCCCAACACTTTGGAAGGTGGAGGTAGCCTGATCGCTTGAGGTCAGGCGATCGAGACCAGCCTGGCTAACACGGCAAAACCCCGTCTCTACTAAAAATACAAAAATTAGCAGGGCATGGTGGCACATGCCTGTAATCCCAGCTACTCAGGAGGCTGAGGGAGGAGAATCGCTGGAAGCCAGGAGGCGGAGGTTGCCGTGAGCCAAGATCGCGCCATTGCACTCCAGCCTGGGTGATACAGTGAGACTTCATTTCAAAAAAAAAAAAAAAGGATCAGCTAGCTGCAACTTAGCTTTTGTTCCAGTACAGAACAGGCTTTATATTTAGCAAATGTGTTCCTTTTAAGAAATGTCTGGGCCAGGTGCAGTAGCTCATGCCTGTAATTCCAGCACTTTGGGAGGCCAAGGTGCCCAGATCACTTGAACTCATGAGTTTGAGATCAGCCTGGACAACATGGCAAAACCCCATGTCTACAAAAAATACAAAAATTAGCCTGGTGTGGTAGCATGTGCCTGCAGTTCCAGCGACTTGAGAGGCACAGGTGGGAGGATGGCTTGAGCCCAGGAGACAGAGGCTGTAGTGAGCTGAGATTGTGCCACTGCACTTCAGTCTGCACAACAGAGCCAGACCCTGTCTCATGCCTACAGTTCCAGCACTTTGGTAGGCCAAGGCAGGAGAATTACTGGAGGCAAGGGGTTCAAGACCAGCCTGGGCAGTGTAGTGAGACTCTGTCTCTATAAAAAATTTAAAAATTAGCTGGGTGTGGTGGCATGCTCCTGCCATCCCAGCTACCCAGGAGGCTGAGTCAGGAGGATCACTCGAGCCCAGGAGTTGGAGGCTGCAGTGAGCCTAGATTGTGCCACTGTACTCCAGCCTGGGTGACAGAGTGGGACCCTGTCCCTTAAAAAGAAAAAAAAGAAAAAGAAAAAAGAAAAAAATGTCTGATGGTTAGAAACCAGGGACAGCCTCTGTTTTAGGAGTCATCCTTAATCAGGGACACCTTTAAAAAAAACAAGTGAGAGTTTCCAAAGGCCCATACCCCCATCATGCCCTTGAAGCTTTTGATTCAATATGTTTTGAGTAGGGCCTGGGTATATTTATCTTGAAAAACATCCTCTCTAAACCAAGCGGTTCTCATCTGCACCCCTGGTTAAAATCCATATCCATAAAGAAACTGTCACTGGAGGCAATTTGCTATAATCTGCGGCGCTATCATTCCTCTGCATGATGTAGATGGTTTTAGGAGATGGCCTGGTCTAACCCTCTGCTTGAAGAGTAAATTATTTCTACACCGTCTCCCTGTGTGGTTGTCCGGTCTTTCTACGAATATATGCACTGAAGGGGAACGTTGCGTCAGAAGGAAATTCAGCTCCATGTCAAAGAATAAAATGTTCTCTGTGCGGATCAGAATTTGCTACATGCAGCTTCTTCTGGCTACATAATGCGCGGAACCTGGTGCAAAATAAAAATCAGGATCCTGTGTTCAAAAATTATTAAGAATCTCCGGACACCAATGGCAGAGCATTAAACCGACTAATCAAATTCCAGGCCCTTCCCGGCTCAGGGCCCCAAGCGACTGCATAGGTTGCAGGGATGTGGAGCCAGCCCCGTCCGCTCGTTTTAGTCCTTTTCATCCTCCAGATGCAATTTCTCCTTGTCTTTGAACCTTGTTCATAGACTGCTGCAGATTTATAAAATAATGAGCTTTGTTCAAGAAGGAGAAGCGGTAACTGGTGGCCAGTGTAAGCAGATAGCTTGAGTTAAAATGTGGGTATTAGCTGGGTGACTGTAGTATAATAATTAGCTGAGTGACTGTGGTACAATAATTGTATCTATCTGTAGGTTTGTTTTGAGGATTGAATCAGGTGATTTGTGTAAAGCCCTGGAAATAATGCAAGCTTTCAATCAATGTCAGCTGTTTTGATTCGGCGGACACTAATCCTATTTTGATCTAGGGCTTGTGACATTCACCACCGTCTTCTTAAAAAATAGTGAGCTGGGTTAGTATTTGCTTATTTCTGTATCTCCACCATTTTTTGTGATCTTCCAAGGTGTCCTGGTGTCTTGGTGTCCCAGGATCCTCTCTCATCCTGCTCCAATCCATTGTCTAGCAGCCAGAGTGAATTTTTTTTGTTGTTGTTGTTGTTTTGAGATGAAGTCTTACTCTGTAGCCCAGGCTAGAGTGCAGTGGCGCCATCTCGGCTCACTGTAACCTCCGTCTCCTGGGTTTAAGCGATTCTCCTGCCTCAGCCTCCTGAGTAGCTGGGATTACAGACAGGCACTACCACGCCTGGCTAATTTTTGTATTTTTAGTAGAGACAGGGTTTCGCCATGTTGGCCAGACTGGCCTTGAACCCCTGACCTTAAGTGATCCACCTGCCTCTGCCTCCCAAATTGCTGGGATTACAGGCGTGAGCCACCACGCCTGGCTCAGAGTGAACTTTTAAAATGAACACCAAAGTATATCAAATCTCTTACTGAAGCCCCGCAGTGCCCCTCCCCTATCGCCTCTAGCTAGAGCCCAATTTCCTCTGCTGTCCCTGACCTCCCGGGTGAACCTCAGTACACCCCAACATTGCCTCACCACTGTTGCTATTCAATCTTTGGAATGAGTGAATAAATAGAAATCAATTCTAATACAAATGAATAAATATATGCATCAAATATTCATCTCATAAATATGTATTGAGCATTTTCTTTCTTTTTTTTTTTCTTTTTTTTGAGACAGAGTCTCGTTCTGTCACCCAGGCTGGAGTGCAGTGGCGCAATCTCGGCTCACTGCAAGCGTATTGAGCACTTTCTAGCAGCAATATTATGAAACAGCCAGTACTCAGTGATCGATCAATGTTAGCTATTACTATTATTGATGTTGTTATTCAGCAGTAGGTAATTGCCGGGGACTGGGGATTCATAAGTGAACCAGAGGGCCATGGTTCCTGCCCCTATAGCATTTGCTGCCTAATGAGAAAGACAGGCATTTAATACATAATTACACATCTTCTGAACTGAGTCACTCTGCAAACTCTGCCATGCTAACTGATATCCCCTGGTCTCCAATCTCCTAGGCCACATGCTGTTTAATCTGGCACGAACACTCTCCCCAAACCCCTATTTACCTGCTAAATCTGATTGCTTTCAGCTAGGATGGAAAGCCTTCTCTGACACCGCCCATTCTGGAGGTGCCCCCTTCTCTGTGGACCCTGCCACTTCTATCTCTGCTTAATGACACAACTGTCCCTACAAGGAGACTTTAAGTTCCTCACAGGCAGGCTCGAATATTTGTTGAAGATGTTTTGGGGGTTTGCACCTCCAATTTCACATCTCCTGTGCTTTGATTCTTCTCTTGTCTTTGTCTGATAATCGTTCTCATTGTTAAATGAACAGTTGTGAAAATGGACTTTGTTTCTCTGAGGCCCAGGTTGTTTCATCTGTAAAATGGGCGAATAACACATCACTGCCCCTCTCATGAGGCTCTGGTGAGAATGGGATGAAGACATCCCTGGAAAGGGCTTGGTTTGTGGCAGCAGCACTCTTGGGAGATGGAAGACACTCCGAATTAGTTTTAAGTGTCTTCTGCCTCCATTAGGAGACCTACAATTTCTGTGTTGTTCTTATCTCTTGGATATAGACCCTTTCTGTGCCCTTTTAAAATATGAGCTCATCTGGAAGCCTCATATCACCATGCAAACTCACCTTTACTTAACATCTTCTTTTCCTTCTTCACTGGCATCATTCAAAGGTGGATAAATCATATTTTTAAAATAATGATCCCCTGAAGCTAGGCACCGTGGCTCATGCCTGTAATCCCAGCACTTTCGGAGGCTGAGGTGGGCGGGTCACTTGAGGTCAGGAGTTTAAGACCAGCCTGGCCAACATGGTGAAACCCCATCTCGACTAAAAATACAAAAATTAGCTGGGCGTGGTGATGCACAGCTGTAATCCCAGCTACTTGGGAGGGTGAGGTGGGAGAATCACTTAAACCTGGGAGACGGAGGTTGCAGTGAGCCGAGATTGTGCCACTGCACTTCAGCCTGGGCAACAGAGCAAGACTCCATCTCAAAAAAAAAAAAAATTCCCTTGAGTCTCTTGCAACTAATTTTGTTATACAATCCGAAGATACGCTGCTATTATGGGTTGAGGGTTGAGTATTCCTTATTTGAAATTCATGGGACCAGAAGTGTTTTGGATTTTGATTTTTTTTTTCAGATTTTGGAATATTTGTGTGCATACCAGTTGAACATCCCAAATCTGAAAATTCAAACTCCAAAATGCTCCAATGAGCATTTCCTTTGAGCATCATGCGAGAGCTCAAAAAGTTTTGGGCTTTGGAGCATTTTTGATTTTTGGATTCAAAAGCCTCAACCTGTATATCTTTTTTTCCCCCTAAACCTTTTGAAATCCATGTTTTTGGAATCCAAGGTACACATTAGACTCTGCCCAACCCACTTTTCCGTGGTGATTGAGGACTCCTGCATGACTTTGAAACTGTGTGCCATGGGCCCTCTCCTGTGAACACCATAGAATCAACGTTGGTGAAATTGGTTACCAATTGCGTCCTCTGCAAAAGAGACAATTTTCTTTTATTCTGCCTCCTTTGATCCTACAGACTTAGCTTGTCTCCCAATTAAAGATAAATTGTTTTTGCGTTTGTATGCCTTTATATTTAATTTTGACATTTTTCTTTCTTTCTTTCTTTCTGTTTTCTTTTTGAGACAGACTCTCACTCTGTTGCCCAGGCTGGAGTACAGTGGTGTGATCTTGGCTCACTGCAACCTCCGCCTCCCAGGTTCAAGCAATTCTGTCTCAGCCTCCTGTGTAGCTGGCATTACAGGCTCCCACCACCATGCTCAACTATTTTTTTTCTATTTTTAGTAGAGATGGGGTTTCACCATGTTCGCCACGCTGGTCTTGAACTCCCAAGTTCTGCTTGCCTTGGCCTCCCAAAGTGCTGGGATTAGAAGTGTGTGCCACCGCACCCAGCCAACATTTTCTTTTAAAGTGTAAATATTTATACCAAGAAGAGCGCTGGATTAGGAATTGTTAATTAATTTATTCATTCGATCAAAATCTATTGAATGCCTGTGATGTGCCAGGGAGGTTTTGAGTTGAGAAAATAGTCACAAATGCATTACAGCAGTTACTATATGTCGTGCTTTTCACATATCAGCTCATTCAATCATCAAAGCATCCCTAATGAGGCTCCTAGTTTTATCCCCATTTTAGGTAGGAAAACTGAGTCAGAAAGAGGCTAAGTAACTTGCCCAAATGGCAGAGCCATTAAATGATAGACCTAGGCCAGGCGCAGTGGCTCACGCCTGTAATCCTAGCACTTTGGGAGGCCAAGGTGGGTGGATCACCTGAGGTCAGGAGTTCAAGACCAGCCTGGACAACATGGTGAAACCCCGTCTCTACTAAAAATACAAAAAAAAATTAGATGGGTGTGGTGGCGGGAGCCTGCAATCCCAGCTACTTGGGAGGCTGAGGCAGGAGAATCGAGTGAACCTACAAAGCAGAGGTTGCAGTGAGCCGAGATCGCTCCATTGCACACTCCGTCCTGGGCAACAGAGCCAGACTTGGTCTCAAAAAAAAAAAAAAAAAAAAAAAAAAAAGACCTAGAATCCTAACTGAAGCAGTTTAACCCTAATGCCCATCTCTCAACCACTGCACCGTGACACTATGAGGCCCGGGAAGCATGATGCTAAGACAGACAAAGTTCTTGCTTTATTGTACCTTTTACTTAAGAACCTCCTACCGGAGGGTCACAGAAAATAAGCAGCAAACACACCAACAGATGAGCTCATTTCAACTACAGGTTGAGCATGTCTTATTCGAAATGCTTGGGACAAAAAGTGTTTTGGATTTCGGATGTTTTTTCTCAGATTTTGCAATATTTGCATATACATAATGAGATATCCTGGGGGTGGGACCCAAGTGTAAACATGAAATTCATGTATGCTTCCTGTGCACCTTAGACACACAGCCCAAAGGTAATTTTATAAAGATATTAAATGATTTTGTGAATGCAACAAAGTTTGTGCACATTAAAACATCAGAAAGCAAAGGTGCCACTATCTCAGCCACCTGTGTGGATGATCTGTGGTTATCTGGCATGCATCTGATTTTATATGCTACTGACATGCAATCATTTTCTTATACTTACACCGCAACCTGCCTTGTGAGGTCAGGTGTGGAATTTTCCACTCGTGGCATCATGTTGATGCTCAAAAATTTCAGACTTTGGAGCATTTTGGGTTTTGAATTTTCAGATTAGGGATGCTCAACCTGTTGCAGTAGAAGACTATGGAGACATTTAAGAAAATAAAACACTAGCTGGGCATAGTGGCTCACGCTTGTAATCCCAGCACTTTGGGAGGCCAAGATGGGCGGATCACCTGAGGTCAGGAGTTCAAGACCATCCTGGCCAACATGGTGAAACCCCGTCTCTACTAAAAATACAAAAAATTAGCCAGGTGTGGTGGTGGGTGCCTGTAATCCCAGCTACTCGGGAGGCTGAGGCAGGAGAATTGCTTGAACCCAGGAGGCAGAGGTTGCAGTGAGCCGAGATCACACCATTGCACTCCAGCCTGGGCAACAAGAGCAAAACTCCATCTCAAAAAAAAAAAATACCTGTTCATGAACATGTATGTTGTTACGTTATCACAACACACAATGACTTAATGGAGAAGAGTGATCATGAGGAAAGTGTGGTTAACTTCCTTCTTCTCTTTCACCCTGGGAAGTTGCAGTTCTCATCAAGGAGGCACTATATTCCGTTCCAAATTCCAGGAAAGTGACCCAGACCAAACGCAGATAATCCAAAACTGTTTTGGCAGAAAAATGGACACTGATGGCCAAAACGCCCAGTAATGGAAACTTTAAGACTTAAATAACCAAACAAAATTCCATCTGATAATAAGATTTTCAGAGCATCCATCTAGTTAATTTTTATGAAGCTTTTTGAGAGAATCAGCTTTAAATATAAACTTAGACAACTGGAGGCTCTTTGGAGACATTTGCAGAGCTGCTGAGTTGGGCTCTAGTAGTTTGTACCCCTTAGAGAGCTAAAATCCACTTGTGGTTGTAAAAATATACTCCACTGAAGGCTAAGCTGGATGTGGCCCTGAGAGAAAGGTGTCTCCCTAATAGACAGATAAGAATACCAACCTGCTGGCCAGGCGCGGTGGCTCACATCTGTAATCCCAGGACTTTGGGAGGCCGAGGCGGACGGATCACTTGAGATCAGGAGTTCGAGACCAGCCTGGCTAACATGGTGAAACCATATCTCTATCAAAAGTACAAAAAATTAGCTGGGCATGGTAGCGGGCGCCTGTAATCCCAGCTACTTGGGAGGCTGAGGTAGGAGAATTGCTTGAATCCAGGAGGTGGATGTTGCAGTGAGCTGAGATCGCACCACTGCACTCCAGCCAGGGCGATAGAGCGAGGCTCCATAACAATAATAAAAAAAAAAAAAGAAAAGCAAAGAAAAAAGAATTTAACAGTCTGTCTCTCACCTACCTGTGACCTGGAAGCCCCTTCCCTGCTTCCAGTTACCCTACTTTTACTTTGAATTGTCCCTCCTTTCCAGATCAAACCAATGTTCATTTTACATATGTTGATTGATGCCTCCTTACTCCCTAAAATGTATAAAACCAAGCTGTGCCCTGAACACCTTGGGCACATGTCATCACGACCTCCTGAGGCTGTGTCATGGGTGCGTGTCCTCAACCCTGGCAAAATAAACTTTCTAAATGAACTGATACCTGTCTCAAATTTTCAGGATTCACAAGATTTCCAGACTTTCAGCAAGTCATGTACCTCTCACACTAGGTAGGAAGAACCTGGTAGAAAGACAACTTCCCTTCCTATATAACAGAGAAGTGCAAATACTATAACGTAACAGAGGAAATGGTTTGGGAACAAGTAAAAGACACTAAACCCATGTCGGAGATTAACCTAAATAACTTCTTTTATTTTATTTATTTATTTTTTTGAGACAGAGTCTTGCTGTGTCGCCCAGGCTGGGGTGAAGTGACACAATCTTGGCTCACTGCAACCTCTACCTCCTGGGTTCAAGCGATTCTCCTGCCTCAGCCTCCAGAGTAGCTGGGATTACAAGTGTGCACCACCACACCTGGCTAATTTTTGTATTTTTAATAGAGACAGGGTTTCGCCATGTTGACCAGGCTGGTCTAGAACACCTGACCTCAGGTGATCTGCCTACCTCGACCTCCCAAACTGCTGGGATTATAGGCATGAGTCACCATGCCAGGCCCTAAATATCTTATTTGCATTTTGAGAATTTTTTTTTTTTTTGGTTGTTGCTGCTCTGCCGTTGCTGTAATTTCATAGCACCTTGAAGGTAACTGATTGTCCAGGATGTCTTCAACTGCAGAAGTTTCTGTGCTGTACTTCTCATTGTACTATGTGAGAAAAAAACTCCAAACATTTTATTTCACTTCTCATGCATTTTAAGGGTGTGACAGAGTAAGACGCATGCTAAATAAAAATCTATTCTTCTGTTTGGGAGTTAGGAATGCGGTTCTGACCAGGCAGGCAGATTGCAACTAGTTACATGCAAAAATAAATACTCCTGGCCAAGGCTGAGTGGAGTGGGAAGAAGAGATTGAGTTCTTTATATCAGGGGATGGGGTACCAGTCTGTGACCCATTAGGAAGCAGGCAGCACAGCAGGAGGTGAGCAGTGGGCAAACCAGCAAAGCGTCATCTGTATTTACAGCCACTCCCCATCGTTCGCATTCCCGCCTGAGCTCCACCTCTTGTCAGATCAGCAGTGGCATTAGATTCTAACAGGAGCATAAACCCTATTGTGAACTGTGCATGGGAGGGATCTAGGTTGTGGGCTCCTTATGAAAATCTAATGCCTGATGATCTGTCACTGTCTCACATCACCCCCAGATGGGACCATCTAGTTGCAGGAAAACAAGCTCAGGAGTCCCACTGATTCTACATGATGGTGAGTTGTATAATTATTTCATTATATGGTGAGTGATTGCACCACCGCACTCCAGCCTGGACAACACAGTGAGACTGTCTCAATAAAAAAACGGCAGTATTAGTTAATAAGGGGAACCTCTGAAAGAGGTTTTTGTGAAGTACTTCATAATATAAATAAAGTTCACAATAAATGTAATGTGCTTGAATCACCCTGAAACCATCCCTTGCTACTTCCCTTTGGTCCGTGGAAAAATTGTCTTCCATGAAACCAGTCACTGGTACCAAAAAGGTTGGGGATCCCTGCTTCAGATGGGCTTGCTTGGCTACTCAAGTTTAGGGGTCATGACTGATAGAAATGTCTCTTACTGCAACCAGGCGTGGTGGCTCAAGCCTGTAATCCCAGCACTTTGGGAGGCTAAGTCAGGCAGATCATGAGGTCAGGAGATCAAGACCCTCCTGGCTAACACAGTGAAACCCCATCGCTACTAAAAATACAAAAAATTAGCCAGGCGTGGTGGCACACACTTATAGTCCCAGCTACTCAGGAGGCTGAGGCAGGGGAATCGCTTGAACCCAGGAGGCGGAGGTTGCAGTGAGCCGAGACAGCACCACTGCACTCCAGCCTGGGCAACAGAGCAAGACTCCATCTCAAAAAAAAAATTAGTACAAGGTTTTACTGAGTGGTAGAAGTACCTCTCAGCGAGAGGAATGGGGAGCCAGAAGGGGGATCGAGTGGGAAAAAAAATGTTTCTTACTTTCTCATTTCTACCAGGAGCCCCTGCATTACCCCCTTTCAGCTTGAAGAAGTCCCTTTTCCTGATGCTGGTATCTGGGTCTTTACATTCATTTCCTTCTTCTCCTTCAAGTTCCCTGCAGGGAAGGACTTGATAAATGTATCTTAACTCCAGGTGGAAATGCATCAGGTCCTAAAAAGTCTTAGCATTTAATGAAGATGACCAATTAGGCTGATGAAAGAACTCTCTGGAAATCTTTTAGGGATAGCCTTGGCAAAGCCTTTTGCTTTTTGTTGATCTGTTTTAATGATGAGGCAGGCAGCAGGCACATTACAAAGAGGGCTGTCTACACATAGGGCTGTCTACAAGTCCGGCTACTCTGATGAGGGTCCATGTATTGCTCTCCTATCTAATCCTTATTGGAATCACTTCCTTAACACAACTTCCTCAGCTGTGGCTCTTTCATGGACAAATCAAATCCACCACCAAAGAGGATTGCTGGTTACCTTGCCAATTTTATCTTGGGCTGCCTGGACCATATGACTGATAGGAACTAAATGATTTTATACCTTGGAAACTCCCAGAAGCCTGAATCTTTGTCATGAATCCTCAATTTGCCTTGTTGGTGGTTTCAGAGCTTATATGGCGGGGAAGAGAGTGGGGAAGCCGCTCTTCTGGACTTAACCGGGATGAATGGATGTTCATTTAAGGATATGGGGAGGGTGGAAACCTATAGGAGGTGACGGACCCCTGGTGGAGCTGAATGGCTGCCCAGGAAAGCAGATTGCAAGAAACCTTACGAAATGACGATATGAAGCCGGGCCCAGTGGCTCATGCCTGTAATCCCAACACTTTGAGAGGCCAAGGCAGGAGGATTGCTTGAGCCCAGGGGTTCAAGACCCACCTGGGTAACATAGGGGAACTCCATCTCTATAAAAATATAAAATTAGCTACTGAGGAGGCTGAGGCAGGAAGATCGCTTGAGCTCAGGAGTTTGAAGCTGCAGTGAGCTATAATTGCACCACTGCACTCCAGCCTGGGCAACACAGTGAGACTCTGTCTCAAAAAAAAATGTAGCAGTGTGAGTTAATGACAGGAACCTCTGAAAGAGATTTTTGTGAAGTATGGCTATCACAGGGGCGACTTTTGCTGAGAGGGAAGAAGAGGAGTCTTTTGTTTTTTTTTTTTTTTTTTTTTGTGATGGAGTCTCACTCTGTCACCCAGACTGGAGTACAGTTTGTGATGGAGTCTCACTCTGTCACCCAGACTGGAGTACAGGGCACAATCTCTTCTCACTGCAACTTCTGCCTCCTGGGTTCAAGTGATTCTTGTGCCTCAGCCTCCCAAGTAGCTGAGATTACAGATGTGTGCCACCACGCCTGGCTAATTTTTGTATTTTTAGTAGAGGCGGGGTTTCATCATGTTGGCCAGGATGGTCTCGAACTCCTGACCTCAAGTGATCCACCCACCTCGGCCTCCCAAAGTACTAGGATTACAGGGGTAAGCCACCGCTCCCAACCAAGAGGAGTCATTTTGAGGGATTAATGGGTTTTCCTGGGTGTCCTTTATTGCTCTGTTGTTCATGTATTTATTTCATCTAACAAATGCTTAGCTAATGAGCTCATCTGCGTAGATGTAGAATCTGCTTCTTCAGATAGGAGTCTGTTTAGGGCAACCTGGAAATTGTAGGTTCAGAGTCTCCTATGCTTATAAGAATAGAAGACTCTAAGATTCTTCCTGTGGTAGGTTTTTGCCTTCACTACCTTTTTTTTTTTTAATCCACCTCCTTTTGGAACAGTGCTGAGATGAGACATGTTTGCCCAGCATTTCGTAAACGAAGCGTCCAGAGCTCAAAGCGGTAAGTGGCTTGCCCATAGCAAAATGCTACTGACTTCAAAATCTGTGCCTTTTAAGTTCTGTCAGCTTGATTTCCGGCGTGCCAGTGTATGCGGGTGAGCTGCGGAGCCGGGAAGCTCTGCTCTGTGCAGCTGAGCCCTTCTGGCTGTTAAGTCCAGCTGACGTGGCCTCTGTTCCTGGTCACAGTCACTGTGGCTGCAGCTTCCTGCTGCTGTCCAAGGCTACTGTTCTCCCTGTCGAGTCTAAGCCATCAGTTTAGTCAAAACAGTTTTAGGGACAGTTTTATTTGTATTGACACAGCATACTTGTTAAGAGCACATACTTTGAAATCTGGAAGACCCGAGTTCACATCCCCACTCTGCCGTTACAAGCTGTGTGATCTTGAGTAAGTTAATGAACCTCTCTGAGCCTCAGTTGTTTTTTTGTTGTTGTTGTTTCTTTCCTTTTTTTTGAGTTGGAGTCTCCCTCTGTCGCCCAGGATGGAGTGCAGTGGTGCGCTCTCAGCTCACTGCAAGCTCCGCCTCCCGGGTTCACGCCATTCTCCTGCCTCAGCCTCTCGAGTAGCTGGGACTATAGGCACCCGCCACCACGCCTGGCTAATTTTTTGTATTTTTAGTAGAGACAGGGTTGAGTTTCAGTTTTTTAAATTAAATTAAAAAAAATTTTTTTTGAGACAGAGTCTCACTCTATCACCCAGGCTGGAGTACAATGGCATGAACTTAGCTCACTGCAACCTCCACTTCCTGTGTTCAGTCAATCACCTCACCTCAGCCTCCTGAGTAGCTGGGACTACAGGCACGCACTACCATGCCTGGCTAATTTTTGTATTTTTTTAGAGATAGGGTTTCTCCTCGTTGTCCAGGCTGGTCTTGAACTCCTGAGGTCAAGTTATTGACCCACCTCATACTTCCAAAGTGTTGGGATGACAGGTATAAGCCCCCGTGCCTGGCCTTTTTTTTAAATATTCAAATGGGGTTGACATCAGAATATACCTCATAGGATTGCTGTGAGGATTAAATAATGTATGTCAAGTTCTTAGTACAGCACCTACCACATGGTAAATATTCAATTGATATAAGTTATCACTATTGTCTTTATCAACATCATCCATTATCTAATATTCTATACCTGTGCTCTGGACACAAAAGAACAGAGACAAATTTCAGGTTTTTGAGAGAAAGGTGAACAGGATGAAGAGATTATGAAGCTTTCACATGAAACATTGGGGATGTTTAGAAGAAATTATTTCAATAAGATTTACACGTGGTCTTCAATGTCTGACTTTTTCTTGTGGTTACCCAGGACAGGATCAGAAATGTGGAGAAGGCATAGAAGGATAACTTTGGATCAATAAGCATTTCAACTATGGAATGTCTTCTACACTGTTGGTGGTAATTTAAATCAGTGCAACCTTCATGCATGCTTACAATTTCCGATTGCAAAAATGTGGAACCAAACCAAATACCCATCAATCAATGACTGGATAAGGAAACTGTGGTATAGATATACAATGGAATACCACTCAGCCATAAAAAGGAATGAATTAATGGCATTCACAGTGACTGGATGAGATTGGAGACTATTATTGTAAGTGAAGTAACTCAGGAATGGAAAATCAAATATTGTACGTTCTCATTCATAAGTGGGTGCTAAACTATGAGGATGCAAAGGAATAAGAATGACACAATGGACTCTGAGGACTCAGGGGAAGGGTGAGAAGGGGACAAGGAAAAAAAGACTACAAATTGGGTGCAGTGTATACTGCTCGGGTGATGGGTGCACCAAAATTTCACAAGTCACCACTAAAGAACTTACTCAAGGGCCAGGCGCGGTGGCTCACGCCTGTAATCCCAGCAATTTGGGAGGCCGAAGGGGGTGGATCACCTGAGGTCAGGAGTTCGAGACCAGCCTGGTCAACATGGTGAAATCCCATCTCTACTAAAAATACAAAAAATTAGCCAGGCATGGTGGCGCATGCCTGTACCCCAGCTACTCGGGAGGCTGAGGCAGGAGAATCACTCGAACCCGGGAGGCGGAAGTTGCAGTGAGCCAAGAGCTCACCATTGCACTCCAGCCTGGGCAACAAGAGTGAAACTCTGTCTCAAAAAAAAAAAAAAAAAAAAAAAGAAAGAACTTACTCATGTAACCAAACACCACCTTTTCCACAATAACCTATAAAAATAAAAACACTTTAAAAAGTAAATAAATTAGTGCAACCTTTATTGAAAACGTTATGGAGGTTTCTCAAAGAATTAAGAATAAAACTACCATTCCATAGCCAGGCACGGTGGCTCATGCCTGTAATCCCAACACTTTGGGAGGTCATGTGATGGTGGGCACCTGTAATCCCAGCTACTCAAGAGGCTGAGGCAGGAGAATTGTTTGAACTCGAGAGGTGGAGGTTGCAGTGAGCTGAGATCAAGCCACTGTACTCCAGCCTGGGTGACAGAGTGAGACTCTGTCCCCCCACCAAAAAAAAAAAAAAAAAAGGAACTACCATTTCACCCAGCCAATCCCACTACTCCACTACTGGGTATCTACCTAAAGGATAAGAAGTTGTTATATAAAAAAGACACCTGCATGTGTGTGTTCATCACAGCACTACTCACAATAGCAAAGATACAGGACCTATGTGTCCATCAAAGAATGATTGGATAAAGAAAATGTGGCATATATATATGTGTGTGTGTGTGTGTGTCTGTGTGTCTGTCTGTCTGTGTGTATATATATGTACATACACATATGTGTGTATATATATGTACATATACACATATGTGTGTATATATATGTACATATATATACACACATATGTGTGTGTATATATATACACAATAGAATACTATTCAGCCATACAGAGAATGAAATCTTATCTCTTGAAGCAACGTGAATGGAACTGGAGGTCATTATCTTAAGTGAAACAACTGAGAATGAGAAAGTCAAATACTGCATGTTCTCACTGATAAGTAGGAGCTAAATCACGTGTATACGAGGACATAGAGTATGGAATAGTAGATGTTGGAGATTTGGAAGGGTGGGAGACTAGTAGGGGATGGGGGATGAGAAATTACTAAATGGGTACAATGTACATTATTCGGGTGGTGGTTACACTAAAAGTCCAGGCTTCACCACTGCTTAATATATTAATGTAACAAAACTGCACATGTACCCCTTTAATTTATACAAATAATTAAAAAACAATTTGGGAAGCTAAGGAGGTAGGGGTGGATCACTTGAGCCCAGGAGTTCAAGACCAGCCTGGGCCACATAGCAAGACCCCATCTCTACAAAAAATAAAAAATCAGCTGGGCATGGTGGTGCATGCCTGTCGTCCCAGCTACTCAGGGGGCTGAGGTGGGAGGATCACTTTAGCCCAGGGAGGTTGAGTCTGCAGTGAGCTATGATCACACTACTGTACTCCAGCCTAGGTAACAGAGTGAGACGCTGTCCCAAAAAATAAATTAATTTTTCCCCCATTAAAAAAATAGTTGACATTTAGAATGAACATTATAAGGATGGTCCCAGCTTATGGGATTTTTTTCAGGGATTTAGTGAGTAATGAATACAAAGCTCCTGGAACTTGGTTACAGCTCAGGAACTGTTAGCTGCTGTGACAATTATGCACTGTCCTTTAAAGTTTATGAAATGCCTTCACATCCTGAAGTGAGGGGCTAGGCCACCCAGGCGAAAGATACTGAAGGGTTTTGAAGAGGGAAGGTCCAGTAATCCCTCTGGAGAGTATGCAGTAAGCGCATTGAAGCAGAAGCAGGAGCCCTTGGGAGAAACCTGTTGGAATGCCATGGTATTTTCCATTTCTTCTTCATTGTGCTAGTCCATTTTACACTGCTATACAGGAATGCCTGAGGCTGGGTAATTTGTAAAGAAAAGAGGTTTATTTGGCTCACAGTTCTGCAGGCTGAATAAGAACCATGAAGTCAGCATCTGCTTCTGGTGAGGCCTTGGGAGGCTTCCAATCATGGCAAAGAGGGAGCAGGCATATCACATGGTGGGAGTGGGAGCAAAAGAGAGAGAAGTTGCCAGACTCTTTTTAACAACCAGATCTTGTGTGAACAACTAGAGCGAGAACTCACTTATTACCACAAGGATGGTGGAACAGGAATTAAAAGAAATTAGAGTGTGTAAGCAGAAATTCAGTTATATGTAAGAAAACTCAACTTCCCCTGAGAAAGAGCTGGAGTCCTTTAAAATTCACTGCCTATTTTTCTGTGGCTAGTGGCTGGTGAGCCTTATCTCTCCTCCCTTCCCAGGTTTTGTGAATACCCTGTTTCCCTAGCTGTGCAGCTGCAAGGTCACTAGACAGATAAACTCAAGTTGCAAAACATGTTTTTCCTTGACAAGTAAGAAATGGTGTAATGCATGTCTCAGTTGAATAACTGTCTTTTTTTTTCGCTTCTGTAGTATGCTTCCCCCTGCACAGATCTCCCCACCACAGCCCCACAAAATGCTTAAAAGGTAACTTAACTTTTTGTTCAGGGCTCAATCCTTTGAATGTTAATCCGGCTGGGCTGGTGCACCTAAATAATTCATAAATATCCTCCTAAACCCCTGATTCCTTAAAAATCCCGCAATAATGGCACCCAGCCATACATGAGGGATCCACCCCCATGACAAAACACTAACCACAAGGCCCCATCTCCAACATTCAGAATCAATTTCCACATGAGATTTGGAGGCGGAAAAAATCCAAACCATTATGACTCATGACAGCCATGTGAGAGGATCTTTGTTCTTGGAGAAGGTGACCAATGTTCAGTGACATCAGGAAACACACAAACTGGTATGTGTTTTCTACCCTGAGAGCCTGAAGGTGCCATGCTGTGGTTGGTGCTGCCTATGTTGCATACCCTCTGGAAGTCGGGGTAAAGATGGGTGTATTTTAAAGACATGAGAGAACTTGATGGGTGTGTGGCTTGGACCTGGTTGAAAGGGATCCTGCTCAGGAGGCCTGCCTGGAGGAGCGAAGGAATCCTAGTAATAAGAATTTGTGAGAGGTGGCATCTGGAAGTTGAGGAATTGGAGAACCTGGAAGCTTCCATAAGGAAAGACCTCTTTTTTCATGGAGGGAACTGAGGTCCTCATCGGGGAGCAGCTCTGAAAAAAGCCACTAAGGTATCCTACAAGATAAGAGTCACCTCTGGACCCTCCACCTCCAGAAAGCCAACATCATGTCACAACTGGACTCACCCACTCAAGTGGTTCCAATCTCTCCTCTTCCTGGGCTGGACATCTGAGGGGTCAGAAGTAGGCTGCCAGGTGCAGTCATTCATGCCACTAATCCCTGCATTTTGGGAGGCTGAGGCAGGAGGATTGCTTGAACCCAGGAGTTCAAGACCAGCCTGGGCAGCATAGCACAACCCAACTCTACAAAAAATTTAAAAATTAGGGCTGGGCATGGTGGCTCACACCTGTAATCCCAGCACTTTGGGAGCCTGAGGTGGGTGGATCATGAGGTCAGGAGTTCAAGACCAGCCTGGCCAAGATGGTGAAACCCTGTCTTTACTAAAAATAAAAAAACAGGCCAGGCATGGTGGTACATGCCTGTAATGCCAGCTACTCGGGAGGCTGAGGCAGGAGAATCGCTTGAAGTCTGGAGGTAGAGGTTGTAGTGAGCTGAAATCGTGCCACTGCACTCTTGCTTGGGTGACAGAGCAAGACTCCATTTCAAAAAAAAAATTAGATGGACATGGTAGCATGCACCTGTAGTTGCAGCTACTCAGGAGACTGAGGTGGGAGGATCACTTGAGCCTGGGAGTGTGAGGCTACGGTGACTGAGAAATAGAGTGAGACCCCATGTCCACAAAAGTTTAAAAAACTTAGCCAGGTGTGTTGATGCATGCCTGTGGTCCCAGCTACTTGGGAGGCTGAGGTGGGAGGATGGCTTGAGCCCAGGAGTTTGAGGCTGCAGTGAGCTATGATCATGACACTGCAGTCCAGCCTGGGGGACAGAGCTAGACTCTGACTCCAAAAAGAAGAGAAAAGTGTTGCCGAATAATACATTGTCCAAATGGGGGCATTGTGTGAGTGAAAAGGACACACTCTAAGTATTCATATCTGGGCAACCTGTACATACTGGGACTTTCCTAGGCAAACTGGTTTGTGCGATCACTCTGGTCAGCCAACGCTGGACAGGGAGGAAGGAGGATAATTTATGAGAGAGCTGGAAGCCTCTTCCTCTGCCCTGGCCACTCTTCTGCCACAGATGTCTGAGTTTGCAACAGGCCCCTGCCCTTTCCCTGGAGGAGAGGAGACACTGAGGGTGAATGAAATGTGGAGAGTTATTACTCTGAAACGATACTGTTCTTATGACTAAGGTTGGACAGTCCAGAAAAGCTTTGGAACCTCCTAAAATGTCATCCAGCCACAGGAATGAATAACCCTGACATGAGAAGGGGAGGTTGCAGGGGAGTGTAGTGAAAAAGTTGCTTTATGGATCTACCTTATCAACCATAGCACTTTCAATAAAATGTTCCAGTATCTGATTACGCTAATGATGGCGCCCATTTATAGACAGGGAGGATACAGGGAGAGAAGTCAGAGAGTTTCCCACGCCTGTGTCCTTCCTGCCACGCAGACAGCTTCAAGGGTGCCCATCCATCTATCCATCCTGCTACTGAGCACGCATTTCTGTACATTGGTGCTCTCCAGGGCACTGGGGTAGACATCAGGGTCTGCTTGGAAGGAACGTCACAGAGACAAGCCCTGCCCCGGGTGGAAAATCAGCTTAGATAACATGAATGCTGCTGTCTGTCAAGTGGTTATCATTGGACTGGGACTTTGATCAACCCCAGCTCTCACGAGGCCCTAAGAAGTGGAGATTATGATCTGCTTGCAGATCATAATTTATTACTTGCAAATAAAATAAAGAGTCTGACTGTGGCCAAGAGATTAGACTTGATTGTTCACAACTCGGCTTCCATGGTAGCAGCGTCAGGAAGTGAATCCACATCTTATCATTTTGAAAGCCATAGATTTCACTCCTCTGTAAGGCCTCTCTAGACAAACCTGCAGAGTGTCTTCTAGTTCCATGTTAATGTGGTTTTGAAGGTTTTTTTTTTTTTTTTTTCTGGAGATGGAGTCTTGCTGTGTCACCCAGGCTGGAGTGCAGTGGCGCAATCTTGGCTCACTGCAACCTTTGCTTCCCAGGTTCAAGTGATTCTCCTGCCTCAGCCTGCTGAGTAGCTGGGACGACAGGCGCATGCCCCCATTCTTGGCTAATTTTTTTTTTTTTTTCTGGAGATGGAGTCTCGCTTTGTCACCCAGGCTGGAGTGCAGTGGCACAATCTTGGCTCACTGCAACCTTTGCTTCCCAGGTTCAAGTTATTCTCCTGCCTCAGCCTGCTGAGTAGCTGGGACTACAGGCACACGCCCCCATTCCCCCATTCTTGGCTAATTTTTTTTTTTGTATTTTAGTAGAGACAGGGTTTCACCCTGTCTAATAAATACAAACTGGTCTGGAACTCCTGAGCTCAGGCAATTCACCCTCCTCGGCCACCCAAAGTGCTAGGATTACAGGCGTGAGCTACTGTGCCCAGCCTTGAAGGGGATATTTTGAGGGTACCCAATGTTCTACTGTCCCTGCGACATTTGTGTGTACCCTTTAACACACATTACCTTTCTCACCAAGAGAAACCAGGCAACTGAGACCGCTTGCAGGGTTGCGGGTATATGTGCCATTTGCTTTGCTAATAATGCTGGTGTATTTATTCTCGGTGCTGCTTCCCCCTGAAATAATAGGAGAGAGATTAAAATTGATTTCTAACATAACACTGTCAGGGAACATCTCTGAACTGCCTTTTAGGATCTAATCACTCTGCCCACTTCTGCAGAGAGGTTGGATGTCATTTAAAAAGATGCCAACATGTTTGTCCTTGACGGATGAGCTGACTTCACAAAGCCTCAAACTCAATATTGGCCACAGGGTGATCAGCTCCTGAAGAAACCCGCGTCACTCTGACTGCATTAAGAGGGGCAGGGTGCCAGTCTGGGGAGGTGGTGGTCTACCACAGGGGTCCCTAAACCCCAGAGTCATGGTTGTCCTTGGCCTCTTAGGAACCGGGACACACAGCAGGAGGTGAGCAGCAGGTAAGACAGCAAAGCTTCATCCGGATTTACAGCCACTCCCTATGGCTTGCATTACTGCCTGAGCTCTGTCTCCTGTCAGATAAACTACGGCATTAGTTTCTCATAGGAGCATGAACCCTATTATGAAATGTGCATGAGAGGGATCTAGGTGGCACGCTCCTTATGAGAATCAGCTCTCATAAGAGAATTAGCTCTCAAAGAACTAAGAATAGAACTTCTATTCCATGACCAGGCTCATGCTTGTAATCCCAACACTTTGGGAGGTCAACGCGGGTGGATCACCTGAGGTAAAGAGCTCAAGACCAGCCTGGCCGACATGGTGAAACCTGTCTCTACTAAGTGATCTGCCTGATGATCTGTCACTATCTCCCATCGCTCCCAGATGGGACCTTCTAGTTGCAGGAAAACAAGCTCAGGGTTCCCACTGTTTCTACATGATGGTGAATTGTAGAATTATTTCACTGTATATTACAATGTAATAATAATAGAAATAAAGTGCACAATAAATGGAAAGCACTTGACTCATTCCAAAACCATCTCCACCCCAACCCCGGTCCTCGGAAAAATTATCTTCCATGAAACCAGTCACTGGTGGGAAGATGGTTTGGGGACTGCTGGTCTGTGGGGCTGACCAACCTGCTTTAGATTTTGCTAAAGGAGGATGTAAACAAGATGAAGTCCAATTAGAAAAGGGGTAACCAGCATTGTGAAGGCTCAGGAATTCCAGTAGTATGATGAGTATTTGAGAGTTAATTAATGAGTCTTCCTCTGGGAGGGAAGCAGAACAAGAATGTTTTCTTCTAAGTTTAGAAGGGCTGTCCTGGAGATGACGGTGCAGATTTTATTCAGTGCATCCTCAGGAGGCTGTGAGTAGAAATCAAAGGAAGGTGTATTTCATCTTCATAGAAGAAAAGGGGACTGGGCACGGTGGCTCATGCCTGTCATCCCAGCACTGTGGGAGGCTGAGGCGGGTGGATCACTTGAGGTCAGGAGTTTGAGACCAGCCTGGCCAACATGGTGAAATCCCATCGTTACTAAAAAGACAAAAAGCCAGGTGTGGTGGTGTGCACCTGTAATCCCAGCTACTCAGGAGACTGAGGCAGGAGAATCGCTTGAACCTAGGAGGTGAGGTTGCAGTGGGCCGAGATTGCACCACTGCACTCCAGCCTGGGGGACCGAGTAAGACTTCATCTCAAAAAAAAAAAAAAAGAAGAGGAAGAAGAAGAAAAAGGTTTCTAATGATCAGGACTGCCTAACATTGAAGTATTTGGCACATGGGGACCTGAACCCCTTATTTCTGGGGTCTCTATCAAGCCTCCTTCTTTGCTCATTCCCTCTGCACAGGAAGTCACAGCAAACTCTCTGGCTCAGAGAATTTGTCCAGGCTACCCCTCCCTACATCCTGTTCTACCTCTCCTTGGACATCAGCCCTCTTAATTCTCAAAAATCTCCTCTTTGTGCCATCTCTTCTCTTTTACAGTTAACTTTTTGTCATTTCTTAAATACAGACAATACAGTCCCTTCTTCTCTTCCCAGCTCCTCTCCAATCCTCAATCTCAAGTTTCCCATCACTTTGATAGGTGGATGATATCTGTAGTGGAAGGATTAGATTAGACAACATAGAAAACTATCAACTTCTAGTGGCTAAAAGGAAGGAGTGTTGTTCTCTCTCATGTCACTGAGTTCTAGAGGTGGGTGATTAAGGGCTGCTGTTGACTCCACAATGCCCCCCTGGGGACTCAAGTACCCATTCTTCTGCCCCAATGGACTCAGAGCCCGACTTCTACCTCGTGGCCCAATATGAGTAGCTGGGGTTCCAGCCATCACATCTGCATCCTGGGCAGCAGAAATGAGAACAAGGCAAATAATTCCCTTTTAAGAAGCCTTCGTAGAGTTCCCTCACTACATTTTTGTTCTATCTCACCAAATCTTAGGCTGGGAAATGTAGTTGTATAGTCATGTTTAAGGCTGCCCTGAAAAAGTTGGGGTTCTGTTTCTGAGATGGAAGAAAGAAAAGATGTAGGGACAGGCAATTCCCATAAATCTATTACAATTTCCAAACTGCCAGTCCAGACTCCTCTGCTGAGATATAGCCTGGTGTCTCTCAGTGCCTAGAGGATGGTTTGGAATGTCTCATAGGTACCCCAGAAACTCCCTCACCATGCTTCTTCCCTGAGCCCCCTATTTCAGGGACTGGCACCTCCATTTACCTTTTGCCCAAACTGAAGCCTGGTTGTCATGGAGATTCTTCCTCCCTCTTCTCAGCACTCAATCACCAAGTCCTAGTCCTGGATGCATCCTGGAATCGATTTACTTCTTTCTGTCACTTCTGCCTCTATCCTAATCTCACCACCATCAGCTCTGGCTTTGGATTCCTGGGAGGGGGTGTGGGAAAAAAAGAAACTGATCCTGAATGTTTCCTGCTTAAACAGAGGACAATATCTTCAATTTGTGCTTAAAACAGGATCCTTTCTCATTGGCTTCCCCTGCTATGCCCCTGAAGATGTCCTGTCCACCCAAATAGCCTTCGCTGTCTCTCTCCTGTCATCTCTTCACCTGCCTCTTTTAAACCTTTGCTTCCTCTTGTCTCTGGACATCATCACTTGTTTTTTCTTTCTTCTCTTTGCCTAACTCATGCCTACTATTTATTCTGCAGGTCTTCCTGTAAAAGTCACTTTCTATTTTTTCCTAAGCTAAGCATTTACTGAGTGTGTACTATATGCATGGCAGAGTGCTTAGCTATTTATATGGATGATCTCATTTCATTCTTCTCCAGGACTCCAGGATATGAGAACTGTGTCTGCTCTTACTTTACATATTTGGGGACTTGAGGCATAGGTTATATAGTAAGTGGCACCTCCAGAATGAAAACTCAGGTTTTTTTTGGTTTTTTGGTTTTTTTGAGACAAAGTCTTGCTCTGTCGCCCAGGCTGGAGTGCAGATCTTGGCTCACTGCAACCTCCACCTCCTGGCTTCAAGCAATTTTGTTTCAACCTGAGTAGCTGGGACTACAGGCACCTGCCACCACACCCGACTAATGTTTGTATTTGTAGTAGAGACGGAGTTTCACCATGTTGGCCAGGCTGGTGTCGAAGTCCTGACCTCAGGTGACCCACCTGCCTTGGCCTCCCAAAGTGCTGGGATTACAGGCATGAGCCACTGTGCTCGGCCAAAACTCAGGTCTTTAACACTCTGATAGATTGATGTGCCTCCCAGGAAGCCTTTTGCTACTTTTCCTACTGTAGACTCTGTGAGAGGCTTGCAAACTGATCCCAAGGTACTTTCACAGACACATTTGGGATGCTTTGAGCGTCCAGAACTCAGTGCACAGAGTTATAGAGCTGGCTTTTGGAATTAGACAGCCTGAGTCTTTATTCTCTGCCATGTTCTCCTTCCTGCTGCCTAGGATGCAGATGTGATGGGTGGAACCCCAACTATCCATATTGGACCATGAGGCAGAAGTCAGTCACATTTACAGAGCTGGCTTTGGGAATTAGACAGCCTGGGTTTTGATGGTGTTATGAACTGGGATAGAGGCAGAAGGAATGGAAAGAAGTGGATGGATTCCAGGGTACATTTACGAATTGGTGGTTGAGCACTGGGGACAGTGAGGAAGCAACTCCAATACAGCCATTTATTGTGACCTTGGGAAATGAGTGAACCTTTTTGTGTCAATATAAAATATAGAAAAACTGTAAAATACAGGCATTGTGGTACCTTCTGCATAGGGTTATTATGAAGAATGAATTAGGTAATACGTGTAAAGCAGTTTGGAAATTGTAACGTTTGGAAATTGTAATTTGTTATGGCATCTGATCCTTGGTAAGCCTTCTAAGTTTAGCTGCTGTTATTCCCCTTGTTATTATTCTAATACACTGACCACAGCACCTCTAATTCTCTACTGGGATTTCTTGAGGGCAGGCATCATGTTGAACCATCTCTGGATGTCCAGCAGCTTGTGAATTGCCCCTAATGTAGCATAGTGTAGTGTGGTTTAATATCTACTGATGCAAGTTACCATACCCAGAGTCCCTTCTAACGGAGAAGTATTGGAAAGTAGGATTGTTGAGTGGGTGTTGGTGATGCAGATTGGTTTGCCTTGGGAAAGATCACAGCTGGAAAACCCAGCCACTTGGGCCCCTCCTGTCTGCTGCTGGCTCTGTGTTTGCCCAGATTTCCAGAATGACAGATGAGCAATTCTTTCTGGAAAAAGGTCTTGGAGGTGTGCAGGCGGTTACACTGAGAGGCAGAGATGAAGGAGATGAAGGTGTAAATTGCATTTCCTCTGTCTCAGGCTTCTTTCCCTCCCTCCCTCCCTCCTTTTTCCCTTCCTCCTTCCTTCCTTCCTTCCCTTCCCTTCCCCTTCCTTCCTTCCTTCCTTCTTTCTTTCTTTCTCTTTCTTTCTTTTTCTTTTTCTTTCTTTCTTTCTCTTTCTTTCTTTCTTTCTTTCTTTCTTTCTTTCTTTCTTTCTCTTTCTTCCTTTCTTTCTCTTTTTCTCTCTTTCTTTCTTCTTTCTTTCCTTCTTTCTTTCTCTGTCTTTCTCTCTCTTTTGTCTCTTTTTCTTTCTTTCATCTCTCTTTCTCTATCTTTCTTTCTTTCTTTCTTTCTATCTTTCTTTCTCTCTCTCCCTCTCTTTCTTTCTTTCTTCTTTTTGAGATGGAGTCTTGCTCTGTCTCCCAGGGTGGGGTAGAGTGGCATGATCTCAGCTCACTGCAACCTCCGCCTCCCGGGTTCAAGCGATTCCCCTACTTCAGCCTCCCACGTAGCTGGGATTACAGGCATGCACCACCACACCCAACTAATTTTTGTATTTTTAGTAGAAACGGGGTTTCTCCACATTGGCCAGGCTGCTCTCAAACTCTTGACCTCAGGTGATCCATCCACCTTGGCCTCCCAAATTGCTGGGATTACAGGTGTGAGCCCTGTGCCCTTTGACATTTTTTTGAAATTTACAGCCTAGTAGCTGGTCAGTTTCTGCAAATGTTGCTTGGAATACATACATATATATGTGTGTGTGTGTGTGTGTGTATATATATATATATATATATATTTTCACTAATTATGAGGTACAGAGTATACCTTGTCTTTTGGAATTTCAGAATATATTTAAATAATCTATGTCCTTATAAATTTTTGTCTGCTGGACAAAAGCAGTGTTACTGATAGTGACGTAAAATCTCTCATAATCATTATGGGTTTGTCCAATTCTCCTTGTAATTCAGTCATTTTTGAGACTACATTATTATTTAAAGTTCAAAATTGTTGGCCAGGAGCAGTGGCTCAAGCCTGTAATCCCAGCACTTTGAGATGCCGAGGCGGGCAGATCACCTGATTTCAATAACAAAATATAAATTTAGGAAATTCCATATATTTGAAAGAACAAAGAAAAAATCCTAATGGAAATTAGAATATGTTTAGCAGAATTACTACCTACAAAACTTCTAGGCCGGGCGCAGTGGCCCACGCCTGTAATCCCAGCACTTTGGGAGGCCAAGGCGGTCAGATCACCTGAGATCAGGAGTTCGAGACCAGCCTGGCCAACATCATGAAACCCCGATTCTACTAAAAATACAAAAAATTAGCTAGGCGTGGTGGCTGGCGCCTGTAATCCCAGCTACTAGGGAGGCTGAGGCAGGAGAATCGCTTGAACCCGGGAGGCGGAAGTTGCAGTGAGCCAAGATCGCACCATTGCACTCCAGCCTGGGCAACAAGAGCAAAACTCTGTCTCAAAAAAAAAAAAAAAAAAAAAGAAAGAAAGAAAGAAAGAAAAAAAGAAAAGAAAAGAAAAATTGATACATATAAAGCCCACCAAACAATTTGACCACACATTTTCGCCTTGTTATCAAGCTTATCTGGCATCATTTGCAAGAACTCAGAATAGGGTGCAGGGCGTGGGATGCTGCTTAGGAAGCACAGAAGGGCTCCCGTGACTGCCACAGGTGTCACAGGAAAGCCAGTGTCAGTTTCCTTTTGTGGAAGGGACAGCTAAATACTGTCCCAACTACCACTAGGTTCAGGACTCAGGAATTTCTGGAAAACATTGTAAACTTAAAATAAAATCCTGATCGAGTGCGGTGGCTCACTCTTATAATCCCAACACTTTAGGAGGCCGAGACAGGTGGCTCATTTGAGGTCAGAAGTTTGAGACCAGACTGGCCAACATGAGGAAACCCCTACTAAAAATACAAAAATTAGCCGTGAGTGGTGGTGTGCGCCTGTAATCCCAGCTACTTAGGAGGCAGAGGTAGGAGAATTGCTTGAACCCAGAGGCAGAGGTTGCAGTGAGCTGAGATCCCGCCACTGCACTCCAGCCTGGGTGACAGAGTGAGACTCCGTCTCAGACAAACGAACAAAATCCACGATAATTGTGGGAAAGAGGTTTTGAAAACTGAACCTCATTTTAACTCATCATGCAAAGATATTTTATTCCCGTCCATAATATTACCTACTCCTATGTACAGGTTCACATGCTTTGAGAAGGTATGTTGCTGGAAAAGTGAAGTTTTGAAATCCCTGCCATAATTTGTGTGTGTGTAAAAATGGACTTTCTTTAGATTTTCTTTACAGGCTTGCATTTCCTTTAAGCAGGGTGTGCCTTTTGTGCATAAATCTCTGCTTCTGGGCTCTGCTCCTGGGCAGGTCCGGGAGCTTTCCTGGGTTTTCCTAGAGCTCAGGGAAAGGAAAAATGATTTATTTGATCATGGATGAAGCCAAATATTTGCACACCTTGCCATTCACCTCTTGCTCACCTGGTGGTTTGGCCATGACTGAGGAAGCCAGAAGTCCTTGGGGAGTAGATTAGCTGAGCCGGCCTAGTGAGCAAGTTCAACCTCCCCCGCTGTTTAAACATCTCTGACCTCTGAGGGCCCTGAAGAGATTAATGAAAGTCAGTGAAGATTATTTCACCATGCACAATGCTTATGTGGTTGCCGCTGTTCTGAGCCCAGCAGACAGCTGCTTCGTGTTCTTCCCTGACTGCTCTGCGCAGGTAATTGCTTGCTGCAGTCAGCCCAAGGTAAAGAAAGTATGGAAGCTTGATCAGCCCTCAGGGGAGGTGGGGCTGGCATTTGCTACTGGGTAACCTCTGAAATAAAGGAAGCCCTGTGCTTCCGCAGGATGCTCTACACCTGCTATGTTTCAATAATACGTGTGGTTGGGAAACCGGCCGACTGCAAACGATGCTTTTCTTTTGCAAGTGTCAAATAAAAAAAAAAAAAGGTGGAGCCGGGCGCAGTGGCTCACGCCTGTAATCCCAGCACTTTGGGAGGCCGAGGTGGGCGGATCACGAGGTCAGGAGTTCGAGACCAGCCTGGCCAATAGGGTGATACCCCGTCTGTACTAAAAATATAAAACTCAACCAGGCGTAGTGGCATGTGCCTGTAGTCCCAGCTACTAGGGAGGCTGAGGCAGAAGAATTGCTTGAACTCGGGAGGGGGAGGTTACAGTGAGCTGAGATCTCACCATTGCACTCCAGCCTGGGCAACAGAGCAAATTGCCGTCTCAAAAAAAAAAAAAAAAAAAAAAAGTGGAATCCCTGGTTTAGAAACATAGACTTTTGGAGCAGAAAGGACCATGACATCCAAGCACTTGGTCAAGGTCAAAGCCAGTGTTGGGAATAGGCCCCCAAAATCTGGCCATAAACTGGCCCCAAAACTGGCCATAAACAAAATCTCTGCAGCACTGTGACATGTTCGTGATGGTCATGATGCCCACGTTGGAAGGTTGTGGGTTTACTGGAATGAGGGCAAGGAACACCTGGCCCACCCAGGGTGGAAAACCACTTAAAGGCAGTCTTAAACCACAAACAAGAGCATGAGCGAGCTGTGCCTTAAGGACATGCTCTTGCTGCAGATAACTAGCCAGACCCATCCCTTTATTTGGGCCCATCCCTTTGTTTCCCGCAAGGAATACTTTTAGTTAATCTGTAATCTGTAGAAACAATGCTTATCACTGGCTTGCTATCAATAAATGCGTGGGTAAATCTCTGTTTGAGGCTCTCAGCTCTGAAGGCTGTGAGACCCCTGATTTCCCACTCCACACCTCTATATTTCTGTGTGTGTGTCTTTAATTCCTCTAGCGCCGCTGGGTTAGGGTCTCCCCGACTGAGCTTGTCTCAGCGGCCAGTGTTCATGGAGGAGCTCGGACTGGAGACCTTATCTGTCCATTTCTAGTTCATGCAGTGCCCTTTTCCTGACTCCGATTTGTTCTCCAGAATGACTGGGATTGCAAAGCATGGCTGTGATTAACCATGACAATCTGAAGCCTTCCAATGTCACTGGGCTGTCAGTGTGGCCTCTCTGATCCCTGAGGTCTGGAGAAGGGTGCCTCACACTCCCACTTCCAGCCTGGAGCAAACCAAAACTTCCCCTCAATTTCTGTATCTTCTCTAAGACTCAGACTCTCCTGGTCCTTTCAGTCTCTGCAATCTGGGCCTGTGAGGATTACCTTTCTACTTAAGATTTAGCCTTTCTATTAATTTATCTCTCTTTCTCTCTCTCTCTCTCTCTCTCTCTCTCTGTCTCTCTCTCTCTCTCTCTCACACACACACACACACACACACACTCCATGTATGCCAAAGACGTTTTGACTTCAGTACACTCTGATAAACTCTTAGGGGAAACAGATTCCCCCAACAGTTTTTGCTAAGAGTTTATCAAAGTGTACTGAAGTCAAAAGGGAAGAGAGAAGAGAGGTTTACAGGGAAACAATGTAAACAAGTATTTAAAGCAAGAAAGATCAATATCAATTCTTCTTTTGCTCCTTTAAATAGACTTTGTTTTTTTGAGCAATTTTGGGTGTACAGCAATATTGAGCAGAAAGCATTGTGTTGTCATATACCCTCTGCATTTGCCTACCCGAACCCCAAAGCCTCCCATGCTGTAAACATCTTGGTCTGGAGTGGTATATTTATTGCAGTTGACAAACCTACTTTGACACATCATTACTGCCTAGAGTCCGTAGTTTGCATTAGGGTTCACTCCTGGTGGTGTACATTCCATGGGTCTTGACAAATGCATAATGACATGTATCCACCATTACAGTATCATACAGAGTATTTTCACTGCCCTAAAATTCCTCTGTGTTCCACCTATTCATTCTCCTCTCCCCACTATTCCCAGGCAACCACTGATATTTTTACTGTCTCTATAGGTTTGCCTTTTCCAGAATGTCACATAGTTGGAAGCATACAGTAGATATCATTTCCTGGGTGGCTTCTTTCATTGAGTAATATGCATTTAAGTTTCTTCCAAGTAACATTAATTCTTCTTTTTTTTTTCGAGATGGAGTTTTGCTCTTGTTGCCCAGGCTGGAGTGCAATGGCACGATCTCGGCTCACTATAATCTCCGTCTCCCTGGTTCAAGTGATTCTCCTGTCTCAGCCTCTGGAGTAGCTGGATTACAGGCTTGTGCTGCCATGCCCAGCTAATTTTTGTATTTTTAGTAGAGATGGGGTTTCACCATGTTGGTCAGGCTGGTCTCAAACTCCTGACCTCGTGATCTGCCCCCCTTGCCCTCCCAAAGTGCTGGGATTACAGTCATGAGCCACCATGCCTGGCCGGTAACATCAATTTTTAATTCTTTGCCCCACTGCTCACCCCCAGGTTCAGCCGTATTCCAGCTTGTAGATTTCCTTTCCTCATTCCCATGCCCATCTCTATCCTTCAGTCTCTCAGTTCTAACTTGGCTCCAGAAATTCCTCTGTCTCCCTCTGTGGTGCAGAGCACCTTCTATTCCCCCTCTGATATCTCGGTATCTGTTCATGCATGTTCTCTGTACACCTCACCTACTCCCTCTAGACTCTATGTCTTCTTTCTATCTTTTTTTTTTTTTTTTTGAGACCAAGTCTCACTCTGTAGCCCAGGCTGGAGTGCAGTGGTGCGATTATGGCTCACTGCAAACTCCGCCACCCAGGTTCAAGCAATTCTTATGCCTCAGCCTCCTGAGTAGCTGGGGTGACAGTTACGTGCCACCACACCAGGCTAATTTTTGTATTTTTAGTAGAGATGGGATTTCACCATGTTGGCCAAGCTGGTCCTAAACTCCTGACCACAGGTGATCCACCTGCCTCGGCACCCCCAAAGTGCTGAGATTACAGGCATGAGCCACCTTGCCCTGCCGACTCTATGTCTTTCTATAGACAAAGCTATGTCCTCCAAAGAGGGATTCTGTTAGAAAACAAAAATCTCAGATTTTACCATCTCTTTGCACCCATGAAAACCGTCCTATGAGAGGCTGACAAAGCTGCTGGGAAAATCTGAGACTCCCACTTGTGCTAGAGCAGGGCTGAGCCTCTTAAAAGGGGAGGGATAGACAGGGCTCTCCATCCTGAAATGACTCCCCACCATCCCCTACCAGACTGGCCCAGGAGCTTCAGGATAAGGCACTAGTTCTGGATTAAAATGAAAGACTAAGCTGGTAGCAGTCCTCTCCTTCCTGCTAGCCCCCAGTCATGACCTCTCCTGGAATCTCCACTTCCACTGCTTCCATGATGTTGACTGTTCCAGCTATGGGCTCCACCCTCCTCAGATTCGTTTTCCTACTTCAGCCCCATCCATGTCACTCTCCCCAAGGTTTCGTCCTTGGCATCCACCCCTTCTCTCTCAACATTCATTTTCTTTTTTTGTGTGTTGTTTTTTGTTTTTTGTTTTTTTGAGGCAGAGTCTCGCTCTGTCGCCCAGGCTGGAGTGCAATGGCATGATCTCAGCTCACTGCAACCTCTGCCTCCTGGGTTCAAGTGATTCTTCTGCTTCAGCCTCCTGAGTAGCTGGGATTACAGGCTTGCACCACCACACCTGGCTAATTTTTGTATTTTCAGTAGAGACGGGGTTTCACCATGCTGGCCAGGCTGGTCTCGAACTCCTGACTTCGTGATCCGCCCACCTAGACCTCCCAAAGTGCTGGGATTACAGGCATGAGCCAATGCAGTCATCCTCTCAACACTTATTTTCTTACACACTTATTCAGTTCCCTGGTTTCTAATGCCACTTAATCGGGTTCAACTCACTGTCTAGTCTGGGCCCTTAGCCACATTTCTGTCCTGAAATCTGGCCTAGTCGTCTGTCTTGGGGTCACCTCAAAGGCATCCAAAACTCATCGTCTGGCAAACCAAATTGCTGGTCTTCCCACCCCAGCCTAGTCTTGTCTTCTTCCTAACTTCCTCTCTATGTTTGGTGCCATCAAAGTTTTGATCTTTTGTGGAGTTTTCTTTTGCACTTCTTTCCCTGCTCTGTAATCATAGTCCAGTTCTGTTGATGGATCTCCCCCTTGAGTTTCAGTTTCCATTTCTTGGTTGCTACCTGAGTCCCACATCCCATCATCATTCACCAGATCACTTAGAAGGATCTTCCACCCGGCTACCTACTGTCCTTGTCTCTGTTTCAATCCTCCCAAACACAGCTCTTTGATTATGCTCCTTCTTCTTCTTCTTCTTCTTCTTCTTTTTTTTTTTTTTTTTTTTTTTTCTGAGAGTCTCACTCTGTTGCTTAGGCTGGAGTGCAGTGGCATGATCTCGGCTCACTGCAACCTCTACTTCCCTGGGTCCATTTGATTTTCCCGCCTCAGCCTCCTGAGTAGCTGGGATTACAGGTGTCCACCACCATGCCCAGATAATTTTTTTTGTATTTTTAGTAGAGATGGGGTTTTGCCACATTGGCCAGGCTGGTCTTGAACTCCTGACCTCAGGTGATCCTCCTGCCTCGGCCTCCCAAAGTGCTGGGATTACAGGCATGAGCCACTGCGCCCGGCCTGATTACGCTTCTTATAGAGATTGCCTGATCTGTCACCTTCTATGCTCCATGACCTTCAATGACTCCTTATTGTCTATGGAAAAAAATCCTTAACTAAATCTTCCAGGCATTTCATGATAGAGTTTCCACCAAACTTGCTAATTTCATCTCATTGTTCCTTTTAAGGCCACCTAGCCAAATCAGATTATTATCTGTTACCAAAATTCACTGTACATGTTATCACCCAATATTTTTGTTTATATTTTCCCTTTGTCCACGATGCTCTTTTTCTCCATCCTTGCCTATCAGATCTGACCTATACCTGTTGTACAGCTCCAATTGCTACCTTTCTGCAAAGCCTTCCTTTTTTGCTTCAGGGAGCAACTTTCTCCTTTTTCCCCTAAGAGAATGTTAATTGATTTCTATTTTAGCACTAAACATTGTCCAGTTTATCATCGTATGTTAGGGTCTCTCTACCTTTCAGATTAAAGGCTCCTCAAAGGGAGGCTCTATGTTTTGGGTTCACCTTTGTATCTTTTTTTTTTTTTTTTTTTTTTGATAGAGTCTCGCTCTGTTGCCCAGGCTGGACTGCAGTGGCATGATCTCGGCTCATTGCAACCTCTGCCTCCCGGGTTCAAGCAATTCTCCTGCCTCAGCCTCCTGAGTAGCTGGAATTACAGGTGTGTACCACCACACCCAGCTAATTTGTGTATTTTTAGTAAAGACAGGGTTTCACCATATTGGCCAGGCTGGTCTCGAACTCCTGACCTCAAATGATCCACCCACCTCGGCCTCCCAAAGTGTTGAAATTACAGGCATGAGCCACCGCGTCTTGCCACACCTTTCTATACTTAAAGCAAGTCATATGTGCTTAAATGAATCATTTCATAAGATTGACAGAAGGCACATTGGGTCTCAAAGAAATGGAATGAAAGGAGCTGAAAGTAATTAGAGTATGCAGTATTGACCCTGGTAGGTGACGCCAAGGTAAGTGGACAGGGGCCATTGCTAGGAGAAGAGGGTTGTTGACAGCATGCTTCTCTAGCTTTACAGTGTTGCCTCTGGCTGGCCCCAAGTGTGAGATCCCATGGACACGAGCAGGGCACAGATAGAGCATGTGTTGTATTGGATTATTCATTACACTCAGAACAATGGGGAATTCTGCTGGGGAGAGTGGGAGAGTTTGCTGGAAGCCTGTGTTACAGCTTATAATATTACATCCAAGTCTTTTGTGTAATGTAACCCATTACCATATCCCTTGGGTGGCTCAAAGTCATGGAATGTTAGAGTTGGAAGGAAATTCAAAAAGGATCTTGTTAAATCCCCTAGTTTTACGGGTAGAGAAATTCAGCCCTAGAAAGGTTATATAATTCTTCCAAGGTTACACAGAGATACATAACAGAGTCAGGGTGAGAACTCAAGCAAAAAAGGAATAAAACATTTGTCAGGTGCCTGTGCTGTGCTGGGGCTGTGTGTCAACTAAGTGACATGAACCCTGCTTTTCTCATTGCTAGGCAAGGGAGTTGCCGCTCAGAAAGGTGAAATGTCTTGGTAAGTCATAGGTAAGTGATAGATCCGTGATTTAGTCTTAGAAGTCGACTGACTTCTCAGAGATGGTCTTTCTGCTGCTTGTTATGCCTCGTTAAAAGTGAGCAGGTGGGAAGGGAACTGTCTTTGCAAGCATCTCCTTCACGCAGAGAGCTCTTGAGATATCCTTCACTAGGGTAGAGAAGGAGTCTTCTGTGCACAATGACCCTACGGGGCAATTGTTGCTTTCCTCATTTTGCTGATGAGTAAGTACAGAGAGGGAGGCTACAGTTGCCCTTCCATGATTGTAATTGGTGCAAGTAGGAGGAGCGCCATGCCTGTTTTGTACCTATTTATTTATTTACTTATTTTTGAGATGGAATCTTGCTCTGTTGCCCAGGCTGGAGTGTAATGGTATGACCTCGACTCACTGCAACCTCTGCCTCCTGAGTTCAAGCAATTCTCCTGCCTTAGCCTCCTGAGTAGCTGGAATTACAGACACCCACCATCATGTCCAGCAGATTTCTGTATTTTTGTAGAGATGGGGTTTCACCTTGTTGGCCAGGCTGGTCTTGAACTCCTGACCTCAGGTGATCCACCTGCTCGGCCTCCCAAAGCGCTGGGATTGCAGGCGTGAGCCACCACGCCTGGCCTGTACCTCTTTAGACTTTAGTCTCCTTGTCTGTAAAAATAGGGAACCTGGACATTTCCCACCTTCGTGTTCCACTAAATTGTACTCTTTGAGGCTCAGTATCAGTTACTTCTCCATCTCTAAGCTTTTGCTGAATGTTGGAGTTAACCAAGATGGCTTCACCCACTGACATTCTTGGATCTTGATTATTTCTGCCACTCAATGACATCTACTATCTTGCACTATGAGCACTGGTTGTTAAAATCTGTGTTGGAAGAGGGCAGAAGCATTGTTAGGAACCATGATGTCTGGCAGGGCATGGTGGCTCAAGCCTGTGATTCCAGTACTTTTGGAGGCTGAGGCAGGCGGATCGCTTCAGCTCAGGAGTTCAAGACCAGCCTGAGCAACAATGCAAAACCCTGTCTCTACTAAAAATACAAAAATTAGCCAGGTGTGGTGGTGCACACCTGTAGTCCCAGTTACTTGGGAGGCAGGAGGATCACTTGAGCCCAAGAGACGGAGGTTGCAGTGAGCAGAGAGGTCACCACACTGCACTCCAGCCTGGACGACAGAACAAGACCTTGTCTCAAAACAAACAAAAAAATCAACCAACCATGATGTCCTTCTCAGGTGGAAAGCTGAGGGCCAGGAGGTGGTATTTTCAAGGGTTCTTTCGCAGATAATTGAGCCCTGAGGAAAAAAGAGGCCATGGGTACTACCTAGGCATATGGTGGCCATGGCAACGATTTGGGCTTATGGCCCATTCTGAGGGCCTCTTGGTTTGGCAGGGAGAGCATTCCATAAAGATGGGAATGCCCAGGAGAGCTGATGAAGGTGGCATTAAAATAAACATGGAGGGGGAGGGAAAAGACACCGTGAATCTTATTCCCATGGAAACAGTAATTGTGGGCTTGGCTCTTGAGCACAGCATAGGTAATTAAGTGAATCAGAGATTAAAATACAACCTCACATGTATCAGTTGAATAGGTGGGAAGGGGCTCAAAATTAGTATATGGTCATAGCAGTAGATGCCCATGATTAAAAAGACAGTGAGACAAGAGCAGGGGCAGGGTTCAAAGGCAGGCCTTAAGTTTTAAGGCCAATTTGAGAGTCAGGGACTCGCTGGGAGCAGTAGTTCATGCCTGCAACCCCAGCACTTTGGGAGGCTGAGGCGAGTGGATCACCTGAGGTCAGGAGTTCGAGACCTGCCTAGCCAACATGGCATAACCCCATCTCTACTAAAAACACAAAAATTAGCTGGGCATGGTGGCACACACCTGTAATCACAGCTACTTGGGAGACAGAGACAGGAGAATTGCTTGAACCAGGGAGGCAGACGTTGCAGTGAGCTGAGATCGTGCCACTGCACTCCAGCCTGGCGAAAGAGTGAGATTCCATCTCAATAAATAAATAAATAAATAAATAAATAAAACAGGAAAGAAAGAAAAAAAAGACAGTCTTGGATTCTTGGAACCTGCCCTTGGATGTCTCATCTCTTAGCACAACACACACAACCCAAGTGTGTTCGTGATGACGAACTGGTTGAGTTTGGACAAACTCTTGTTTCTGCCAAGAGGTAGTGAGTATAATTGTTTATTTCACAATGCAATGTTTCCCTAATAGCTGGAGGACAGATCATTTGCAATCTCCTCAAGCTAATGGGTACTAGATATTTAGAACCTTTGGCTTGTTTTACAAAGAACTCCCTGGTTAGGGTTCGGGACATTGTTCTTTGTGTCTGCTTTCAGTCCCACTTCTGAAAGAAATTGAGGCCCCAAGGGAAAGTTGTAAGATGTATGTCTCCATCTTCAAACCAAGCTGATAACAAAAAGCATAAAGCACCTGTAATCCCAGCACTTTGGGGGGCCGAGGCGAGTGGATCACGAGGTCAAGAGATCGAGACCATCCTGGCTAACACGGAGACACCCCGTCTCTACTAAAAATACAAAAAATTAGCCAGGCGTGCTGGTGGGCGCCTGTAGTCCCAGCTACTGGGGAGACTGAGACAGGAGAATGGCGTGAACCCGGAAGGCAGAGGTTGCAGTGAGCCGAGATCGTGCCACTGCACTCCAGCCTGGGCGACAGAGTGAGACTCCGTCTCAAACAAACAAATAAACAAAAACCATAAAGCAAACAAATGTGAAATCCTTGCTCTAAAACAACCCCCCTTAATTTTTTTTTTTTGAGACAGCGTCTCACTTTGTCACCCAGGCAAGAGTGCAGTGGCGTGATCTTGGCTCACTGCGACTTTTGCCTGCTGGGTTCAAGCGATTCTTTTACCTCAACCTCCCGAGTACCTGGGATTACAGGCATGCACCACCACGTATGGCTAGTTTTTGTATTTTTAGTAGACATGGGGTTTAATCATGTTGGCCAGGCTGGTCTTGAACTCCTAGCCTCAAGTGATCCGCCCACCTCGGTCTCCCAAAGTGCTCGGATTACCGCCATGAGCCACTGTGCCCGGACCCTCTCCTCCCATTTAAAAATACGTAGTTTGGACTATGAATTTATTTGGTTTAGGATTAATTTCAGTCAAATTGTTCAACTAGAAAGGTAAGTAGAAATCATGGATTCTAGTCTTAATGACCAAAATTATGCAAATTTGGCTGGGCGCAGTGACTCATGCCTGTAATCCTAGCACTTTGGGAGGCCAAGGTGGGAGGATTACCTCAGGTCAGAAGTTAGAGACCAGCCTAGCCAACATGGTGAAAACCCGTCTCTACTAAAAATACAAAAATTAACTCAGTGTGGTGGTGCACGCCTGTAATCCCAGCTTCTTGGGAGGTTGAGGCATGAGAATCACTTGAACCCAGGAGGTGGAGGTTGCAGGGAGCTGAGATCGTGCCACTGCACTCTAGCCTGAGAGACAGAGTGAGACTCTGTCTAAAAATAAATAAATAAATAAATAATTATGAAAATTAAAAAAAACCACATAATAGAGATCTTTACCTATCTGAATAAATTTATTAGTAATGTGAACAAATTCTCCTTTCTGAACATTCATTTTGAAAAAATATTAATTTTTATGTCTGGTATGAAAACCACAATGACCTTGATTTTCATAAGGATAATAATTCTCATGAAAACACGGGACAATTAGATCATCATTTTAAAAGCCTTGTTATGTCGGCTTGATAAAAAGATTCCAGTGGAAATCAAATGTGTACTCCCTATTTAATTAATATTACAAATAATTAGAGAATTTCATCTGCAAATGTTATCCATGGAAACACGTACAGATGAAAAACAGCTTCAGGATTTCCAGGGAGTGTTTTTGAGACTCTCATATTCGCTGGTTTTCAGAAAGTCTTTTTAAGAAAGAGAAAAAAAAACAGAAGAAAAGAAATTAAATTTTATTTTATTTTAGTGCAACTTGGCTTCTTAACATGGGTGTCCCAGATATTCACATTTGAAAGCTAACAGGTGTGTTATGGTTGGAGATGCCAACCCACTTCCCCCAATCCCTTTTTCTCTCTGAATGATCTCTGGCTCCCCACCTTTCCTCTTTTTCTTTTTATTAAAATGTTACCTGCAGCTTTAAGGAAACCACCCCCCCATCACATTTACATACTGATTTTAAGAGAGTAGCTTCTAAATTCAGTCAAAAACACAAGCTGTTCTACTTTTCTAACATTACAACAGCAGCAAAGCACATGCATCCCAAAAATGGTCAGCCTCCCCACTTACCCTCCCTTTCTCCTGGTTCTCACCCTGTTCCTACCTTGCAGTCATGGCCATTGCTGTGTCATCGTCTGCCCTGGCCTGGTGACTTTTAGGAGGCTGCTCAGACCATGTTGCTGTACCAGAAGACACACAAGGGCAGCCAGGTTCGGTTTGGGCTGCACAGCGTTTTAGACATCAAGGTGTTTCACATCGAGTTCCAAATTTAAGACCTCTCTCCCCATGACTGGGTATATACCCAGAGGTGTATAAATCATTCTTCCATAAAGACACATGCGTGTGCATGTTCACTGCAGCACTACTCACAATAGCAAAGACATGGAATCAACCTAACCACCCACCAACGATAGATTGGACAAAGGAAATGTGGTACATATACACCATGGAATATTATGCAGCCATAAAAAAGAATGAAATAATGTATTTTGTGGGAACATGGATGGAGCTGGAGGCTATTATCCTTAGCAAACTAATGCAGGAACAGAAACTGAAATACCGCATGTTCTCACTTATAAGTGGGAGCTAAATGATGAGAACATACGAACCCAAGAAAGAAACAACAGATACTGGGGTCTACCTGAGGGTGGATAGAGGGTAGAGGAGGGAGAGGAGCAGAAAAATAACTATTGGGTACTGGGCTTAATACCTGGGTGGTGAAATAATCTGTACAATAAACCCTGTGACATGAGTTTACCTATAAACCTTCGCATGTACTCCGGAACCTAAAATAAAAGTTAAGAAAAAAAAAGGCTTTTTCTTTTAAACATCTGAAGATTTGATGGCTCAGAGGCCATGTTCCCGTGTGGTGATATCCAATTTGCTACCAATTCTACCTCTCCCAGCTAGGCCAGTATTTTTTTGTTGTGTTTGGCTTTGTTTTTGAGACAGGCTCTCGCTCTGTTGCCCAGGCTGGAGTGCAGTGCAACCATCGTAGCTCACTGCAGCCTTGAACTCCTGGGCTCGAGCAATCCTTCTGCCTTAGCCTCCTCGGTAGCTGGGGCTGGTACAGGTGTGCGCCACCACGTCTGGCTAATTTTAGTTTTTTTGTAGAGACAGAGTCTTGCTGTGTCATCCAGGCTGCTCCCAAACTCCTGGGCTCAAGGGATCCTCCTGTCTCAGCTTCCCGAAGCGCTGGGATTACAGACATAAGCCACCATGCCTGGGCTAGGCCAGTGGTTTTTGAAGTGTGGTCAGAAGACCAGCAGCATGCAGCAATCACCTGGGAATTGTTAGACGTGCTTACTCCAAGGCCTCAGCTACTGAATCAGAATCTCTGGGTGGTGGGAGTTGGGAGCAGCCAAAATATTTTAACAGGTTCTCCAGGGCTGCTGGTACATATTCAAGTTTGAGAATAGCGGTTCTATATGGTTGCCTGCCGGGCCCCTGAAGGCATCTGTGTTTGTCACCACAGCCTACATCTAATCCTTACAACTCCCCAAGGCATGTGTTGTTTTTCCATTTGATCACTTTGTTCCTAACGTGTTAGGACTTTAACACATACAGGGAAAAGTAGATCCATGTTCTCCTTCTGCATTTGAGAAAGCACTGGCTGGTGGGCTTGTGTTCTCTCTAGTCCAGCGTGTATCTTTCTTTCTTTATTTTTATTTTTATTTTTTATTTTTGAGACAGAGTCTCATTCTGTCACCCAGGCTGCAGTGCAGTGGCACGAACTCGACTCACTGCAGCCTCTACCTCTTGGGTTCAAGAGTTGCTCCTGGCCGGGCGCGGTGGCTCACGCCTGTAATCCCAGCACTTTGCGAGGCTGAGGCGGGCAGATCACGAGGTCAGGAGATCGAGACCATCCTGGCTAACATGGTGAAACCCTGTCTCTACTAAACATACAAAAAATTAGCCGGGCATGGTGGCGGGCGCCTGTAGTCCCAGCTACTCGGGAGGCTGAGGCAGGAGAATGGCATGAACCAGGGAGGCGGAGCTTGCACTGAGCTGAGATCGCACCACTGCACTCCAGCCTGGGGGACAGAGTGAGACTCCGTCTCAAAAAAAAAAAAAAAAAACAGAGTTGGTCCTGTCCTGTCTCAGCCCCTCAAGTAGCTGGGACTACAGGCATGCACCACCATGCCTGGCTAATTTTTGTATTTTTAGTAGAGATGGGGTTTAGCCATGTTGGCCAGGCTGGTCTCGAACACCTGGCCTCAAGTGATCTGCCTGCCTTGGCCTCCCAAAGTGCTGGGATTACAGGCGTGAGCCATCGCGTCCGACTCAGTCTGTATCTTTCTTCATCTGTTCTTTCTATGCTCATTTAGTCTTTGCTATGTATCGGGCATAAACCTAACGAAGCCTCCCTTGTGTTAACTCATTCAATCTTCACAACCGCCCTATATTAGCAACGAAGAAAGTAAGGCACAGAAGAAATGAAGCAACTTTTTTTTTTCTGAGACTCTGTAATTAGGGAATGGTAGAGTTAAAAGCAAGCTCCGGCTGGATAACTCTGGAGCCTGTGTCCCCACCACCTAGGCTAGATTGCCACTTTGATAGGCAGGTTCTTCATTTTGGCTTGCTGTTTGCCCTGTAAAAGTGGAGAGAGTATTTGGCTTTGAGACAGAGCAAGGACCCCCTTTGAGGGAGCTGCTGGAGACCCCCAAGCATGGAAATAAAAATCCTGAGTTCCTTCAAGGGAAATTCCAGGCACCCAGCTTGCCCTGAGAAGTAAATGAGCAATTTGATGAGCAAGAAGCTAATAGTAGCTTAAAACGATCTGGCCAGGTGCAGTGACTCATGCCTGGAATCCTGGCACTTTGGCAGGCCGAGGTGGGCAGGTTGCTTGAGCCCAGGAGTTCGAGGCCAGCCTGGCCAACATGGTGAAACCCTCATCTCTACTAAAAAAATACACTGCTAGGCGAGGCAGCTCATGCCTGTAATCACAGAACTTTGGGAGGCTGAGGCGGGACGATCACAAGGTCAGGAGTTCAAGACCAGCTTGGCCAATATGGTGAAACTCCATCTCTACTAAAAATACAAAAATTAGCCGGGTGCAGTGGCAGGTGCCTGTAATCCCAGCTACTCAGGAGGCTGAGGCAGGAGAATCTCCTGAACCCAGAAGGCGGAGGTTGCAGTGAGCAGAGATGGCGCCACTGCACTCCAGCCTGGGCAAAAGAGTGAGACTCTGTCTCAAAAAAAAAAAAAAAAAAAATTAGCTGGGCATAGTGGTAGGCACCTGTAATGCCAGCTATATGGGAGGCTGAAGCAGGAGAATAGCTTGAACCTGGGCAGAGGTTGCAGTGAGCCGAGATTGCGCCCCTGCAGTACAACCTGGGCGACAGAGTGAGACTCTGTCTCAAAAACAAACAAACAAACAAATAGCCAAAAAAGTTAGAGTCATGAGATGCTTGGTTCCCTACAGAAGCTAAACATGACATCTTAGCACATGTTCCTGAGTTGGTTTTCAGAATCCTGGACCCCACCCAGTGGATTCCCTGGCACATAGACCTCAGATAAAGGGGAGCTGACGACTCAACTCTGAGCTTGGTTCTTTGTTCTAAACTTCTCCCTGAGGGGCCTGGAGGAGGTCATGCTCACAGGCTAGAGCTAACATTCTTTTCCGCTGAACTCACTTTTTTTTTTTTTTTTTTTTTTTGAGGAGGAGTCTCACTCTGTCGCCCAGGCTGGAGTGCAGTGGCGTGATCTCGGTCTGAGTAACCGGTTCATCCCCTCTTTCAGGACTTTCTCTTGACATCTGATATCTCATGGCAGGACCAGAGTATAAAATATAATTTCAAGCCCAGTTACTGTGGCTCATGTCTGTAATTCCAGGACTTTGGGAGGCTGAGGTGGGAGGATAGCTTGAATCCAGGAGTTCCATCCCAGCCTGGGCAATGTAACAAGACCCCATCTCTACAAAAAATACAAAAAAGAGCTGGGTGTAGTGTTGCGCACCTGGAGTCCCAGCTACTCGGGAGGCTGAGGTGGGAGGGTCGCTTGAGCCCAGGAGCTGGAGACTGCAATGAGCTAAGATAGCACCACTGCACTCCAGCCTGTCTCTAAATAAATAAATAAATAAATAAATAAATATAAAGGAAGAAAGAGGCCAGGTGCAGTGGCTCACGCTTGTAATCTCAACACTTTAGGAGGCCAAGGCGGGGGGGGGGGGGCAGATCATGAGGTCAGGAGTTCGAGACCAGGCTGACCAACATGGTAAAACCCTGTCTCTACTAAAAACACAAAAATTAGCCAGGCTGGTGGCACATGCCTGTAATCCCAGCTACTCAGGAGGCTGAGGCAGGAGAATCGCTGGAACCCGGGAGGCAGAGATTGCAGTGAGCCGAGATCGTGCCATTGCACTCTAGCCTGGGCGACGGAGCGAGATTCCGTCCCACCCCCTGCCAAAAAAGAAAGAAAGAAAGAATTCCAGGCCCAGGGGCAGGACGTGGTGCAATCTTTGGTCAGGGGTCACGCACACCAAGTGGGTGGCTATTTCCTCTACAAAGAAGTCTGACCCCTTATCTTCAAGCCCACTTCTGCCTTTCCAGCCCTAAAGCCCTCTGTATAGGGATCTCCTTGAGCCTCCAGGACTGGCCCTGGTCCTGCAGCAGAGCAAGGCAAAAGGCTCTGATGAAAAGCCTCATTGTGGTCGCTGGCTATCGTTCATTATCTCGTGACACGGGAATACCGAAATGGAACATTCACATATTTTAAACTTGCAGAGATTTGTGCTTTAATGTAATTATTTCTGAAAGATTCTTCATCAGAAAGGTTAATAAGCGCAATATAGGTTAATGGCCGCACCAAGGAGACCGACATCCTCTGATAATTGACCTTATTGATATGGAAAAGTGCTCTGTGCCTCACCTTGAGGCACCGGACTGCTCTCCCTGGTCAATTATCTTTTAATGAAGCCTGCCTCTTCGGCCGCTGTTGAACTGTCAGGCCCTGGTCTGCAGTTCCTCCGTCTTCCCTGAAGAGAAGCCCTCCTTAGAATTCTCTGCAGGCCCTAGCTTGTTTTCTGGCTCTCTGGCTTCTCTCATCCAGGAAGAAAAAAAAAAAATTATGGGATCAGGCACGGTGGCTTGCACCTGTAATCCCAGCACTTTGGGAGGCCAAGGCGGGCAGATTACCTGAGGTCAGGAGTTTCAGACCAGCCTGTCTGAAACTTAGCGAAACATTGTCTCTATTAAAAAATACAAAAATTAGCCAGGTGTGGTGGTACGTGCCTGTAATCCCAGCTACTCTGGAGGCTGAGGCAGGAGAATCACTAGAACCCAGGGAGGTGGAGGTTGCAGTGAGCCGAGATCACGCCTCTGCACTCCAGCCTGGGCAATAGAGCAAGACTCTGTTTCAAAAAAAAAAAAAAAAAAAAAAAAGAATAGGGAAAGGTAAGTGACATTTATTAGGCACATCCCAGCTGCAGGACCTCTTCTGGGTGGCCTCTTTTACAGGCTTTGATTTTATAGACTTTACAACCAACTTGTGGAGCAGGCTTGGCTCATCCCAGTTTACAGATGGGGAAACTGACTTTGGGAGGTTCGGTGACATGCTCATCATCACAGTTAAAAGTGGCATTGCCGTTGTTGGTTTCTCCCATTATTCAGCCCCTGCTGCCGGAGCTGTCCCCTGACAAGGTGTCTGTTAGTGCCTCAGCAAAATACGAGGGCATAGAAGGGGAGGTGAAGACCTGCTTCTCGATTTTGCATTTGTGTCACTGTCAGATACGGGGTTCAGAGACTGCATCTTTAAGATCAGTCGAGGTAGATGCTGAGATGCAGGGCTGCTGGCTCCCAGAAGGGGTCCGTTCAGAAATGAACATTGTCCATGGAAACCCACCTGAAACTACAGCAACTGCCCTAACTTCTTGTCACTCTCTTCTGGCCCTGGATCGGATCTTCCTTTGAACAGTGATGGCAACAGCTTGAAGGGCTGCCAGTGGCTGGCATAGTGCATTTAGAGTCAACCTATATAAAGCATGGTGCATAGCAAAATGAGGGCACTAGGCAAAATTGCCACCAGTGCCCACCCAGTTTGCAGCCCAGCGACTTTCCAACAAGCTCTACCCTGAAATCTCCTCTGAGAGGTTCCACACCTCAGTTATCAATAATTGCATCGTCTCTGCTAACGGATTGCAGATCAGAGCTTGGCCTGGGAACCTCTCCTGGGTCCTGGCCCAGTGACAAGGAGACTGCCGCAGAGCTTCAAGGTCCGTCCATCCTATGTCACAGGGTGAGATATTTCAGAAGCCTGGTTGGGATTGTAGGGGCCCAGTGCTAGGTGTCCCTTCCCATCCCTAGACTTAGCAGGATGCTGAAATCATCCTGTGTCAGCTCATCTAAAAGGGGAAGAGTTATTCTATTTATTGGTTTATTTAGAGGCAGGGTCTCATTCTGTCACCCAAGCTGGAATGCAATGGCACAAATATAGCTCACTGCAGGCTCAACCTCCTGGACTCAAGCAATCCTCCCACCTCAGCCTCCCGAGTAGCTGGGACTACAGGCACGAGCCACCATGCCTGGCTAATTTTTTTTAACCAATTAAAGATTTCAGACTTGGCTGGGCTCAGTGGCTCATGCCTGTAATTCCAGCACTTCGGGAGGCGGAGGTGGGTGGATCACTTGAGCCCAGAAGTTCGAGATCAGCCTGGCCAACATGGCAAAACCTTGTCTCAAAAAACAAAACAAAACCCACAAAAATTAGCCACGCATTGTGGCTCATGCCTGTAATCCCAGCTACTCAGGAGGCTGAGACATGAGAATCACTTGAACCCAGGAGGCAGGGGTTGCAGTGAGCTGAGATTGCACCATTGCACTTCAGACTGGGCGGCAGCATGAGACTGTCTCAAAAACAAACAAACGGCCAGGCGCGGTGGCTCACACCTGTAATCTCAGCACTTTGGGAGGCCGAGGCGGGTGGATTACGAGGTCAGGAGATCGAGACCATCCTGGCTAACATGGTGAAACCCCATCTCTACTAAAAATACAAAAAATTAGCTGGGCGAGGTGGCAGGCGCCTGTAGTCCCAGCTACTCGGGAGGGTGAGGCAGGAGAATGGCATGAACCTGGGAGGTGAAGCTTGCAGTGAGCTGAGATGGTGCCACTGCACTCCAGCCTGGGCGACAGAGAGAGACTCCAGCTCAAAACAAGCAAACAAACAAACTAACAAACACAACCATTTCAGACTCAATTGAGTGAAAATCCAGATGGCAGAAATCTCTCCTAACCTTGGAGGGTGAGATGGGTTAGTATGAGGCTTTGCTTTTAGGAATTGAATGGTTACGCTCTCCTTCTTGAACTCTAAAATGAGTGCTAAGTAGCCTTTTTCATAGCCTTCTGCTGCACTAGGAGGGATAATCAACTTGAGACCAGGAGGTCGAGGCTGCAATGAGCTATGAATGGTGCCATTACACTCTAGCCTGGGTAACAGAGTGAGACCCCCCCTAGAAGAAGAAAAAAATATTTTCTTATGTTGTTATTCACTGAGCTGTATTTCCTAGGTGTAGCGTCTGTCTCCCTGGCTAGAATGTAAGTTTTAGAGATTCGGGATTGTACTCATTGCCTACCAGTGGCTTTTTCTGTGAAGGGCATGAACATTAGCCTTTGACCCAGGCCCTCTCCCCTTTACTCTAGAATTCCCATCTGCTCTCCCCATCCATTAAGCTACCAAGTCCGAGGACTGATGATAGCTTGATCTTGACTACCTTCACCTGGCCAGATCTGTGTTGTGCTGGCATGTTCTAAGGCTCGGAATCTGAGCATCTATGTCTGAGCCCGGCCTGCAGGAGTGACTGGCTTTAACTGTTTGGACAGATTTTAATGCCTTTAAAAAATAACCAGCCAGGCATAGTGGCTCACGCCTGTAATCCCAGCACTTTGGGAGGCCGAGGCAGGTGGATCACGAGATCAGGAGATGGAGACCATCCTGGCTAACACAGTGAAACCCCCGTCTCTACTAAAAATACAAAAATATTATCTGGGTGTGGTGGCACACACCTGTAATCCCAGCTACTCGGGAGGCTGAGGCAGGAGAATCGCTTGAACGCTGGAGGCAGAGGTTGCAGTGAGCCGAGATCGCGCCACTGCCCTCCAGCTTAGGCGACAGAGTGAGACTCCATCTCAAATAAATAAATAATAAATTTTAATAAACCTATTAGAGGCTGGGTATGGTGGCTTACGCCTGTAATCCCAGCACTTTGGGAGGCCGAGATGGGAGGATGGCTTGAGCATAGGAGTTCAAGATCAACTGGGTAACTTGGTGAAACCCCATCTCTACTAAAAATACAAAAAAAATTAGCTGAGTGTGGTGGTGTGCACCTGTAATCCCAGCTACTCGGGAGGCTGAGGCATGAGGACTGCAGGTTGCAGTGAGCCGAGATTGCACCACTGCACTCCAGCCTGAGCAACAGAGTGAGACTCTGCCTCCAAAAAAAAAAAACCTGTTAGAATCTCCTTTCTTTCATGTAGGCCATAAAGACAAAAATAAGACTAGTGAAAATATTTACATAATGTACACTACACTAGCAGTGGAACTCATTATCATAAGGTAAATAAATTCACCTAATGAATAAGTTTGTTTGTTTGTTAGTTTGTTTTGGAAACGGAGTTTCGCTCTCATTGCCCCAGCTGGAATGCAATGGCACAATCTAGGCTCACTGCAACCTCCGTCTCCAGTGTTCAAGGGATTCTCCTGCCTCAGTCTCCCAAGTAGCTAGGATTACAGGTGCCCACCACCATGCCTGGCTAATTTTTTTTTTTTTTTTGAGATGGAGTCTCACTCTGTCAGCCAGGCTGGAGTGTGCAGTGGCACGATCTTGGCTCACTGCAACCTCCACCTCCTGGGTTCAAGCGATTCTCCTGCCTCAGCCTCCTGAGTAGCTGGGATTACAGGTGTGTGCCACCACACCCATCTAATTTATGTATTAGATAAATTTCTCCATGTTGGTCAGGCTGGTCTCAAGCTCCTGACCTCAGGTGATCTGCCTCCCAAAGGGCTGGGGTTACAGGCATGAGCCACATTGCCCAGCCACATAAGTTTTGAAAAAAAAAAATAGCAATGGAAATTCCTATAACATTAAATTAACCATTTTAAGGTGAACAATTTAATGACATTTAGTGCATTCATAATATTGTACAACCACTGCCTCTATCTAGTTCCAAAATATTTCCATCACTCCAAAGTAAAATCCTGTACCCCTTAAGCCATTTCTCCAAATTTCCCCTTCCCTCCATCCCTTGGCAAATATGAATCTGCCTTCTGTCACTATGGGTTTATCTATTCTCACTATAAATGGGGCCAAAAGACTAAATAAGACAAAAATAAGACTAGTGAAAAAATCTGCATAATACGTACCATACTATAATTTTTTTCAAAACTTATGCAATAGGTGAATTATAGAGGTGGAAATTCACTTAACATAAAATCAACCATTTTAAAATGAACAATTTATAGCCTTTTGTGTCTGGCCTTTTTCACTTAGCATAGTGTTTAAAGGTTCATCCATGTTGTGGTGTGTATCAGTACTTCCTTTCTCTTTAGGGCTGAGTAATATTCCATTGCATGGATATACCACCACTGGTTTATCCATTCATCTGTTGACGGACTTCTTGGCTGTTTTCACCTTTTGGCTATTGTGAATAATGCTATTATGAATATGTGTGCTACATACTTATTTGAGTACCTGTTTTTAATTCTTTTGGGGTATACCTAAGAGTAAAATTGCTGGATCCTATGATAATTCTTTTTTTTTTTTTTTTTTTTTTGAGATGGAATCTTTCTCTGTCCACCAGGCTGGAGTTGCAATGGCGTGATCTCGGCTCACTACAAGCTCTGCCTCCCGGATTCACACCATTCTCCTGCCTCAGCCTCCCAAGTAGCTGGGACTACAGGCACCCGCCACCATGCCCGGCTAATTTTTTTTTGTATTTTTTGTAGAGGCGGGGTTTCACCATATTAGCCAGGATGGTCTTGATCTCCTGACCTCATGATCCACCCATCTCAACCTCCCAAAGTGCTGGGATTACAGGCGTGAGCCACCACCCCCAGCCTGGATCCTATGATAATTCTATGCTTAACTTTTTCAGGAGGTGTCAAACTGTTGTCAACAGAGGCACAAAGAACTTTTTATTTTATTTTATTTTTGGGGAGGGAGTCTCACTCTGTCGCCCAGGCTGGAGCACAGTGGCTCAACCTCTGCTCACTGCAACCTCTGCCTCCTGGGTTCAAGCGATTCTCCTGCCTCAGCCTCCCGAGTAGCTGGGACCACAGGTGCATGCCACCATACCTGGCTAATATTTTATTTTTATTTTTATTTTATTTTTATAAGACAGAGTTTTACTCTTGTTGCTCAGGCTGGAGTGCAATGGTGCAATCTTGGCTCACTGCAGTCTCTGCCTCCTGGGTTCAAGAGATTCTCCTGCCTCAGCCTCCTGAGTAGCTGGGATTACAGGCATGTGCCACCATGCCTGGCTAATTTTGTATTTTCAGTAGAGACGGGGTTTCTCCATGTTGGCCAGGATGGTCTCAAACTCCTGACTTCAAGTGATATGCCCTCCTCGGCCTCCCAAAGTGCTGGGATTACAGATGTGAGCCACCGAGCCTGACCCTTTTTAAATATTAAACAATACAATGAGGAGATTTTGGTGTGAATCCCAAGTGGCCCACAACCTGCTTAAGAAGGCAGATCATTTTGCCATCTGTTATTTTCAGAGATTAGTCTTCCTCACTGGGGGAAGACAATGAGTCCTTCAAGACCATTTTAGCCTAATTCAAGAAGTGATGATTATTAAGTTATTAAGGCATTTGGAAATTAGATTTTCTATTGACAACCAGGTGTTCTAATATTTGGAAGCACATCACATTCTTTAGTAGAGATATCAGAGAAAGGAAAAGGAGGGTTCTGTTCTTCTCTCACCGTAGCAGCTTGGTGGACCTAAGACCTTTTCCAAACGAGGTAGTTGAACATAGCAAATAAAGGGGAATGTGCTGAGTAGGAGGGGTGTAGGGTATAGCGGAAAAAAACACGCCACCTTTGAAGGTGGAAGATGGGAATTAAACAACTTAAGGGGCTGGGGGTGGTGGCTCATGCCTGTAATCTAAGCACTTTGGGAGGCCGAGGCTGGCAGATCACTTGAGGTCAGGAGTTCGAGACCAGCCCGGCCAACATAGTGAAACCCCATCTCTACTAAAAATACAAAAATTAGCCAGGTGTATGGCGAGTGCCTGTAATCCCAGCTACTTGGAAGGCTGAGGCAGGAGAATTGCTTGAGCTTGGGAGGCAAGGGTTGCAGTGAGCCGAGATTGCACCACTGCACTCCAGCCTGGACAACAGAGTGAGACTCTGCCTCAAAAAACAAAACAAACAAACAAACAAATTAATGCCTGGGAGAACCTCTTCAAAGCAGAGCCCTAGGTTAGTGCCTGGCATGTAAGACGTGCTCACTATAAGAGGTGTGCTGAGTTGAACCAGAAATCATACTCTGAAAAACTCTATATGACTGCTGCAGTTGACCTCTAGGGATGGCCCCACCTTGAAGACTCCAACTTTGATTAGTTGCTATAGCAAGTCTGGGACTTCATACCTCTCAAGACTTCTGGCTGGGTGCAGTGGCTCAAACCTGTAATCCCAGCACTCTGACAGGCCGAGGTGGGCGGATCACGAGGTCAGGAGTTCAAGACCAGCCCGGCCATCATAGTGAAACCCGGTCTCTACTAAAAAAGTAAAAAAAGAAAATAGCTGGGCATGGTGGCGGGTGCCTGCAGTCCCAGCTACCTGGGAGGCTGAGACAGGAGAATCGCTTGAACACAGGAGTTGGAGGTTACATTGAGCCGAGATCATGCCACTGCACTCCAGCCTGGGTGACACAGCGAGACTGTGTCTCAAAAAAAAAAAAGAAAAAAAGAAAAGACTTCTGATAGCTCAACTGGTGCCGTGCTTCATGGTGAGCTCTTCAGAGCTACCAGAGCTGGAATGAAAACATCAAGGTGGAAAACGAAAACCAGGGCAAGGTGAAGTCAGGTGTTGGGCAGATTGTGTCGGTGAGATATAAAGGCTAAGCCCAGAAAAGGGTGAGCCAGTGTCAGGGCCAGGCATGGCAGGAGACGTCAGATTTAAATCAGAGTAAATTGAGTGCCAGAGAGGTGCTGAAATCCTAGAACAAAGCCCATAGAGAGTTGTCAAGGAGGAATGGTTTGGGAGCAGGGATATGTATATTGTCAAGTTAATTTACACAATGGAGTGAGTTGCATTTGAAGGGCTAATGACTAGCACCTATAGACCCCGTTGGGTGAATCTTAAAGAACTGAGAAAGGGCCGGGTGCAGTGTCTCATGCTTGTAATCCCAGCACCTTGGGAGGCCGAGGTGGGTGGATGGCCTAAGGTCATGAGTTCGAGACCAGCCTGACCAACATGGTGAAACCCTGTCTCTACTAAAAATATAAAAACTAGCCGGGCGTGGTGGCAGGTGCCTGTAATCCTAGCTACTCAGGAGGTTGAAGCAGGAGAATCACTTGAACCCGGGAGGTGGAGGTTGCAGTCAGCTGAGATCATACCTCTGCACTCCAGCCTGGGCGACAGAGTCAGACTCTGTCTCAAAGAAAAAAAAAAATCTGTAGCTTTGTGAACTTGGGTTACAAGAATATTAATACAGCGGCCGGGCGCAGTGGCTCACGCTTGTAATTCCAGCACTTTGGGAGGCGGAGGCGGGCGGATCACGAGGTCAGGAGATCGAGACCATCCTGGCTAACACAGTGAAACCTCGTCTCTGCTAAAAAAAAAAATACAAAAAGTTAGCCACGCGTGGCGGCGGACGCCTGTAGTCCTAGCTACTCAGGAAGCTGAGGCAGGAGAATGGCATGAACCTGGAAGGTAGAACTTGCAGTGAGCCGAGATCGCACCACTGCATAGCAGCCTGGGCGGACAGAGCAAGACTCTGTCTCAAAAAAAAAAAAAAAAAAAAAGAGAATATGAATACAGCTGAACCTGGGCTCTCTGTTAACATTGATAGTTTATAGCTGCCAAATTCGACAATAAATGAGATTTGATATCAAGAAGTTCTGAGATGCTGCTTGGAGGTTCCTGGGATCAACCTGGTTGTACTTCTAGCTTCAGCCTTGGGTATGGAAAAGAACAAAAGGCTGCAGAAAAGCAGGAGTTATTCACTTTGTTGCTTTCAGTGTGTATTTGGTTGAATGGGTGCCTAGAGATTTTTAAACATTAGCTCCTTTTAAATCAAGCTGGGCACCTTATAAATCAAAATGATAAATGATTGATAAATAAACTGTCATTGCCACAATTAGATTCTCCATTATACTTGTATGCTATAATTTAAAATGTAATTTCCCTTGAAGCTCATAAAGGCCCTGTAGTAATAGGGTGTCACAATGTATTAGGGGCATGTGCATGCATTGTGGCTGAGTGCACACCTTGATGAAGTGCAGGGCTGAGCTGTAGGGTTTTACTGCAAAAGCACGTGTTCAGCTGTGGGTTCAGAGGCAGCTCTATGACGTTCAGGGAACTGGGTGTTTCAGCCAGAAAACCAGAAGATTGAAGAGGAAGGAAGTCCTCCAAATGGACTCCCCCAAAAAGTGAGTTAGCACGTGTTGCATAGGCTGCCAAAGATTTTCCAATCAAGCTCATCCACGTGATAATTTTTCATGCATTTATATCCTGTTTTTGTCAAGGGTAATTTAGTAAGATTTATCAGGAAAGAATATGTATTCTACAACTCAGTTTTCTCCAACTGATCAGTGAGAAGATCAAACTTCCAAAGAACCACCAGACTCAAATCTTTGGAAACAGAGTTTAAAGATTTCCACTTCTGATAAATGTCCTGATTTTTTTGTTTGTTTGTTTGTTTGTTTTTTGTTTTTTTTAAAGATGGAGTCTCACTCTGTCACCCAGGCTGGAGTGCAGTGGCCCGATCTTGGCTCACTGCAACTTCTGCCTCCTGGATCCAAGCTATTCTCCTGCCTCAGCCTCCTGAGTAGCTGGGATTACAGGTGCCTGCCACCTCAGCCGGCTAATTTTTGTATTTTTAGTAGAGATAAGGTTTCAACATGTTGGCCAGGCTGGTCTCGAATTCCTGACCTTACGTGATCCACCCGCCTCGGCCTCCCAGAGTTCTGGGATTACAGGCATGAGCCACTGCACCTGGCCTCCCTGATGATTTTGATGCCTCCTTATCTATTCCAGTCATACTCCAGTTTAGGAACAACTGATACAACAGGTCATGATCTTAAGACCAATTCTGCAAAGACAACACTCAATGACTTCTGATTCAGCACCCCTGGGTTTAGCCAAATGCATTGGAATTTGCATATCTGTGTTGGCACTTAATCTAGCTTTGCAGGTAGATTTTGTTTTGTTTTGTTTTTTGAGACAGGGTCTCACTCTGGTGCCCAGGCTGGAGTGCAGTGGTGCAATCACAGCTCACTGCAGCCTGAATTCTCTGGGCTCAAGTGATCCTCCCACCTCCAGACTTCTGAGTAGCTGAGACTACAGGTGCATGCCACCATGCCCAGCTAATTTTTATTTATTTATTTATTTATTTATTTATTTATTTATTTATTTATTTATTTTGTAGCAATAGGTTCTTTCTATGTTGCCCAGGTTGGTCTTGAACTCCTGGGCTCAAGTGATCCACCCCCTCAGTCTCCCAAAGTGCTGGAACTACAGGCATAAGCCAGCGTGCCCGGCCTGATTTTGTTTTCTTTTCTTTTCTTTTCTTTTTCTTTTCTTTTTCTTTTTTTTTTTTTTTTTTTTTGAGACCGAGTCTCGCTCTATCCCCAGGCTGGAGTGCAGTGGCGTGATATCGGCTCACTGCAACCTCCACCTCCTGGGTTTAAGCAATTCTCTGCCTCAGCCTCCCGAGTAGCTGGGATTACAGGCGTGTGCCACCATGCCCAGCTAATTTTTGTATTTTTTAAGTAGAGACGGGGTTTCACCATCTTGGCCAGGCTGGTCTTGAACTCCTGACCTCATGATCCACCTACCTCAGCCTCCCAAAGTGCTGGGATTACAGGTGTAAGCCATTGCCCCCAGCCAGATTTTGTTTTCTATACTAAAAAATGATGTGGCTTCCCTTAACCATTATCTGTGAGAATCATTATGTTTGAACATAAACACCAACCAATCCTGTCTTCGGGATTCCTCAAGCATCTTTCCCTAATATCCTTCCCAAAATGACCACCCAAATCTTCATGGATGGCTATCCCTCTCATAACGTTACCTTTAAGCCATCTTTCCCATCCTGCAGATGTTTACTTCAAGTCCTAACTCCCTTCAGTCCCCATTACAGGACTGAGAGTGTTGTCTCTAAAACAGGATGGATGTCTTAGAATTGCAAAGAGAACCGCTGACTCTCAGAGAAGGGTCAGGTTTCCACAAACACTTTAAATCCCTATTTATTTTTCCCCCTTGCCAGCTCATTAGTGCCATACTTCCACATTTAAATTCCGCCCACAGAGTGAGCAGAATGGATGTCAACAGGCTGGTGTTAAATCAACAGTCCCTGTGCTCACAGAGCCCTTTGACCTGAGCTTTTTGGAATGACCTGAGATCATTAGAGACCCAGTCAAGTGTGGCTGCGAGAGTCTGGTTGGTGTCGGAAACCCTCGTGCCCATTTATAATTTCTCATGTAGCTCTTTCCTTGTCCCCAAATTGGCCATCAAGTGGTTCAATTGACCTTGAAATGTAGATTGTAAATTGTGACTTGAGAAAACCAGAGATTCCAAAGAGATTTTTTTTTTAATTCTAATTTGGCCTTGACATGTCATACATTTAAAATTTTTTTCCAAGGATTTCTTTCCTGCTCAGAAGGATGTATGGCATCTTGCTTGGGCAAGCCCATGTTAGCAAGAGTTCTTGTTCAGCCTGTTCCAACGATACATTAAAATTAATGAAGCCAGGTTTCTATACCTTGATTGGAAGTTAACATTGTGGACAAGGAAGCTGATCAGATTTGCTATTGGAATAGGAGAATTTCCCATTCTCTCTTCCCAGGCTGGTAGTAAACCACGGGGAAAGTTCCTTCCTTAAGATTCCTCAGAGGTTCAGTGTTACATTTGGTGAAGCTGAAGAGTTAACCCAGTACTGAGCATTAGTTAACGCTTGGGCAGAGCTAACACCATGTTTAAGCTTTCCAATGAACTGTGTCAAACCTCCTTGTCCGTCCTTATTTTCTGCCGTGGTTCGAGAGTTGGCTCAGATGTTTTCTAATATGCTCTGCTGTCACCCAGATAGAGATCCTCTTTCTACTTTTTTTTCCTTAGCCTGCCTTCAATAGCCCTCTCCTATCAGCTTCCAGGGAGGGGTCCCCTCATCGTATTCATCTCGGTCTCATGGGCACCCAGAGCCTGGCAGGTAAATTTTATTGAATGGAAATGGATACGTCTGTAAATGCATTCAGTTCTTCTGAATTAATCCAAGGCCAAAAAAAAAAAAAATCACAAATAGGAAATGAATAATTCACCAATTTATAAACTTGAGAAATCCAGAGGAGAAATTTAGCCCTATCTCATTATGTTACAGATAAGGAAACTGATGTATATGGTGGAATTGTGATTTGCCCAAGGCCACTTGAGTTGGTCCAGTTCTCCCTCCATCTTTTAATTTAATCTATGAATCCTGGGACACTATGACTTGAACTCCAACGCACTGAAGTGAATACATTTCTGCAACTTGTAATTTAACAGAGATATTTACAGAATCCCTTTATGGCTGTACTTCATCTTGCCCAAAAGAAGCTGCATGTAAATCTGATCACGTTTGAAAAACAGAAGGAAATTATTCTATTTAAATTAACCCCACAGTCAAATCTTTTACAAAGCCAGGGATCCCTTTTCTATGTGACTAAGTACAGCCTAATTAACCTATTTTTGTTACTTGCAGTTTTTGGAAAGTGAAAACCTAAAACCTCCTTATTTAGGAATATAACAGACCCAAAGGTGAGGAGAGCAAAAAGTGCCAAGAGATGGGGGTGATGGTTTGGGAAGCTGAGGTATCTTGAAATAGTCTATCATAGGATTAGTACATTTATATACTTAAAATTCTTCCGGCACTTCCCTTTTCCTTCCTTCCCTTCCCTTTTTTTTTTTTTTTTTTTTGAAACAGAGTCTCACTCTGTCACCCAGGCTAGAGTGAAATGGCACAATCTCGGCTCACTGTAACCTCTGCCTCCTGGGTTAAAGCGATTCTCCTGCCTCAGCCTCCTGAGTAGCTGGGACTACAAGGGTGCACCACCAAACCTGGCTAATTGTTTACATTTTTAGTAGAGACAGGTTTTTGCTATGTTGGCCAGGCAAGTCTCAAACTCCTGACCTCAGGTGATCCTCCCACATCGGCCTCCCAAAGTGCTGGGATTGCAGGCATGAGCAACAACCCGGCCCCAACCTTCTTCTTTTTTTTTTTTTTCTCTTTTTTTTTTTTTTTTTTTTGTGAGATGGAGTCTTGCCCTGTTGCCCAGGCTGGAGTGCAGTGTGTGTGATCCCGGCTCACTGCAATGTCCACCTCCCAGGTTCAAAGGATTCTCCTGCCTCTCCAGTAGCTGGGATTACAGATGTGAGCCACTGCACTGGGCACTGAATCAGCCACTTTTTTTTTTTTTTTTTTTTGAGATGGCATCTTCCTCTGTCTCTCAGGCTAGAGTGCAATGGTGCCATCTCAGCTTACTGCAACCTCCGCCTCCTGGATTCAAGCAATCCTCATGTCTCAGATTCCCGAATAGCTGGGATTACAGGCGCCTTCTACCGTGCCTGGCTAATTTTTGTATTTTTAGTAGAGATAGTGCTTCACCATATTGGCCAGGCTGGTCTTGAACTCCTGACCTCAAGTGATCTGCCCACCTCAGCTTCCCGAATTGCTGGGATTACAGACATGAGCCACCATGCCCATTCCCTATCTTTTTACATAAACAGCTTAAACAGGAACATGTTAGGTGGAATTTTGATTATTTTCTGTCTTTGGCTTAAAGATGGTCCCTGTTTTCTGCTCAGCTGAGGAATGAGGAAGGATGAAGGATCCAGGCCACCGGTACTGGGCAAAGTGCCAGGCTCCCGGAAATATTCAGTAAATACTCATTAGTGCTGCTGCAGCTGCTGATCTAGAACTCTCCCACCTACCTCCAGAAAATTCCAGAACCAGCATTTATTAAGCATCTCTATGCAAAATGCTTTGTTGGGAAACTTGGGAAGATAGAAAGACACCTAGGCCTCTCTTCAGGCTCATAATATCATCCTCTCCTTCCATGTTGGAGATCTTTCTTTCTTTTTTTCTTTTTTTTTTTTTTTTTTTGAGATGGAGTTTTGCTCTTGTTGCTGGAGTGTAATGGCACGATCTCTGCTCACTGAAACCTTCGCCTCCTAGGTTCAAGCGATTCTCGTGCCTCAGCCTCCCAAGTAGCTGGCACTACAGTCTTGCACCACCACACCTGGCTAATTTTTGTATTTTTTAAATAGAGATGGGGTTTCGCCATGTTGGCTAGGCTGATCTCGAACTCTTGGCCTCAAGTGACTTGCCTGCCACAGCCTCCCATAGTGCTGGGGTTACAAGCGTGAACCCCTGTGCCCAGCCTGCATTGATCTTACACTAGCAAACTCTCCTGAGGGCACTTGTCTGGCTTCATCACAGCCAAAGACCAAGGGGCCTGGAAAAACTCAGACCACATGTGCATGGGCAGAACCACTCACTCACAGGTAATGGTAGGAATTAAAATGCAAACTGCAAAGCTGATGATAAAATTCTAGGCTGGGCGCAGTGATCACACCTGTAATCTCAGCACTTTGGGAGGCTGAGGCAGGTGGATCACCTGAGGTCAGGAGTTCGAGACCAGCCTGGCCAACATGGTGAAACCCCGTCTCTACCAAAAATACAAAAATTTAGCCAGGCGTTGTGGCGTGCACCTGTAATCCCAGCTACTCTGGAGGCTGAGGCAGGAGAATCGCTTTAACCCAGGAGGCAGAGGTTGCAGTGAGCTGAGATCGCACCATTGGACCCCAGCCTGGGCAACAAGAGTGAAACTCTGTCTCATAAAATAAATAAATAAATAAATAAATATAAAATTCTTAGCAGTTCTCTCAATTGCCTAATTGCAGGAGTATCCCGAAACTTTCAAATGTTTCATATTAAATTGTTTCCCTTAATGGTGCTGGTATCTGTTCCCTCTTTTTCTTCATCTTTTCCACCATCTAAAATTCTATATCCTCTGGATTCACTTATATGACTCACATTGTGTCTACCTCCAATCCACCCTCCACCCCTCAGGGGTAAGTGTCTGGTGGATTCAAAATTGCCAATGCTACAAATTTAGATGAACTTGCTACTAAACCGAACTTGGGTCTCCCTTGGTGCAGCAAAGGTAAACACTGACATCGGAATCACAGTGAGAGAAAGTGAGTCATTTATTGCAGGGCAGCAAGCAAGGAGATCAGGCAGTTCAAGCTAAAGACTCGAACTCCCCCATGGCTAACAGATAAAGATGATTAAAGGGAGGCAGAAGTTACAGGTCAAATCATAAATCAGTACATGGAGCCACTACACTATTTTGACCTAAAAAGGTGGGGATATCTCAAGGCAGGGGCCCACAGGTCATAGGTGGATTCAAAGATTTTTCTGATTTGTGACTGGTTAAGGAGGCGAAGATTTACCTAAAAATTTGGGGTCGGGCCGGGCGCGGTGGCTCATGCCTGTTATCCCAGCATTTTGAGAGGCCAAAGCGGGCAGATCACTTGAGGCCAGGAGTTCGAGACCAGCCTGGCCGACATGGCAAAACCCTGTCTCTACTAAAAATACCAAAAATTAGCCAGGTGTGGTGGGAGGCACCTGTAGTCCCAGCTGCTGGGGAGGCTGAGGCAGGAGAATCACTTGAACCCAGGAGGTGGAGGTTGCAGTGAGCTGAGATCGTGCCACTGCGTTCCAGCCTGGGGAACCAAGCGAGACTCTGTCTCAAAAAATAATAATAACAAAAATAAATAAATAAAATAAAATAAAGTAAAAATTTGGGGTCAGCAGAAAAGAATGCTAGCTCTGGCCTGTGGGTAAGACCTCCTCCAGGCTCCTTAGGAAGAAACTCAGAACAAAGAATGGGTGGGGGTGGGGTGGGGGGATGGGGGGTGCGGAGGGGTCAGGTTTCGGTTCTCATTTTCCCCTTATCTGAGTTCTGTGTGCCAGGGGATCCACTCGGTGGGGTCCACGTTTCTGAAAAACAACTCAGGGACATATGTTCAGATGTTATCTTTCGTTTCTATAGGGAACAAGGCATCTCGTGTCTCCAGCTTCCTTCGATGTTGTTTTAAGCTACAATTACCTTCTTGCTTATCGAGTTGCTTATGCACTTCTCAGGGCTAGCTAGCTAGGTACCTGGAACTTCCCTGGAAGGAACTCAGGATTCTCCTTTATTTCCATGCATGGGGGCGCCCACAAGTGCCTCAGAGGGGTTCTTGCTCCTTCTCAAATTGGGTCTGGGACAATCCGGACCCTTTGATGCTAATGCCCAGGATATATTAGGACCTTCTGTGGCTGTGCTGTTCAAGTCATTCAACAACACCCAGTATCGGTCAGGGGGCTTCCTGGTCAATGAGAACTAAGGGTTGAACAATAGAAGATTGACTGGGTTTTATATGCTTAGTAATAAACTGTTCTGACTCCTTCAAACATATGAGTTCCTCTGGGTTTTCTCCAGTTTCTATGTATGGTAGAAACTACTGTACAACCTACCGAAAATCTTGCTGGTGCATAATTGTTCTGTCGCTTCAGAATTTAATTGTTTCTCTTGTTTATTTATTATTATTATTATTAGAGATAGAGTTTCGCTCTTGTTGCCCAGGCTGGAGTGCAATGGCGCGATCTCCGCTCACCGCAACCTCCGCCTCCCGGGTTCAAGCGATTCTCCTGCCTCAGCCTCCCAAGTAGCTGGGATTACAGGCACGCACCACCACGCCTGGCTAATTTTATATTTTTGGTAGAGATAGAGTTTCTCCATGTTGGTCAGGCTGGTCTCGAACTCCCGACTTCAAGTGATCCACCCACCTCGGCCTTCCAAAGAGCTGGGATTACAGGTGTGAGCCACCACGCCCAGCCATTCATTCTCTTGGGTCTTTTTAAAAAATGTCTTTTTTTATTTTGTAGATATGAGAGTCTGCTGTGTTACCTAGGCTGGTCTTGAACTCCTGCCCTCAAGAGACGCTTCTGCCTTGGCCTCCCAAAGTGTTGGGATTACAGGGATGAGCCACTGCACCTGGTCTTAAAGATTGTCTTTGGATCTCTTGGAGGACCTGTGGCCTCAGTTGCTTTATTTTTCCCTTTTTTTTTTTTTGACGGAGTCTCTCTCTGTCACCAGGCTGGAGGGCAGTGGCGCAATCTCCGCTCACTGCAACCTCCACCTCCCAGGTTAACTGATTCTCCTGCGTCAGCCTCCCGAGTAGCTGGGACCACAGGTGTGTGCCACCATGCCCAGATAACTTTTTTGTATTTTTAGTAGAGATGGGGTTTCACATGTTGGCCAGGCTGATCTTGATCTCTTGACCTCGTGATCTGCCTGCCTCAGCCTCCCAAAGTGTTGGGATTACAGGCGTGAGCCACTGCTCCCAGCCCTCAATTGCTTTCATAAAAGCATAACCTCTGGATGGCTGGAAGATCATTTTTATTTATTATTTACTTTTTAAAACCGTGTATAGTAGGTTCAGCAGTACATGTGTGTAGATTTGTTATCTAGATAAATTGTGTGTACAAATTATTTCATCATCCAGGTAATAAGCATAGTACCTGATAGGTAGTTTTTTGTCATTATCCTCTCTGTATCTCTGACTTCACTTTGAGAAGAATATGCGTCAGCTCTTTTGCTGGCTCAAGGAGGAAAAGATGCATGTAATAGAGGCATCCCAGCTGAGTCCAATGCAGATCAGCCAACCTCCAGTACTCGATAAGTGCATAAGTGAGCCCAATGGAGAGGCTGCCTGGCAGAGCCCGGTTCATTTTAGCTGACCCAGAGATGACAGAGCTGTAATGAACAATTGTGGTTTACACTACTGAGTTTTGGACTGATTTGTTATGCGGCAATACATGTGCAAAAGTATTTTTAAAAATTTTTTAAGTTTTTTTTTTAAGTTTTTAAAAAATTGATGGAGTTGAATTGATCAACCTTATTTCATTTTATTTTAGTTTTGAGACTGAGTCTCACTCTGTCACCCAGGCTGGAGTGCAGTGGGGCGATCTCGGCTCACTGCAACCTCCGCCTCCCGGGTTCATGTGATTCTCCTGCCTCAGTGTCTCGAGTAGCTGGGACTACAGGTACCCACCACCACATCTGGCTAATTTTGTATTTTTAGCAGAAACAGGGTTTCACCATGTTGGCCAAGCTGGTCTTGAACTTCTGACCTCAGGTGATCCACCTGCCTTGGCCTCCCAAAGTGCTGGGATTACAGGCATGAGCCACCTCACCTGGCCAATCAATCTTATTTTATTGCAACTGGATTTTGAGTCGGAGTTACAAGGGTTTTCTCTACATTCAGGCCATGAAGAGATCCACTCATATTTTCTTTTAGTACTTAGATGGTTTTAGTTTTTACATTTGTAGCTCTGATCTATCTGGAGTTTATTCTGGTGCATAATGTGAGTGTGAATTCATTATTACCTTTTTCCAAATGGCTATTCTGTTATTCCAGCATCGCTGAATTTCAAAGTCATTTTTTCCCCAGAAATTTGAGGTGGGTCTTTCTCATATAGTGAATTTCCATATGGAGATGGGTCTATTTTTAGGCTATTTTTTTTTGTTTGTTTGTTTTGTTTTTTGTTTTTTTTGAGACGGAGTTTACCTCTTGTTGCCCAGGCTAAAGTGCAATGGTGCAATCTCAGCTTACTGTCACCTCTGCCTCCCCGGTTCAAACGATTCTCCTGCATCAGCCTCCTAAATAGCTGGGATTACAGGCATTCGCCACCACACTTGGCTAATTTTGTATTTTTAGTAGAGATTGGGCTTCTCCATGTTGGTCAAGCTGGTCTCAAACTCCCACATCAGGTATCCGCCTGCCTCGGCCTCCCAAAGTGCTGGGATTACAGGCATGAGCCACCATGCCCAGATTTCTAGGCTGTTTATTCTGTCTCATTGGTCTATTTGTCTACTAATTGGCAAGGGCCACACTGTTTTAGTTATAGATGTTTTGCATTATTTTTTAATATATGGTAGAGCTGATCTGTATGGGCTAAAATTAGTTTAGGTGATTGGGGAAGGTACCTTTGAGGAGGGTGTCATTTACCTTGCATTATAAATAGCAAGGAGTCAGTCATGTGAATAATATTTCATGCAGGAAGAAGGGCTAGAGAAAAAGTGAAAGTAGGGAAAATGCTTGGAAATAATATCAGCATTGAAATCAGGGTCGATATTGTAAGGAAGTCTTAGTCGGGAGTTTGGATTTTGTTTCAAATTCAATAAGTCACTGGAGGGTTTTAAATAAAGGAAGTTGGACTACGAAGCAGGTGAGGAGTGACTCAATATGATTTACATTTTAAAAAGGTCTCCTTGGCTAAAGAGTAAAGAATGAACTATAGGAGTCAGGAGAAGAGGCAGAGAGGCCAGTTCGAAGGCCATTGTCATTGTCATAGTCCATGGTGTGACTTGGACAAGGGAGGTGGCATTGACAATGAGGGTGAGTGAACAATTTAGACTACTAGGGTGGATATGGGGACATAAAAGAAATAGAATAATTGAGTTTGAGTTAGAAGAATTGAGTTACTGAACCAAATGGTTCAGTAACTAGGGAAGAAAAGAGAAGAGCGAATTTGAAGAAAAAAGTCAACAGTTCTGTGTTGATTATGTTAATTCAGATTCCCTCTACACATCAAAGTAGAAACCTCAAAGTAGGCAATAAGGTACACATCTTTGGAACTTAAAGGGAAAATTATGAAAATAAGAAATTGGAAGTCACTGTCTCAGGTGTTATTTGAATCATAGGACAGGGTGGATTTCCTTAGGGAGGCTTTAATAGTTGGTAACTATTTTAATACTCTATTGATATAGCCCAAGGGCACTTAACAGAATAGTCATCCATTCATTTGTTATAATTGCAACATATGTTCATGGGGGTATAGATTTTTTTTTTGAGCAAATATTTATTGAAAGCCTACCTCTGGCGGGGCCTGGTGGCTCACACCTGTAAGCCCAGCACTTTGGGAGGCCGAGGTGGGCGGATCACTTGAGGTTAGGAGTTCCAGACCAGCATGGTTAACATGGTGAAACCCTGTCTCTATTAAAAATACAAAAATTAGCCGGGTGTCATGGCAGGCACCTGTAATGCCAGCTACTCGGGAGGCTGAGGCAGGAGACTCACTTGAACCTGGGAGGCAGAGGTTGCAGCGAGCCGAGATGGTGCCATTGCACTCCAGCCTGGGTGACAGAGCCATCTCAAAAAAAAAAAAAAGAAAGAAAGAAAGGAGAAAAAAGAAAAAACAGAAAGCCTACTTCTCAAGATGATGTTTTCTTACTTGTCTGTCACTCTGCTAATCCCTGAGGGCAGGAGTAGGATGAAGATGCAAAAGAATTTTGAATATGTATCTCTGTTCTCTGAAACTTCCCTTCTATTAAGAGACTTGAAAAGACATGGAAAAACCTCAGTTGCATTGTGTTTTTCTGTGCAATTTCAGCCAACAAGAAAAAATTGTACAATGATTTCTAGAAACAGAGGAATATAATGTCTTTTCCTAACTTTTTTTTTTTTTTGAGACAGTCTCATTCTGTCACCCAAACTGGAGTGCAGTGGTGCGATCACAGCTCATTGCAACCTCCACCCCCAGGTTCAAGCAATTATCCTGCCTCAGACTCCTGAGTAGCTGGGATTACAGGCATGTGCCACCATGCCTGGCTAAGTGTTTTTTGTATTTTTAGTAGAGACCAGGTCTCACCATGTTGGCCAGGCTAGTTTCAAACTTGTGGCCTCAAGAAATCCACCGGCCTTGGCCTCCCAAAGTGCTGGAATTACAGGCATGAGCCACTGTGTCCGGCCTCCTAACTCTTCTTGAGTTTACCTGGGCAAGTCCATATGTGCAAATCTATCCCATAACAATACAGGAAAATGTCTCAGAAATGACTTCCGTCCTGGGCCCATGAGCTCACCTGAGCCAGTAGGGTAGACATGAATCAAATGAGTGTGTGGTACTATTTAGGCTGAACAATGCTGAATTTCAGAAACAAACACTGCTATGACCCAGGATTCTGTACTTGGCTCTAGGCTTGTACTTGGCTTCTCCCATTGTGATCTCCATCTACTCTGGGGTCTGGATTACTCTCTGCACAAATGACCCCCAAATATTAATAACATTCTACTCGTGTCTGAACGTCCAGCTCACATTTCCAACTTATTCAATAGTGATACGTGTATTTGAAAGTCATATATTGTGCAACCTTATTGTGCAACCTGCAAATGACTAAATTTATCGTCTTATTCCAAATGGGCAGATACATGCTCTACCTCCTGGGATCCCAGGCTCAATTTGTTTTTCTTTTTCTTTTCTTTTTTTTTTTTTTTGAGATGGAGTCTTACTGTTGTCACCCAGGCTGGAGTGCAGTGGCGCGATCTTGGCTCACTGCAACCTTCCTCTCCCAGGTTCAAGTGATTCTCCTGTCTCAGCCTCCAAAGTAGCTGGGATTACAGGCGCCCGCTAACACATCTGGCTAATTTTTGTATTTTTAGTAGAGATGGGGTTTCACCATGTTGGCTAGGCTGGTCTCAAACTCCTGACCTCAGGTGATCCGCCCTCCTCGGCCTATCAAAGTGCTGGGATTACAGGCATGAGCCACCATGCCCGGCCTCCAGGCTCAATTTGTGTGGTCACCAGTCACCCTCACCATCACCAAAGCCCAGAGTCCTTCCCCCATTCCCCGTATCCAGTGAATCACCCAACTCCGCCAACATTTTCCCCCATTTTTTTAAATGTAGAAAAATTCACGTAACATAAAATTTACAGTCATGTTCATTTTTAAGTGGACAGTTCAGTGGCATTCACACTGTTGTGCAACCATCTCTCCCATCCATCTCCATAACTCTTTGCATCTTGCAAAATGGAATCCCTTGGCTGGGCGCGGTGGCTCACTCCTGTAATTCCAGCACCTTGGGAGGCCAAGGCGGCCAGATCACCCGAGGTCAGGAGTTCGAGACCAGCCTGAACAACATGTGAAACCCCATCTCTACTAAAAAATACAAAAATTAGCTGGGCATGGTAGTGCACGCCTGTAGTCGCAGCTACTCAGGAGGCTGAGGCAGGAGAATCTTTTGAACCCGGAGCGGGCAGAGGTTGCAGTGAGCTGAGATGGCGCCACTGCACTCCAGCCTGGGCGACAAAGTGAGACTCTGTCTCAAAAAAAAAAAAAAAGGAAAGCTTTGAGCCAGAGACCACGTTCAACCCTCCTTTAGCTTTTACTAAGCTCTTTGGCTGGATCTAGAAACCAAATTGACACCAGGCATATTAACAAGAGAAAAATGTACAGATTTTATTAGTTTTACGTATACACGGGATCTTTACAAGGGAGTGAAGTCTGAAGAAGTGGTCAAAGCAAGATGCTTTTATACTTTTTAGACAAAGAAGGATAAATTAGAGAAGAAATGACAGGACATAGGAGATCAGGCCAGGGACAGTAAATTTCTAGGAGTCACTAGGAGATACATGGAAGTGTGCAGAACTAGTGGAAGATAAGGGTTACTTCGGTAAGTTTATTTATTCAGGTCCAATGCAGTGCTCAGTTCCCTGTCTCTGGTAATAAGGGCTGTGTTCTCCTTCTGGTATGCGGAAGGAATCTTTATGGCTTTCTGCATGCAGGAAGAGACAGTCAGCTAGCCCTTTCTGAAACTGCAGTTTCTCCAATGTCTTCAAATCAAAATAATCAATATGCAAATTGGGCATATTTTGGGGTGACACAGCCTTAACTCCTTCACCCTATACCCATTAAACGATAACTCCTCATCCTCCCTATGCCAGCCCCTGGCAACCACCATTCTATTTTCTGTCTCTATGAATTTGACTATGTCAATTCCCTCATATAAGTGGAATCATACAGTATTTGTCTTTTGTAATCAGCTTATTTTTTTTTAGCATAATGTCCTTAAGATTTATTTGGCTGGGTACGGTAGCTCATGCCTTTAATCCCAGTACTTTGGGAGGCCGAGGCAGGTGGATCCCCTGAGGTCAGGAGTTCGAGACCAGCCTGGAGACAGCACCACTGCACTCCAGGCTGGGAGACAGAGTGAAACTCTGTCTAAAAAAAAAATAATAAATAAAAAAGATTTATTTATATTATAGCATATGTCAGAATTTCCTTCCTTTTTAAGGCTGAATAATATTCTATTGAATGTATATAACACATTTTGAGTTAATCTGTGGCCTAACATATGGGCTGTCTTGGAAAATGTTTCACGTACAATGAGAAAAATGTGTATACTGTTGTTGTTGAATAGAGTGTTCTGTATATGTCTGTTAGATCTAGTAGGTTTATTGTGTTAAGTCCTCTATTTTCTTTCTTTCTTTCTTTTTTTTTTTTTTGAGACAGACTCTCGCTCTGTTGCCCAGGCTGGAGTGCAGTGGCGTGATCTTGGCTCACTGCAACCTCTGCCTCCCAGGTTCAAGCAATTCTCTTGCCTCAGCCTCCTGAGTAGCTAGGATTACAGGTGTGTGCCACCACACGTGGCTAATTTTTGTATTTTTAGTAGAGACAGGGTTTCACCACGTTGGCCAGGCTGGTCTCCAACACCTGACATCGTGATCCACCTGCCTCGGCATCCCAAAGTGCTGGGATTACCAGCATGAGCCACCACACCCAGCCAAGTCATTTATTTTCTTACTTATCTTCTGTCCGATTGTTCTGCCCATTATTGAGAATGGGGTATTGAAGTCTCAAACTATTATTGTAGAACTGTCTATTTCGCCCTTCAATTCTATCAGTTTTTGCTTTGTATATTTTTATGGTCTGTTATGAGGTACATACATGTTTATAATCCTTATATTTTCTTGCTGCATTGTGCCTTTTATTAACATATAATGTTCTTTGCCTGTTGTAAACTTTTTGGACTGAAAGTCTATTTTGTCTAATATTAGTATAGCCACCCCTGCTCTCTTTTGGTTATTATTTGCATACAGTATTTTCTTCCAATCTATCACTTTCCCCTTTTTTTTTTCTCCATTCTGTCACCCAGAATGGAGTGCAGTGGCATGATCTCCGCTCACCGCAACCTCCACTTTCCAGGCTCAAGCGATTCTCTTGCCTCAGCCTCCCAAGTAGCTGGGATGACAAGTGCGTGCCACTACCGCCTGACTAATTTTTCTTTTTTGTGTGTGTTTTTAGTAGAGACGGGGTTTCACCATGTTGGCCAGGCTCGTCTTGAACTCCTGACCTCAAATTACCCACCCACCTTGGCCTCCGGAAGTGGTGGGATTATAGGTGTGAGCCACTGCACCCAGCCCATCCTATCACTTTCAATCTATTTATGTCTTTGGATTTCAGTGGAGTCTCAGAGACAGCAAGCTTTGCCAATTTTTATCTCATAAGCATTTCTTATTTCTTCATTTGTAAATTTTATTTTATTTTGTTTTTAGAGACAAAGTCTGTCTATATTGCCCAAGCTGGCATGCAGAGGCTATTTCACAGGTGCGATAATCACACACAACAGCCTCGAACTCCTAGGCTCAAGCAATCCTCCTGCCTCAGCCTCCTGAGTAGCTGGGATTACAGGCACACGCCACCGAGCTTACCTCTCCTAAAGGATTTCTTGAGTTTCTTGGTTCTGTGGCTTACTCTCCGAACTTTCAAGCACTACTCTAATTTGGGTCTTTATTTCACTTACTGGTCTATTGTTGTCACTGACTAAGTGGTTTTTTTTTTTTTCTCTCTTCTTTTTTTTTTTCCTTTTTTGAGACAGAGTCTCACTCTGTCACTTAGGCTGGAATGCAGTGGCCTGATCTTGGCTCACTGCAACCTCCACCTCCCAGGTTCAAGCTATCTTCCTGCTTCAGCCTCCCCAGTAGCTGGGAGTATAGGTGCCCACCACCATGCTGGCTAATTTTTATATTTTTAGTAGAGATGGTTTTCATCATGTTGATCAGGCTGGTCTCAAACTCCTGTCCTCAGGTGATCCGTCCGCCTCAGCCTCCCAAAGTGCTGGGATTACAGGCGTGAGCCACCGTGCCCGGCCCTAAGTTGTTTTGATAGAAATTTCATGTCCTTTAAATCCATCCTTCCCACTGCAGCCAGCGTGAACGGTCTCCATGCCAATTTTGATCTTGCTGTTTTCTTTTTTCCTTTTTCCCTTGGTGACTGGCAGTTTTCTCTAGATCATCTTCAGGCTTCTTGGCATGGCATCGAAGTCTTCATTGACAGGCTCCAGCTTGCTACTCCCATATCATCTCTGCTCCCTTCAGAGTTACACCAAATGCTTTGAAGCCATCACCGATTGCCACTGTTCCTTTTTTTAATTTTAATTTTAATTTTTTTGTTTTTTGAGACAGAGTTTCACTCTTGTTGCCCAGACTGGAGTGCAATGACATTATCTCGCCTCACCGCAACCTCTGCCTCCCAGGCTCAAGCGATACTCCTGCCTCAGCCTCCCAAGTAGCTGGGATTACAGGCGCCTGCCACTATGCCCGGCTAATTTTTGTATTTTTAGTAGAGATGGGGTTTCTCCATATTGGTCAGGCTGGTCTTGAACTCTCGACCTCAGGTGATTGGCCCACCTCGGTCTCCCAAAGTGCTGGTATTACAGGCATGAGTCACCTCACCTGGCTGATTGCCACTGTGGCCGTTCCTTCTGCAGCCGTTCCCACCTTTCCTCTGTGTCCTTGTTTATCCCTGAGACTAGATTGGGCAGGGGAAAACACCTCCTGGGCATCTTCCTAGAGTCACCGAATCTTCTTTGTCATAAAGTATTGAAATCTGCCATTCATACAACCCTTGAACTCCTGCAGACCTGCGCTGTCTTGTCGAGGCAGAGTGTATGCCTCATGGGTAATTTTTAATTGTCTAGTAAACACATTAAAAAAGTAAAAAGAAAGGGGTGGAATTATTATTATTATTATTATTATTATTATTATTATTATTATTGAGACAGAGTCTCACTCTGTTGTCCAGGCTGGAGTGCAGTGGCACGATCTGGGCTCACTGCAATCTCTGCCCCCCGGGTTCAAGCAATTCTCGTGTCTCAGCCTCCTGAGTAGCTGGAATTACAGGCACACGCCATCACGCCTGGCTAATTTTTGTATTTTTAGTAAAGACAAGGTCTCACCATGTTGACCAGGCTAGTCTGAAGCTCCTGACCTCAAGTGATCCATTCACTTTGGCCTCCCAAAGTGCTGGGATCACAGTGGAATTAACTTCAGTGACATATTTTATTTAACCTAATATATCCAAATGTCATCTCAACATGTACCACTCACCGTATTTCAAGCACTCAACAGCCAAACACGGGGCTAGTTGCTACTGTGACAGCTCAGTTCAGCTTGGATAGTAAATTTATAAGGGCTGGGATGTCTGCTGCTCATCTTTCTTCTTAGATTCCAGGACAACATTTCTCAAATTGCATATCCCTGAATACCTGCTTCAGAATCACCTGGTTGTCATGAGCTTCCTGAATGATTAAAATTGCTGATCCCTGGGTACTTACCCACATCTACTGACTCTAAGGCCCTAGGGTTAAGGTATAGGGATCTGTCTTTTGTTTGTTTGTTTTTTGTTTTTGTGAGATAGAGTCTCGCTCTGTCCCCTAGGCTGGAGTACAGTGACACAGTCTCAGCTCACTGCAACCTCTGCCTCCTGGGTTTAAGTGATTCTCGTGCCTCAGCCTCCTGAGTAGCTGGGATTACAGGCTCCCGCCATCATGTCTGGCTAATTTTTCTATTTTTAGTAGAAATGGGGTTTCACCATGTTGGTCAGGCTGGTCTCGAATTCCCGACCTCAGGTGATCTGCCTGTCTCAGCCTCCCAAAGTGCTGGGATTACAGGCGTCAGTCACCGCACCCAGCCTAGGGATCTGTATTTTAAACTAGTAAGGTGGGTTTGTTCTGCACACCCAGGTTTGAGAACTATCAATTTTTTTTTTTTTTTTTTTGAGACGGAGTCTCGCTCTGTTGCCCAGGCTGGAGTGCAGTGGCGGGATCTCGGCTCACTGCAAGCTCTGCCTCCCGGGTTAATGCCATTCTCCTGCCTCAGCCTCCTGAGTAGCTGGGACTACAGGCTCCCGCCACCACGCCCGGCTAAGTTTTTGTATTTTTAGTAGAAACAGGGTTTCACCGTGTTAGCCAGGATGGTCTTAATCTCCTGACCTCGTGATCCGCCCACCTCGGCCTCCCAAAGTGCTGGGATTGAGAACTATCAATATTTTGAACCATATGTTCGTGTGTTGGAATCCTCGCTTGTCTGTTTATTGGATGTTGGATTTGGAGACTCGGTAGTAAAGTAACTTACGCAGTTTCCTCAAAATGAGGATGATACTATTTGCCCGGTTTATCTTAAGAGACTACTGTGCAGATTAAATGGGACTGATGGATATGAAAGCTTCTTTGCATAGTATAAGTACTCCATAAAAGTTTTTATGAGATTATCAGTTCCTGGTAGCAGATTACAAATATATAATAAATATAGGTATGGCATTTGCCATTTTACTTACTTTGTGCATGAGCCTATAGTGATTTTTTTTCTTTTTTTTGAGACGGAATTTCGATCTTATTGCCCAGGCTGGAGTGCAATGGCACGATCTCAGCTCACTGCAACCTCCACCTCCCGGGTTCAAGTGATTCTCCTCCCTCAGCCTCCCAAGTAGCTGGGATTGCAGGCATGTGCCACTACGCCCAGCTAATTTTGTGTTTTTAGTAGAGATGGGGTTTCAGCATGTTGGTCAGGCTGGTCTCAAACTCCCGACCTCAGGTGATCTGCCCTCCTCGGCCTCCCAAAGTGCTGGGATTGCAAGCGTGAGCCACCGCGCCTGGATGATTTTTTTTTTCTTTTGAGACAGGGTCTCACTTTGATGCCCAGGCTAGAGTGCAGTGGCACGATCATAGCTCCCTGCCACCTCCAAATCCTGGGTTCAAGTGATCCTCCTGCCTCAGCCTCCCTTTAAGGAAAGGAAGGATGAGAAGTATGTGGCACTTTCTGTTTTTGCTCCATAAAGGGCCTTTCCGGAAGTTTGGGGGGTTCCCATCTCTTGTGACTCGTTGGCTTCTGTGGGCTGCCCTCTGGTCAGCCACCGCTCTGTGTCGTCCAGCGATCCAGTTCTACCAGGCCCTTGGCACTCTGATGGCCTCCCCTAACCCCGCAGGCTCAGTGACGCGTGATAGGGGACTCCAGGGACAGAGACGACAGAGACACTGCTGCTGCAGCCTGGATGACAGGCTCAGCTCAGAGCAGCACGTGGCAGCGCTGGCAACCTGCCAGCTCTGGGTTCTGTCTGTTTTGTGTTCCTCACTCATAACTGTTTATTGTGACAGGTAAACACTTGTTTTGAAAGCTTGCAGGCATACTATTAAAACACAAGTGTTCTTGACACAGTCAAGCTGGGCTGTAAAATGTTTATCTTTCTGAGTGACAGCTGCTGGCTTTTCTTCTTTCTTGCTTTCTTCCCTCCTTTTCCTTTCTTCCTTTTCTTCCTTCTTTGCTTGACCTATTTCCTTCTTCTCTCTCTGCACTGTCCCTGCTATCTGAGGAGTGACCATGAGTTCCTGACTATTCTCTTGGGAGGAAAGGGTGGAGGAGTGATAAATGGAGTGGGTTGAACTCTCTAATGACTTGTTGTGGTGGTGCTGGATATTTTGGGTATTGGCATGTGTAATTCATGAACGAATCTATATATTGTCAACAAAATTAAATACACTGCTGAAACAATAAAAATGATAAAAAATAAAATTCAACTAAATTTAGAGGTTTTTTTTTTTTGAGATGGACTCTTGATCTGTCACCCAGGTTGGAGTGCAGTGGCGTGAACTCAGCTCACTGTAACCTCCGCCTCACAGGTTCAAGTGATTCTCCTGCCTCAGCCTCCTGAGTAGCTGGGATTACAGGCACCCGCTACCACACCTGGCTAATTTTTTTTTTTTTTGTATTTTTAGTAGAGAGGGGGTTTTGCCATTTTGGCCAGGCTCCTCTGGAACTCCTGACCTCAAGTGTTCCCCCTGCCTTGGCCTCCTTAAACTTGTTATTTTAGTATATGTGCTGTTGAGGCGAGCACGAAACTTATTATTTTAAAATAATTATAGATTCACTTGAAGTTACAAGAAATAATAGAGAGAGGTCCTGTGTACCCTTCACCCAGCTTCCTCCCAATGATAACCTGTTATATGATGATAGTACAATATCACAATTGGGAAATTGACACCAGGATAATCTAAGGACCTGACTGAGATTCCCCTCCCCCCCCATTACGTGCATTCATTGTGTGTGTGTGTGTGTGTGTTTAAAGTTAAGAGGTTCTCTAGAACCACTCATCTTGGAAAAGAAGGGGATGTAGTAGAAGCCCCTTTTGTCTGCAAACGGGATTTTGGAGGAAAAACCTTCAATGGGTGCATCCTGTTGAATGTGTTTTTTCCTCCCAACCCCACCTCCCCTAACACAGCTGTCTTTGCAGGCTCACTTGGGCTGCATGGTTGTGTGGTGTCACATTCTTTTAGAAACATTCTTTCTGCTCTCCTAGGTGACAGCTTGTTTCTGAAATTAATCTGCAAATGTGTGAGTTGGAACTAATGATTTGAGAGGTTATCCTTTTCAGGTAAACCATTAATATGAACCTCTTGACAAAGCTACCCTATCCTGAAGGAGTGACATAAATGGTAGGGACTTCCAGCCACATAGAAGGCCATCTGGGGACATAGTTGAAGCTGACAAGTCTTAATGAGACTCTCAGTCTTCCTTATATCGAGTCAAATGGTCCATTCCCTAATTCTTATCACTGATCTTAGCTTTAATTTCTGTAGATTGATTTAATCTTGTTTCCTCATGACAGCCTTTGAAATATGAGAAGACAGCTCCCAAGCTCCATTTACAGCTCTATTTCTATTTCTCCAGATTAATTGTTTTCTATAATGGCAGGTTCTCACTCTGTTTCCCAGGCTGGAGTGCAGCGATGCTATCACAGCCCACTGTAGCCTCAAACTCCTGGGCTCAAGTGATCTTTCTGCCTCAGCTTAGCAAGTAGCTGGGACTACAGGTATGCACCACCATACCTGGCAGTTTTTTAAATTTTCAGTAGAAAAAGGGATCTCGCTTTGTTGGCCAGGCTGGTCTGAAACTTCTGGCCTCAAGCAATCTTCCTGCCTTGGCCTCCCAAAGTGCTGAGATTACAGGCACGATCCACTGCACCTGGTCCTGATGAAATATTTCCGCACTATTTCTTCATGATGAGAAATCTTGTCATTCTCTTTGGTTTTCAACTTTTGTTAATTGATGCCCCTCTCAAACTATGATGCCCCAACTTGAAGAGAATAATATTATGGATATTATATTGCTAATGTGGATGTAAACAGGCCATGGCATCTCTTGCTTTGGTTGAGTTTTGTTCTATATAAGTTTATGTGACCATCTCATGCAATGAATCATGTGTGGTTTCAATCACTAAAATCTACGTGTCTGCTTTATGCTTAACCCTGTTAAATTTTATATGAGATGTCACCCACTGCCCCAATCCTTTGAAATAAATTTTCATTTTATTTTATTCTGGGAATTCATTGTGGTAATAACTTTAGAAGTCATCACTAAAAAATAACATATAAGACAAAAGTATGCCATTACTTCCCTCATGTAGTGGAGCAATGCATTGTGTGTGTGTGTGTGTGTGTGTGTGTGTGTGTGTAATTGATGATTGAGTCTTTTATTTTGGAAAAGCAAATTTAGACATCCTGCTGAAAAATAAAGGACATAAAAAAATTAAATTTAACTAACATCGGTGGAAGTAATAACTATAGGTGGAAGGCCGAGGCAAGCAGATCACTTGAGGTCAGGAGTTCGAGACCAGCCGGGCCAACATAGTGAAACCGCATCTCTACTAAAAAAAAATACAAAAATTAGCCGGGCATGGTGGCATGCACCTGTAATCCCAGCTACTCAGGAGGCTGAGGCAGGAGAATTGCTTGATTCCACAAGGCAGAGGTCGCAGTGAGCCGAGATCACGCCATTCCAGCATGGGTGACAGAGTGAGACCCTGTCTCAAAAAAATAAATAAATAAAATTATAGATTCACAGTTTTCCCAATAGTAATATCTTGAATGACCATAGTACAATATCACAACCAGGAAATTTACATTAGAATAACCCAGGCCATGGCATCTCTTGCTTTGGTTGAATTTTATTCTATATAAGATTATGTGACCATCTCATGTAACAAATCATGTGTGGAGTTAAGAGTAATCCATAGGCCTTATTTGGATTTCAACCATTTTACATGCACTCCTGTGTGTGTGTGTGTGCTCTCGTGTGCATGTGTGTGTGAGTGTGAATTGAAGTGTTTTTGACACTGGAGATCAAGTTTGGTGTGAATACCTTTTAGATGTCAGACTGCCCTGATTGGATAGCATCATGACACCACAGCCAGAGAATGGGACTGTCTGTGAATGGCCCCAGGCACTTAGCTTGTTCTTATATCTATAAAGTGACTATAATTCTATTGACCCTCATTTTTCACAGGGTGAGATCATGACCAGAAGAGCACTTTGGAAAATGGGAACCGCTGTCTACAATTTGTGCTTATTATTAGAATATTACTCTTTTAAAAGACACACACTCTATTCACATCAAACGTAACCCATTATGCTGTATTTCACGTAAAAGCTCATCACATTTGATGCTACTGAAAGAAATGAAGTTTTCAGCCTGGTTTCCTGTTTCCTTTCATGTACAAAAACATTCATCTGGTAATTAAAATAAAACATTCAAAGGAACAGAAAATAAAAGTGCCCTGTTAACATTAAAGAGTAAAATGAAGAAAGTTCAGATAAAATAGAGTGTTGAGGCTGTTGTGGAGACGAATAAAACCTTTGTGGAGGACAGCATTCTCATTGCAATTAAATTGAAATATCAAGTCCGGTTCAATGGCTACTCCAGTGAGACAAAATAGAAAGGAATCATGCCTTCCAATACTGCATTTTAGTTCTTTGATATTAGGCATTCTATTGGAGTAGGTGGACGTAGGTTAGAAGTGGCAATTGATGAAGAACCTACTCGTAAGAATGGAGAAAAGGGCCGGGCACGGTGGCTCACGCCTGTGATCCCAGCACTTTGGGAGGCCGAAGCGAGCGGGTCACGAGGTCAGGAGATCAAGACCATCCTGGCTAACATGGTGAAATCCAGTCTCTACTAAAAATTAAAAAAAATTAGCCAGGCATGGTGGTGGGCGCCTGTATTCCCAGCTAGTCGGGAGGCTGAGGCAGGAGAATGGCGTGAACCCGGGAGGCGGAGCTTGCAGTGAGCTGAGATGGCACCACTGCACTCCAGCCTGGGCAACAGAGCGAGACTCTGTCTCAAAAAAAAAAAAAAAAAAATAGAATGGAGAAAGGTAGGTATGGAAGGCTGTTACAATGGAAAAAGTAGGTTCCAGTTATGGTTTAACAATAGGACTCTCATGGTTTTGGGCACTTTGAAACATTATTGGACTCTGGGAGAGACCCACAATGGAATTACTTGACCAAAGACTTTTTTTTTATTTATTTGTTTTTGACAGAGTTTCGCTCTTGTTGCCCAGGCTAGAGTGCAATGGCGCAGTCTCGGCTCACCACAACCTCTGCCTCCCGGGTTCAAGTGATTCTCCTGCCTCAGCCTCCTGCGTAGCTGGGATTACAAGCATGCACCACCATGCCCAGCTAATTTTGTATTTTTAGTAGAGACAGGGTTTCTCCATGTTGGTGAGGCTGGTTCTGAACTCCTGACCGCAGGTGATCCACCCCCCTCGGCCTCCCAAAGTGCTGAGATTACAGGCATGAGCCACGGTGCCCGGCCTTGACCAAGGACTTTATACAATGGTCCAAACTACCTTCAAACTTAATTCTGTTTTGGCAAATAGGACTACATTAGAGGTTGACAATATAAAGTACTTCAAGAAAACGTTTAGATAAGCTCATGAATAGTAGATGTATTGTGTGTTATTAAGGAGAAGTTAGGAATGTTCAAAGTACCACCTTTGAGGCTGACATCAAGAACTCCCATGCCTGGCCAGGTGTGGTGGCTGATGCCTGTAATCCCAGCACTTTGGGAGTCCGAGGCAGGAGGATTACTTGAGGCCAGAGGTTCGAGAGCAACCTGGGCAACACAGTGAGACCCTATTCCTACAAAAAATTAAAAATTAGCTGGGCATGGTGGCATGCATCTGTGGTCCCAGCTACTCAAGAAGCGGAGGAGGTGAGATAATCTCTTGAACCCAGGAATTTAAGCCTGAGATGAGCTATGCTTGCACCACTGCACTCCAGCCTGGGAGACAGAGGTGAGGCCCTGTCTCAAAACACAAAAACCAAAAAAAAAAAAAAAAAAAAAAGAAAGAAAGAAAGAAAGAAAGGTAGGAAGGACAAAGGAACTCCTGCCTCCTGTGTCCTCCCACAGCATATCACTGGGGGGCCCTGTCAAATGAGGGGCACTAGGTTGAGAACTATAAAACAATCTGTTGATTTATGCATTTAAAACCTCAAGACTTTTTTTTTTTTTTTTTTCTGGAGATGGAGTTTCGCTCTTGTTGCCCAGGCTGGAGTGCAATGGTGTGATCTCGGCTCACTGTAACCTCCACCTTCCGGGTTCAAGCCATTCTTTTGCCTCAGCCTCCCCAGTAGCTGGAATTATAAGTAAGCACCACCATGCCCGGCTAATTTTTTATATTTTTAGTAGAGACGAGGTTTTTCCATGTTAGTCAGGCTGGTCTCGAACTCCCGACCTCAGGTGGTCCTCCCACCTCAGCCTCCCAAAGTGCTGGAATTACAGGCATGAGCCACCACGCCTGGTTGGACTTTTGTCTCAAATGAAATTGTTAAAGGAACCCACATTTTACAAAATATGTGGTATGTGGTGGAAAAAACTTCCTTCCATGAGTCTCTTTTCCAGGGTATATGGGAGATAAGGAGGGGAAGACCAGGGCTTTTAGGCCCGGCTCTTCCTGGTGCTGAGATACTGGAAGACTGCCTTGTAAAGCATCTAGGGATGTAAATTCAGGAAAAGTTCTTTAAGCATTAGACCAAAGCTGAGTGAGCTGGGAGATTATGGATCTCGCATGTAGACCTGATAACGGGCATCGGTAGGATCTTAATCCTTGGAGAGCCAGGTGCCTCCCTCTGCCCACATGATGTGCATGCAAGTAAAAAAGAAACATGGAACTAAATTATCTCCCAGTTTTTCCTCCTCCGCAGTCCCCTCCAGCTCTATCCTTCCTTTCTACCAAGAGCAGAGCCACTTAGAGGACAAGGTACTCATCACGTCTGGCTCAGGTCCAATGCTGTGAAGAGGTACCAGATACAAGAGACAGGTGGGACTGGCTCACTTTTTAGAACAATTTAACTGGAGAATGTGGAGCCAGGGATGTTATAAAGACACAAGGATGAGGGGGAATGGAAGTGAGGGGAACGTAAGGAGGAATGGATAGAGGCTCATGGAGACACAGGCAGACTCAACAGTTGTCAAGGGCACAGTCTAAAGATTTGGGGGGCTGGGCGCAGTGGCTCATGCCTGTAATCCCAGCACTTTAGGAGGCCAAGGTGGGTGGATCACCTGAGGTTGGGAGTTCGAGACCAGCCTGACCAACATGGAGAAACCCTGTCTCTACTAAAAATACAAAAAAAAATTAGCCAGACATGGTGGTGCATGCCTGTAATCCCAGCTACTTGGGAGGCTGAGGCAGGAGAATCACTTGAACCCAGTAGGCAGAGCTTGCAGTGAGCCAAGATTGCACCATTGCTCTCCAGCCTGGGCAATAAGAGTGAAACTCAATCTCAAAAAAAAAAAAAAATGGGAGGACTAAGACTCCATACTCTTGGGTAGTGTAAGGAAACACATTAGCTCAACTGGGGTGAGCTACACCTCTGTGTTACTGCCTCCCCTTAATCCTCTGTGATTCACATTTTCTCCTTGGATATCTTGAAGATAGCAAGAACAAGTATGAAAGGTATAGAAATGTAACTTAATTTTTCAAAATTAAACTTAATTTCAGCCTGGTGTGATAACTCATGACTGTATTCCCAGCACTTTGGGAGACCAAGATGGGTGAATCACCTGAGGCCAGGAGTTCAAGACCAGCCTGGCCAACATGGCAAAACCCTGTCTCTACTAAAAATACAAACAATTATCCAGGCGTGGTGGCAGGCACCTGTAATCCCAGCTACTTGGGAAGCCGAGGCAGGAGAATCACTTGAACTGGCGTGGTGGAGGCTGCAGTGAGCCAAGATGATGCCATTGCACTCCAGCCTGGGCAACAAGAGCAAAACTCTGTCTCAAAATAAATAAATCAATAAAAATAAAACAAAATGAACTTAATTTCTCTCACAAGCCTGCATTCTGCCAAATGGTGTGAATATTATCTCAGCTGATTCATGGTCGTCTCAGTCAGTTCTGGGGTCGAGGGTCTTGGTGGTCCAGTCCTGGTGGTAGGGGTTCTTCTTTGTTATCTATATGGACTGGTGTCCTCCAGAGCATCTCCCTACCTGTCTGGACTTTGACATTTGGTCCACGTAGGTTTTTCTTTGTTATATCTTTCTGATCTAATGGACAACCTCTTTGTTGAGGATCCCAAGATCAGCCCCAGGCTGGAGTAATCACCAGGAGAACTTGCAGATTTCAGCCTGTACTTGTCTTTATGTTATGATTAATTAATTAATTTATTTATTTATTTTGAGATAGAGTCACCCTGGCTGGAGTGCAGTGACACAATCTCAGCTCACTGCAATCTCCACCTCCCAGATTCAAGTGATTCTCCTACCTCAGCCTCCTGAGTAGCTGGGGTTACAGGAACCTGCCACTATGTCCAGCCATTTCTTGTATTTTTAGTAGAGACAAGTTGGCCAAGCTGGTCTTGAACTCCTGACCTCAGGTGATCCACCCACCTCAGCCTCCCAAAGTGCTGAGATTACAGGCGTGAGCCACCATGACCAGCCTATGTCTATGATTTATTACAGTGAAAGAATACACAGCAAAATCATCAAAGGGGAAAAGCATATGGGGCAAAGTCCAAGAAAAGCAGGTTCAAACTTCCAAGAGTCCTCTATCAGTGGAGTCACTTAGGATGTGCTTAACTCCTTCAGGAAAGAGTGTGACAACATGTGAGAAACACTGTCTATCAAGGAGCCTCATTAGAGACTCAGTGTCCAAGGTTTTTATTGGAGGCTCATCACATAGGCATCCTCTGTTCAGCACAGGCTCCCATAAGCAAAGCAGGTACTCAGCATTTATCACATTGTTTGTTCAAACCAATTAGGCACAGTGAGTCAGTCTTATCAGTTAGAGAAATTCTTTCAAAATTCAAGTTCACAGATGCCAGCCAAAGGCCAATCTTGCAAAGAAGTCTCTCTAAGGACAAGTCTCTGACCTGCTATGTTAACTCTTTTTTGCCCAGCCCCTTCATCTCTCATGGAGTTTTGTGCCAAGTCTGTGCTGCTGTTGGGCATCCAAGAAAAGTACTCTTCACCTAAGATGCCCTGAGAGGTGGGAAAACTCATGGACTTTGTGCATCATGAGATCTTTTGTTGGTAGGGTCTTGCTGCCTTTCTGGGCTCTGCCTAGTTTGAGGAAATCCAGGATTCTCTGATCTCTGACTCCTCATATCTACCTGTTGACTTTCTTGTTGCTTCTTTTCCTCTATTTCTAGGACTTGGCCAAGGGAAGCAGGTTGTAAAGGATGTTTTCTATCCCTTAGCTTCACTCTCTTTTCCCTGTTTAGAGGATTTTTTTTCCATTTTACAGATACAGGGTCTGGCTTTGTCACCCAGGCTGGTATGCAGTGGTGCCATCATAGCTTACTGCAACCTCGAATTCCTGGGATCAAGAAATCCTCCCACCTCAGCCTCCTGAGTAGCTTAGACTACAGGTGTGCACCACCATATGCAGCTACGTTTTAATTTTTTTTGGATAGACGGGGGTCTTACTCTGTTACCCAGGCTGGTCTTGAATCCCTGGCCTCAAGAGATCTTCCCACCTCAGTCTCCCAAAGTACTGGGATGCCCAGCCATTTAAAAATAAATAAATTCAGGGGCAACAAATGGCAAAAGAATAAGGGTAGGAGAACTATGGATGATATTCTCTTTATCCCCAGCTCCTCCTTATCACCTCCTCCCTAACATCATGCAGCTCAGGCAGTGGCAGGTGGATACTATGGTACGGAAGTATCTGCTTGTGGAAGAAGATCAGATTGAAGATACAACTGGCTACATTTTCCACAACCAGAGTTTTTCCCTTCCCTTCCCTTCCCTTGAACTTCTCTCCCATCCCTGAGGCTCTTCAGAATAGGTACTCACCCATTTGTGTTCAGAGATGGAGAGAGAAAGCAATTTCTCTTTAAAACCCACATCAAGCATATGCCTATCATCTCAGCTACTTGGGAGGCCAAGGAGGGAGGATTGCTTGAGCCCAGGAGGTCGAGGCTGCAGTGAGCGATGATTGCACCACTGCACTCCAGTCTGGGTGACAGAATGAGACCATGCCTCAAAAAATAAATACACAAATAAATAAAAATAAAACCCCTAGCAGTACATCCAAGATGGCATTGTGTACTCAAGAACAAAATTCTGTTCAGAGAAAACACAGGGTCTCACCCTGGGGGGGGCCTCCTTATCCTGCACCCCCTGTACGTCACTTGAACCCGGGAGGCAGAGGTTGGAGTGAGCCCAGATCATGCCACTGCATTCCAGCCTGGGTTATAGAGTGAGACTCTGTCTCAAAAAATAAATAAATAAATAAATAAATAATTACATATAACAGAGTGTGATAGAGCAAAGAATGATTCGTGAATCAGGCAGCCCTTAAACCAGAATAGGCTCCAGTGCAGAGAGGGGCTCTGTGAGAGGCTCCAGTGCAGCCACATGGTGGAAAGTTCATGGACAGAGAAGGGAAGGTGATGTACAGAAAATGGAAGTGAGGTACAGAAATAGCCAGATTGGTTACAGCTCAACATTTGCCTTATGTGATGGTTAATACTGAGTGTCAACTTGATTGGATTGAAGAATGCAAAGTATTGTTCCTGGGTGTGTCTCTGAGGGTGTTGCCAAAGGAGATTAACATTTGAGTCAGTGGACTGGGAAAGGCAGACCCACCCTCAATCTGGGTGGGCACCATCTAATTAGCTGCCAGCATGGCCAGCATAAAAACAGGCAGAAGAATGTGGAGAGATCAGACTGGCTTAGCCTCCCAGCCTGTATCTTTCTCCCACGGTGGATGCTTCCTGCCCTCGAACATCAGACTCAAATTCTTCAGCTTTGGGACTCAGTCTGTCTTCCTTGCTCCTCAGCCTGCAGATGGCCTATGGTGGGACTTCCCCTTGTGATTGTGTGAGTCAATACTCCTTAATAAACTCCCCTTTATATGTGTATCTATCCTGTTAGTTCTGTCTGTCTAGAGAGCCCTGACTAATACATCTTATTTGAACATGGTTTCAACAGTTGGCTGCCTTTCATTTGCCAAAACTTGGCAATCGGCAGAAGAGTAGATTATAGTCTGCTTACACATTCAGCTAAGTCACAGTTCACTATGGACAGTGAGAGCTTTAAGTTGAACTTAAAATAGGTAAGGAAGCCATATTTGGCTAAATTTAATAGATTCCATCAAGGTCTTACACAAGTCATTTGCACATTAGTGTGAATTTTAATCCCAAAGGAGCACCTACAATTCTCAATGCAATGGTTACCACTCTCCCTTTTTCTTTCACTCAAGAAAGCAAGTTGAATGGATAAAAAGTACCGATGTTGGCCTGGTGCAGTGGTGCTCACTTGTAATCCCAGCACTTTGGGCGGCCGAGGTGGGTGTATCACTTGAGCTCAGGAATTCAAGACCAGCCTGGGCAACACGGTGAAACGCTGTCTCTACAAAAAAATACAAAAATTAGCCAAGTGTGGTGGTGCACACCTGTGGTCCCAGCTACCTGGGAGGCTGAAGTGGGAGAATCACTTGAGCCCAGGAGGTTGAGGCTGCAGTAAGCCATGGGAAACAGAGTGAGAACCTGTTGCTAAAAAAGCAAAATATTCTATCTCGCTTATAAGTAAAGGACATTTTATTATTTTTCCAGAGTGTTCTGGTTATTCTCCCTGATTACAGAGCCTCAGCTTGGTATTGATGAGTTAAACCCAGCTGATTGCCTGGGAGGCACTGACCTCAAAGGGAAGCCCAGGTGTGCAGACTGGAAGTGAGTTCTTTCCCCTTTCTCAGGGACAAACCTTACTAAGGACCCAAAGCTCTGGAGCCTGCCAAAGGGATGAGTGGTACATGATTGTGCCTCATTGGTGACGTCTTTAAGCAAAAGCAGGTTTGTTTCCCCTTTCCCAGTGGACAGGACAATGTCATGGCCAAAGCTACAAGGCCACAGCAACAGCCAATTATGCCTCAGCACTTCTGCCAACATGCTGGGTTAATTGCCTTTGCAGACCTCTGTGTGATGCAGAGCAAGAAGGGGAAAGAATGATTTAGACTTTCAGTAATCTCTTGGGGGTGACGCCTTCAACCACTTAAAGGGAATAAAAAAAAATCTGAGAAATTTCGGTCTCTTTTTAAATTCTTCCCAGGCTTACTCCATCGATCATCCAAGCTGAAACCGCTCTTATGATATATTGTACATGGAGACCACACTACATCATTGGAGTTCTGACATCACCATGGTTCTGTAGTAGGTTATAATGCAAGGTAACAAATTACAATGGTGGACATGGACAAATTCAGTTTTGGGGGAGTTTAAATTAATTTTGAGTGGCTTCAAGTTGGTTTAGAAAGTAATTTTTAAATAAATCAGAGGTGGACTGGGAAAGAGAGCTCCAAAGACTAACGTGCAGAAAGAAACTTCAGGGCCAAATCTGGCTTTAGTTCCTTGAGAGGAATGCGAGCATCACTTAGGTTCAGACACCGCGCCTGCTATCCGAAGAACAGGGCCAGCAGAGGGAGAAAGTGTTGACCCTATAGGCAAAAAAAGACAAACAAAGGTATCATCAAATGATGAAGAGTGCTCCTAGGGGCCTTCAGGCAGTGTTAGTTCATCTTTCTTCCTGGAGGCAAAATTGAAATCTTTCCTTCCTTCCTTCCTTCCCTCCATCCTTCCTTCCTTTTTTCCTTTCCTTCCCTTCTCCCTCCTTCCTTCCTTCCCTCCTTCCCTCCTTGCCTCCCTCACTCTTTTCTCCCTCCTTCCCTTCCTTCCTTCCTTCCTTCCCTCCCTGCCTCCCTCACTCTTCTTTTTCCCCTCCCTCCCTCCCTTCTTTCCTTCCTTCCTTCTTTCCTTCCCTCCATCCTTTCTTCCTTCCTTTTTTCTTTTCCTTCCCTTCTCCCTCCTTCCTTCCTTCTTTCCTTCCCTCCCTGCCTCCCTCACTCTCTCTCTTTTTCCCCTCCCTCCCTCCCTTCCTTCCTTCCTTCCTTCCTTCCTTCCTTCCTTCCTTCATTCCTTCCTCTTTTGGAGAGACAAGGTCTCACTCTCGTGCCCAAGCTGGAGTGCAGTGGCACAACTATAGTTTGATCTTCTGGGATCAAGCAATCCTCCTGCCTCAGCATCTGAGTAGCTGGGACTACAGGCATGTACCACCATGCCTGGCTAATTAAAAAATATATTTTTTTCTAGAGATGGAATCGGCTATGTTGCCCAGCCTGGTCTCAAACTCCAAGCCTCAAGCAATCCTTCCACCTCGACCTCCCAAAGAGCTGGGATTACAGGCATAAGCCACCTTACAGAGCCCAAAACTGGATTTCTTAGAGTACACAAAACAGAATTATATAGCTGTATGTCTGATATAGTAGATGACCCTAAAAGTAACATGGCTTTTGGAATACATTACAGATAACATAGGTGGTGTGGCAAAATGGAGTGAAGAATTAGGAAGCAGGAAACCCATATTCAGTTCTCACTCTTCACACCTGCATGCCATGGACACCTGGATCTCTCTGGACCTCAATTTATTCATTCGCGAAGTTGTGGAATAAAGTACTTAATAGGGCTCTTAGGATAGGAAAATGTTGGAAATGCTGCGAAATCTTTTGCCCCATTTGAAACCATAAAGAATAACGCATTACTACTGCTGCTGTTGATATTATTGTTGTTGGTGTATGTTAGAAGGCAAGGCATTCTAATTGGATTGCAGTCATGCTATCATAATTTATTTATTTATTTGTTTTGTTTTGTTTTATTTTTGAGACAGAGTCTCACTCGCTGTCCCAGGCTGGAGTGCAATGGCACGATCTCCACTCACTGCAACCTCCACTTCCTAGGTTCAAGTGATTCTGCTCCTGCCTCAGCCTCCCGAGTAGCTGGGATTACAGACACGTGCCACCATGCCCAGCTAATTTTTGTAATTTTAGTAGAGATAGGGTTTCACCATGTTGGCCAGGCTGGTCTCAAACTCCTGGTCTCAGGTAATCCACACGCCTCGGCCTCCCAAAGTGCTGGAATTACAGGCATGAGCCACCGTGCCCAGCCACAATTTAAAATAGACATTCACATTGCCTATTGTGGGGTACAGGAAGATGTTGAGATAGAACTGAGTAGAATGCTCTCTTTCAGATAACTAAATGAATTTCACAACACCCTACAAATGGAAAGATTGCCTGCCATCTTGGAGACTTACAGCTCCTTTTACAAAGAGCAGAGACAAAAAGAATCTACATCAAGTGGAGCTTTTTTCCCCCACAAAGAAATACTCATTTCTCAGTGCATAGGGGAATAAATTAGCCACAGTGCCCTGTTCAGGTAGACTTCAGATTAGCTCGACACCACTCCACTATAGATAATTAACCTTCGTACCCAAATTAGCAGTGAAATAAGCCAGTTATTAGTTTTCATAATGAACAAAATTGAGTATTTTGAAAAAGTTAAACCCCTAGAGCTTAAATTAAAATAAGCATCTGGGAGAAATCCCTAAAGCATACTTCAATTCATTAATACTACAAATTCCACAGCAGATTGAACTGACAATGTGCCTTCTCTAAAGGAAATTGAGTCCCTCAAATAATCATTTGGATTGACCTCAGAGACTGATTCTATTTGATGCCCAGAATCTCAAAGACCAGCTGAATAACTGAGCTGTCGTCCTTTTCTTGCTAAGAGGCAAGTGGCAGGCAGAGAAGAGGAAAAAACTACACGAGGCTCTAAAACAAACAAATGGCTTTATTAAAGGTCTAAAAGAAAATTGTCTTAACTCCAGCCTGGAGGACATGCTCCCATTGACTCAACTTTCACTGTGAAAGTCAGCGGACTATGGATCATTGAGCTGAGTGTCACAAGGATTGGTGCTCTCACTTACTGGCCCTATGACCTTGGAAAAGCCATTGACATTCTCCACTTCCCAATTACCTCCCTGGTAAAATGGGAGTAATTACGAATTGCCTCACTCATTTCAGGGTTTACTGGATCAATGTACACAAAATTCTATACATAGAAAGGTGCTATAAACATCAACGTAGGCTTCTCTTTTAGCTGGCAAGTATATTCAACTTAACCCCACACTTCCCATCTGTATTCTCCTAGGGAAATTATAAGATGTCAAAATAATCACGAACTTGTATATTAATAAATATTTGTTAGAAATATTTGGCTGGGCATGGTGATGCATGCCTGTAGTCTCAGCTACTCCAGAGGCTGAGTGGGGAGGATTGCTTGAACACATGAGGTTAAGGCTGCAGTGAGCTATAATTGCACCACTGCACTCTAGCCTGGGTGACAGAGCAAGACCCTGTCTCTTTAAAAAAAATAAGAGTTAGAAATATCTGCTGAGTATTTCACATCAATGATCTCTTTTAAATCCTCCCCAAATCCTATGAGTTCTACTATCCTGTTTATCACCTGCCTAAGATCCCTCAACAATCTAGGGACAAAAGTAAGACCAGAACCTGGGCAGTCCTGCTGCCTAGAGAATTCTTTATACTGGTCAAAGTCTCACAAAATTACAAACTAATGCTAAAACCTGCCCAATTGTCCCATAGAATCGATGCTTATGGTTTTATTTGAATAAACATAGAAATTGACCCTTTCAGCCTTAAAACTTGAGAAACTTACATTTATCTTATCTAAGTTACTTTCTCAGGAAACCAACCATCAGTCCTCCCAGATAGTATCAAGGAACTGAAACTCACCAGATCACCAGGACAATGAGACACCAGACCCCTCACCTGTCATAATTGCCTAACCAATCCCTGCTGCCTGTTGACCAACTCATCTTCCTTATCCCTCCATAATTCCTGTTTTTCGGCATGTAGTTACATTTCTTCCCTGTTATATAAACCCCTGACTTAACTGGTTCAGAGGAGATGGATTTGAGACTGAGCTCCCATCTCCTTAGTGGCAGCACCTGATTAAAGCCTTTCTTCACTGGCGATGCTAATTGTCTCAGTGATTGGCTTTTTGTGCAGTGAGCAGCAGGATCTAGACCCGGCCCCTGGTGTTTTGGTAACAATACCAAACCTGGAAGGTCATTACCAGATCAGAACCTAGGGAGAAGGGCAGACACTGCAACGAAGTGTGTTGTCTCATTTCCTTTGTAAGGCAAACATGCAACATAGGAAATATTTCCTCCACTTTACATAAGAGGACATAGAGGCTCAGGGAAATTAAATAACTTGTCCCAGACTGTGCAGCTAGAAAAGGTGGAACCATTTGCAAACATGAGGGCCATGGTGTTTCCCTGGCCCCCTTGCCTTCCACTGATGAGCTGTGAACTATTCCATCATGTCCTAAAGAGAAGTCACAAGGGAAATGCTCCCCACTTTTATGTTAGGATTAAAAAAATGTTCCTTTACCCTTAGTCTCTATTTGGAGTGGCAAAGAATGAAATCCCTGTTTTTGGTGTTTTTTGGAAGTTACAGGGTCCTGAGGAATGTGGGGACGGATTGGCACATAGAGTGATGCCTGACGTTTGTATGGTGTTTATATTTTCTCCCCCAAGTATGTTGGACTACACCGTTTTTTTGTTTTGTTTTGTTTTGAGATGGAGTCTTACTCTGTCACCCAGGCTGGAGTGCAGTGGCATGATCTCAGCTCACTGCAGCCTCCACCTCCTGGGTTCAAGCAATTCTCCTGCCTCAGCCTCCCAAGTAGCTGGGATTATAGGTGTGCACCACCATGCCTGGCTAATTTTTTTTGTATTTTCAGTAGAGATGGGGTCTCACCACGTTGGCCAGGCTAGTCTCAAACTCCTAACCTCAGGTGAACTGCCTGCCTCGGCCTTCCAAAGTGCTGGAATTACAGGCATGAGCCATCATGCTCAGCCTGGAATACACTGTTTTATACTTATATGGAGGTCAAAGCAACTCCATCTTGGAAGCTAATCTGCCATGTTGGCTTCTGCTTAACTAGCAGTTCTGGGAAGACATCTAAGATTTCCAGTTTATCTATTGTTCCTTGTATAAAAGCAGCTACTTATTGTAAATCCTGCCCTTAAATCAAACAACCTTGATGTTATTGCATTTCAATTATCCCAAGCCTCCCTTCTGAATCACCCTTTCCCAATGGTAGATAAGCTCTCAGTCCCGAAGTTGTGGTGTGGGATCCACCATCTCATCTCACCACCGCCCAAGACACAGGCATGGCTTATGTTCATAAGTCCATATTAAATGTTTCTTTCTTTCTTTCTTCCTTTCTCTCTCTCTTTTCTTTCTTTCTTTCTCCTTTCTTTCCTTCTTTCTTTTCTCTTTTTCTTTCTTTCTTTCTTTTTCTTTCTTTCTTTCTTTCTCCTTTCTTTCCTTCTTTCTTTTCTCTTTCTTTCTTTCTTTCCTTCTTTCTTTCTTTCTTTCTTTCTCTTTCTCCTTCCTTCCTTTCCTCCTCCTCCTTGTTCTTCTTTTCTTTCTCTTTCTTTCTTCCTTTCCTTTCCTTCTTTCTCTCTTTCTCTTCCTTCCTTCCTTCCTTTTTCTTTCCTTCTTTTTTTCCTTCTTTCTTTCTTTTTTTTCATGGAGTCTCACTCTGTCTCCCAGGCTAGAGTGCAGTGGTGCAATCTCTGCTCAAGGCAACCTCCCACTCCCGGGTTCAAGCCATTCTCCTGCCTCAGCCTCCCAAGTAGCTGGGATTAAAAGTGTGTGCCACCAGGACCTGCTAATTTTGTATTTTTAATAGAGGTGGGGTTTCTCCCTGTTGGCCAGGGTGGTAAATGTTTCTTTCTAAGAAATAGGATGGCCAGGCATGGTGGCTCACTCCTGTAATCCCAGCACTTTGGGAGGTTGAGGTGGGCAGATCACGAGGTCAAGAGATCTAGACCATCCTGGTCAACAGGGTGAAACCCCATTTCTACTAAAAATACAAAAATTAGCCAGGCGTGGTGGCAGGCACCTGTAGTCCCAGCTACTCGGGAGGCTAGGCAGGAGAATCACTTGAACCTGAGAGGCGGAGGTTGCAGTGAGCTGAGATTGCACCATTGCACTCCAGCCTGGTGACAGAGCAAGACTCTGTCTCAAAAAAAAAAAAAGAAAGAAAAAGAAAAAAGAAATAGGATTTGTCAGCCTCTTTCTTCAGCCTCTCAACTTCCTTGGACTTCAGGAGCAGGTTTGCGTAGAACTGCCACCGTGAAACAACTCGAATCATCTCTTGAATTTTAAAGCAGGGTGATCCTTAGAGTGTAAACAGTGGCATCACCATCATCCTCGGGTTTATAAGCCCTATATAGGGACTGAGAAGTACTGGGGTAGACCTGGACCACACCCAGACGTGGCAGCTGGGGCCAGTAGATGCCATTCCATCATTCTGCTCAGCTTTGAACTCACCCTCCCTGACATAGGCAGAAATGGCCTGATGAGTTTGGGAAGCAGGCTCTGGGCTGGTGATTTTGGGTGGCACAGGGCCCTGGAATCTGGGGTTGCCTGCGGGTCTATGCTCAGGCAGCCATCTCTTTCCCTATAGCTCATTCATTCAGGAATCCAACCATGCAAACAAGGAAAGAACAAAGTCAGCAAACTTTTCTGTGGGCTCTGTAATGCATTAATATCCGACAGTGGCAAGAATGAGCTGGCTACAGAAAATAATCAAGTTGAGGTTGCAGTGGAGATGAAGATAAATTCAGAGGGATTTTTCATGCACATGAGAGTGTATAGTTCAGTAAGGGAGACATGGTGGCCTCTAAGAGGAGACAGGATAATTTATTGAGAAAGGAGGAAAACAATGAAACAGAAATTCAATGAATATTTGCCCGAGTATTCAAAAAGAGGCTGTAAGCAGATGCTTGGATTGAGCACATATGCCCAAGGGAGAAAGCCGCATAGTAAGAAATCAAGACTGAATCAGAAAAAAAGATGATGAAAAAATTAAAAATTCAAAAGACAAACAGAGCTAGGATACCCATGGAATCTGTATGAGCATCCAGGCCTAGGAAGAAGGAGACTCATACACGTTTCTTACCCTAGGTCAGGCTGGCTGGATTAGAGTGCAGGCATCTCTTAGCTCCAGTTTCAGTGTGTGAAGTCAGGGGCAGGCAGGGGCCAGTTACTGGGAGCACGATTCAGAGTCACATCCAGGCTGGAAGTCCAGCTGGGCCAGGGAGAGAGAAGGGTAAGTTACACTGGGCAGAACAGAGATTACAAAACAAGGGCTAAAGATGCCAGAAGATGTTTGGCTTTCTGGATTCTAAGAATGAGCTAAGATTCATGAGGAGGTTCAAAGGAGTTTGCTGACTTTGTTCCTTCTTCATTTGTACTGGTTGGCCTTCTGAGTGAATGAGCGATTAGTGTCCTGATAGATCAGTGATCCCCAACCTTTTTGGCACTAGGGACTGGTTTCATGGAAGACAATTTTTTCATTGACAAGGTTGGGGGGCAGGAATGATTTGGATACGATTTAAGTGCATTCCATTTATCATGTATTTTATTTCTATTACTATTACATTGTAATATATAATGAAATAATTCTACAATCACCATCATGGTGAGTTGAATCATTGGGCCCTGAGTTTGTTTTCCTGCAACTAGATGGTCCCACTTGGAGGTGATGGGAGACAGTGACAGATCATCAGGCATTGCATTCTCCTAAGGAGCGTGCAACCTAGATCCTTCGTGTGCACGGTTCACAGTAGAGTTCACACTCCTGTTGGAATCTAATGCCACTGCTGATTTGACAGGAGGTGGAGCTCAGGGGGTAATGAGAGCGATGGAGAGCAGCTGTAAATACAGATGAAGCTTCACTCGCCCACCTGCCGCTCACCTCCTGCTGTGTGGCCTGGTTCCTAACAAGGCACAGACCAGTACTGTTGGGGACCCCTATTTTAGATGATCAGAATTCATGACCAACTTCTGTGTTACTAAAGGACAACTAGGGAAACTCAGAGACTAAAGAAAATAAAATCAAGACAAAACAAAACAAAACAACAAACCATGGTTCACTGAATAGACATTTTCCTCAAGAAGACATAAACATGGCCAACGGATATATGCAAAGGTGCTCAGCATCAATAATCATCAGAGAAATGTGAATCAGAACTATAAAGAGATATCACCTCATACATGTTAGAATGGCTATTATCAAAACAAAAGAGGCAAAAAGCGTTGGTGGAGGATGCAGGGGAAAGAGAACCCTGTACATTGTTGGTGAGAATGTAACTTGGTGTGGCCATTATGGAAAACAGTATGGAGGTTCCTAAAAAAATTAAAAACAGAACTTCCAAGTGATCCAACAATTCCTCTACTGGGTACATACATGAAGGAAATAAAATCAGTGCCTCCTAGAGAGATACTAGGGTCATTGCAGCATTATTCACAATAGCCAAGTGGAAACAGCTTGTCTTTCAATGGATGAATGGATAAAGGAATTGTGTATACATACAATGGAATATTATTTGGTCACTTTTTTTTTTTTGAGATAGAGTCTTGCTCTGTCACTCAGGCTGGAGTGCAGTGGCACAATCCTAGCTCACTGCAGCCTCAGCCTCCTGGGCTCAGGGGATCCTCCCATTTTAGCCTCCTGAGTAGCTGAGACTACAGGTGTGCACCACCACACCCAGCCACATTTTTATTTCTGTATTTTTTGTAGAGACAGGGTTTTGCTATGTTGCCCAGGCTGGTCTTGAACTCCTGGGCTCAAGCAATCTTCCCAACTTAGCCTCCCAAAGTGCTGGGATTACAGGCGTGAGCCACTGCACCTGACCTTATTTAGCCTTAATTAAGAAGAGGAGCATGCCATTTGCAACAATGTGGATGAAACTCTGCTAGGTAAAATAAGCCAGACACAGCAAGAAAAATACTGCGTAATCTCACTATAGGTGTAATCTAACAAGAGTCAAATACACAGGAATAGAGCACAGAATGGTGGTCACCAAAGGCAGGTAGGTGGGAGAAATGGGGAGATGTCGGTCAAAGGGTACAAGGTTGCAGTTATGTAGGAGGAGTAAGTCTGGAGCTCTAATGTACAGCATGAAGATTGTAGTTAATAATATTTTACTTGTGTAGAAGAAAATTGCTAACAGAGTAGATTTTGGGTGCTCTTCCCACAAACACAAACCCACACATATGCACACACACACATACACAAAGGTAATAATGTAAGTTGATGGACATGTTAAATTGCTTGACTGTAATAATCATTTTACTGCATATGTGTATTTCAAAATATCATGTTGTGTACCATCAACATAGACAATAAAAATTAAAAAAAAATAAAAGCATGGTCTGCAGCTATGATTCCCAAATAGCTGGGGAAATAACTAGAAGCTGAGGCTGGGTACAGTGGCTTATGCCTGTAAAGCTCAGCACTTTGGAAGCTAAGAGGTAGGAGGAGCGCTTGAAGCTAGGAATTTGAGACCAGCCTGGGCAACATAGTGAGACCCCTGTCTCTATAAAAAAGAAAAATTTCAGCTGGTTGTGGTGGCATGTACCTATAGTCCCAGCTACTTAGGAGGCTGAGGTGGGAGAATCATTTGAGCCCCGGAAGTTCCAGGCTGCAGTGAACTATGATTGTTCCACTGCACTCTGGACTGGGCAACATAGTGAGATCCTGTGTCAAAAAAGAAAAAAAACTGAAGCTGAATTCTATAAAAAGTTACTTCTAGATGTCTCTCCCAGACTGCAGGAGCTGTATTTGTCCATTCAGTTTCTACATTGCTGCCATAGTTGATTTACAATGGAGGGATCTAAGATCTCATGGAGAAAACTCAGAGACAAGAATCAGTAGCAAACATCTGAAAGTCCCTAGAAATATGTTTTTTTAAGAAAAGGAAAAAAATAGCATACCAAATATAGAAGATATCAATCTAATTTTAAATGTCTTAATTTAGTAATTTTGCATGTACCATCCTTCTGTGACCTAGAAAGTTTTTACACTTTCCCTTCTTTGCAGTCCTAAATGAATTTGTTGTGCTTTGCTGCAGTTAATATAGACGCTAAAGAGACTTACTCCAAATCTGATCCTCCCTCCAAATGTTCGGTGTGTTTCTGATTTTGCTACGGTTGTTAATTCTATCTTCTTGGATCACACTATAGCCCTTGAGGAACTTGGATGCGTGAGATAGTGAAAATTTTGCATAACTTTATTTAGCCCCTAATGCTTTCAAAGTCTTTCTCAAACCCTCAGCCCTCACGCACAGGTTTACATGGTACCTTCAAACCAAAACACAGGTTGGCAGGCCCCTTACTTGAATCTCAGCTCATTCTCCCCTACAGACACCAGACAGCGTTTCTAAAGCCTGGATTTATTTTCTCTCCATTTCCTCCATGTCTCACTTGGATTACTGCAACACTCCACACCTTTCATGCCATCTGTTTCACCACGCGGTTCTGTTCCAACCCTCAGTGCCCTCATTTTGAATCATCCCCAGTGCAAGTCACTATGGCACAGTGCTCTTGAGCATGGGCTTTGGAAACAGACAGACCTGGTTTTGAATCTTGAACTCTGTGTTCTAGCAGACATGTGTCTTGAAGACCCAGCATCCGACCTACTGTAACAAATTGCCACAAATATAGTGACCCTAACACAACAGAAATTTATTTTCGTACAGTTCTGAGGCTCAGAAGTCCAAATAAGCCTCATTAGGCTCACATCCAGGTGTCTGCAGGGCTGGGTTCCTTCCTGGAGGCCCTAGGATGGAATCCATTTCCGTCTTTTCCAGCTTCCAGACGCCACCCATGTTCCTCGTCTCATGGCTTTTTCTTCCATCTTTAAAGCCAGGGATGTTCAGCTGAGTCATTCTCAGGCTGCCTCTCTCTGACTCTGACTCTTCTGTACCCCTCTTCTATTTAGGGGCACCATTGTTGATTACATCGAACCTTATTGATGACATTACACATGGATAATCCGGGATAATCTTCCTATTTCAAGGTCAGCTGATTAGCAACCTTAATTCCATTTGCTTCTTCCTTGATTCCCTTTTGCCATGTAACTGAATATATTCATAGGTTCTGTGAACATCTTTGGAGAGGCATTGTTTTGACTTCCATACCTGCTTATGTTGCGGAAAGTCCCCAACTTTTGGGAGTTGGTGGTGTGCAGAGGCTACCTCCCACTCCAAGGGCCTGACTATAATAGACAATTCCTTTTCCAGACCCAGACTGGTGACCTGGGCTCAGCCCATCAGAGGTGCCCACACTGGGCTTGGGCATGAGACACACATAAGAAGCAAGGAGCAGAACTTTTGACTGAAGCATGGGGCATTTTTCCCAGCTGCGTAGACTCAACACTGGGTCTTTAGCCCTTTCAATGTATCTGTAAACCTCACGGCCACTCCCTTCCAAAGTTTTATTTTTTGTTTTATTTTATTTTTATTTTATATATGTTTTCAATATATTTTTAATATACACCTTTGCTGCTGGCCCATCATTGCCTTTTTTTTTTTTTTTTTGAGACGGAGTCTTGCTCTGTCGCCCAGGCTGGAGTGCAATGGCACAATCTCAGCTCACTGCAACCTCCTCCCCTGGGGTTCAAGCGATTCTCTTGTCTCTGCCTCCCGAGTAGCTGGGATTACAGGTGCATGCCACCACGCCTGGCTAATTTGCATATTTTTAGTACAGACCGGGTTTCAACATATTAGTCAGGGTGATCTCGAGCTCCTAACCTCAGGTGATCCACCCACCTTGGCCTCCCAAAGTGCTGGGATTACAGGCATGAACCACCGTGCCCAGCCTCATCATCGCCTTTGGTAGCTTGCAGCTATGAGCCCTAAATCCCGAGTTTCCAACCCCCGGAGCAAGGACTGTGGCCTGTTAGGAAGCGGGCTGCACAGTGGGAGGTGAGCGGTGGGTGCGTTAGTGAAGCTGAGCTCTGCCTCCTGTGAGATTAGCAGTGGCATCAGAGTCTCATAGGAGTGCAACCCCTATTGTGAACTGCACGTGCAAGGGATCTAGGTTTCCGGCTCCTTATGAAAATCTAATGAGAAATGTAATGGGATTGAATCGTTCCAAAACCACCCCCCACCCCAATCCATGGAAGAATTGTCTTCCAGGAAACTGGTCCCCGGTGCCAAAAAGGTTGGGGACTGCTGCCCTAAATGACACAGAAACCTACCAGCTGTGTGATGCTGGGTAAGACACAGAGCTTCTCTATTCTCGGTTTCTTCATGTAATACCAACCTCAAAAGTTTGGGAGAGAGTGAGGCTGGGTGTGGTGGCTCACGCCTGTAATCCCAGCATTTTGGGAGGCCGAGGCAGGTAGATCAGCTGAGGTCAGGAGTTTGAGGGCAGCCTGGCCAACATGGAGAAATCCCGTCTCTACTAAAAATACAAAAAATTAGCCAGGTGTGGTGGTGCACACCTGTAATCCTAGTACGCTTGGGAGGCTGAGGCAGGAGAATCGCTTGAACTTGGGAGGTGGGGGCTGCAGTGAGCTGAGTCATGCCACTGCACTCCAGCCTGAGTGACAGAGCCAGACTCTGTCTCAAAAAAAAAAAAAAAACAAACAAAACAATAAAACAGTAAAGCCCAAAAGTTTTGGGAAAGGTGAATGGGGTAAGGTGTAAAGAGTTTGTCACAGGTCTTAGCTCCTGAGAAACATTTAATAAATGGTAGGGGAAGGAGAAGAATGGAATAATACTTACATCCTGCATAGGAAGAAAAATCTCAAGATGACAGAAATTATACAGACGTAAATTGTCACGGCCAGGCGTGGTGGCTGATGCCTGTAATCCCAGCACTTTGGGAGGCTGAGGCAGGTGGATTATTTGAGGTCAGAAGTTGGAGACCACTCTGGCCAATGTGCTGAAACCCTGTCTCTGTTAAAAATTCAAAACTTACCCAGGCTTGGTGGCGGGCACCTGTAATTTCAGCTACTCGGGAGGCTGAGGCGGTAGAATTGCTTGAACCCAGAAAACAGAAGTTGCAGTGAGCCGAGACAGTGCCACTGCACTCCAGCCTGGGTGACAGAGTAGGACTCCATCTCAAAAAAAAAAAAAAAAAAAAGTAAAACTGTCACACGGAAATGGGAATAATACACTTCATTTCAGAGGGGTTTGTACATTTTGAAAACCACCACGTGCCATTTAGAGGTTACTATCAACCCATGCCATAAAGGTAATCAATTGAGATGCAACTGTGAAAAGATAAAGCTAGCCAGTTGAGACATAACAGAAAAAGTCCAAGAAACAGGTCATTATCATGTAGCAAAGAGTCTACAGAGAACCACCTGGACTTCTGCCTCTTTAGGGACCACAGACTGGGATGATGTGGACAGCCAGTCCCAAAAGAGCCAGGCTGTTCACGTACAGTCCTAATGTAAGCTGGCTCACTTTCTTTAGAAATGCACAGACCTTAATTAATACTTTAAGCTCTTTTTTTTTTTTGAGACAGAGTCTCGCTCTGTCACCCAGGCTGGAGTGCAATGGTGCAATCTCGGCTCACTGCAACCTCTGCCTCCTGGGTTCAAGCGATTCTACTGCCTCAGCCTCCTGAGTAGCTGGGATTACAAGTGCACGCCACCACGCCTGGCTAATTTTTGTATTTTTAGTACAGACGGGGTTTCACCATGTTGGTCAGACTGGTCTCGAACTTCTGAACTAGTGGTCTGTCTGCCGCAGCCTCCCAAAGTGCTGGGATTCCAGGCCTGAGCCACTATGCCAAGCCCACTTTACACTCTTGAGAGTGACCCAGATATGATTTATTGGCTACGACTGACACACAAAGTCAAATAAAATGTGACTGTCAAGAAGTCTCCACTGAGATGACAACTTTTTAAGTCACTGACTGGTAGAGCAAACTTATTTTAGTTTGTTAATCATTTAACTGCTTACATTCTTCTAAGAGTAAAACAGGTGGATGAAGGGTGCATGGCAGCAGCAGCTAACATTTACGCAGCACTTATCACAGGGCAACGCTAGGCTAAGAACTTCACCTTTTCTGGGTGGTGTGGCTCATGTCTGCAATCCCAGCACTTTGGAAGGCTGAGATGGGGGGATCACTTGAAGCCAGGAGTTGACACCAGTCTGGGCAATATAACAAGACCCCATCTCTGCAAGCACTTTTTTTTTTTTTTTGAGACAGTCTCACTCTGTCACCCAGGCTGGAGTGCAATGGCGAACTCTCAGCTCACCTCACTGCAACCTCAGCCTCCTGAGTTCAAGCTATTTTTGTGCCTCAGCATCCTGAGTAGCTGGGATTACAGGCATGCACCACTACGCCCAGCTAATTTTTGTATTTCAGTGGAGATGGGGTTTCACTATGTTGGCCAGGCTGGTCTTGAACTCTTGACCTCAAGTGATCCTCCCGCCTTGGCTTCCCAAAGTGCTGGGATTACAGGTGTGAGCCACCATGCTCGGCCTGCAAGAAGCAATGTTTAAAAATTAGCTGGCTGCAGTGACACACACCTTTAAACCCAGCTACTCAGGAGGCTGAGGCAGGAAGATCACTTGAACCCAGGAGTCCGAGGCTTCAGTGAGCTGTGATCGCACCACTGCATGTTAGCCTGGGCAACAGTGCAAGACCCTGTCTCTTAAAAACAAAAAAAAGAACTTAATCTGCATTATTTTGCAATGGTCTGCCCAGATAGGTATCATGATTAGGTAGGCCCCTGGTGCCTCTGGAAGCAGATGCTGAGAGAATTAGGAATGCAAAATGTCACAGGGAAGTAACATCTATAAATGATAAGGAAGAAAAATGCAGCGTTCAGCAGAAAGAGCTGTCCAAACAATGCAGGTCTGACAAAGCCTCTGCTAGCCCAATGGAGAGTTCCAGAAAACAAATTGCCCACTCAAGGAATCCCATGTTGGGTGGAATTGACCTGGCCCGAGTACCCCTGTAATAACTCGCTCAGTTACTCCATTCTTCTCTTTGCTCTATTATTTATTAAATGCTTCTCAGGAGCCAAGCCCTGTGACACATCCTATACCTTAACCCATTCACCCTCCCAAAACTTTTTTTTTTTTTTTTTTTGGAGACTGAGTCTCGCTCTATCACGCAGGCTGGAGTGCAGTGGTGCGATCTCGGCTCACTACAACCTTTGCCTCCTGGGTTGAAGTGATTCTCCTGCCTCAGTCTCCTGAGTAGCTGGAATTACAGGCGCCTGGCACCATACGCGGCTAACTTCTGTATTTTTAGTAGAGACCGGGTTTCATCATATTGGCCAGGCTGGTATTGAACTGACTTCCGGTGATCTGCCCACCTCGGCCTCCCAAAGTGCTGGGAATACAAGCGTGAGACACCACACCAAGCCCCCGCCCCAAAACTTTTGAGGTTGGTATTGCATGAAGAAACTGAGACAGGAGAAGTACAGTGTCTTCCCCAAGGTCACAAAGCTGGTGGATTTCTGTGTCATTGAGGGCTCATAGCTGCAAGCAACACAGAACGATGACGGCCTATCGGGTTTGCTTTTTTGGTTGTCGATTTTAAATTTGGAAGAAAATATAGTAGAACCATGAAAGAGAGAGAGAGAAAAAAAATGACAGTGCTGGGTGAGAGTAACCTCAGCCCCTAAACTGAGGTGGACCCTGAAGGTATTACTAACTGCATTTAGCAACCGCACTCAACAATTGCATTCTGCTGTCAATCATCATATAGGTGGGGCCAGGGGAGCACGGACCAGTTAAGAACTTGCCGGCAGGTGCAGAGCTAAGAGTGTCAGAGCCTGAGGTCTAAAAACCTCTGAACCACTGACTGCATCTTGATTTACTCAAGGTGTTAGGAAGATGAAAAGAGATAAAGCGCTTCAAAGTTCTTTGAAAAGAATAAAGACCCACAGATGTTCAAAGGATTAGACAAGTGGATATTAAGGAACAATAAGCATTATCCTATTTATTAATTTTCCTCAATTTGCCCTGCCTGCTCTGCAAGACATTTTGCACCAGTTCCCAGAGAGGCATGAAGAGAAGCTTTTCACAGCATATGAAAAGTATTAATAATTTGGTATGGTCTTAATTCATTTCATGATTCAGTTCTGCTGAATCTACAGAGACTGCTTCCAGCATAGTAATTATAAAAGCTGCTTCCAAATCATCCCTGACTTGATCTTACACTATTTGATCATTTTATTATTCCATTTTACTTTATTATTCGGTTTGATTTGGCTCTAAGAAACCTGAGGCTACATAAACTGTATGTTTTATATCTTTAAAAGTTCTGTTGAGATAAATTCTTATATAAAAAGGCACTAATGCTAAATCAATGCCATTTATTTTTAAATATGAGAATATCGCTCTAACAGTGAGAAATCCTTGACACCAGATACAGCATCACTTATAAATTCAGTTCCAATGTCCATTCTGTATGTACAATAGATATGACTACATTTTTGGTTTTTTTTATTTTGAACTATAGAAGATTTAATCAGCAATTTTTATTTTATTTATTTTATTTTATTTTTTTGAGACGGAGTCTGGCTCTGTCGCCCGGGCTGAATGGAGTGCAGTGGCACGATCTCAGCTCACTACAACATCTGCCTCCTGGGTTCAAGCAATTATCCTGCCTCAGCCTCCCAAGTAGCTGGGACTACAGGCATGTGCCACCATGCCTGGCTAATTTTTGTATTTTTAGTAGAGACAGGTTTTCACCATGTTGGCCAGGCTGGTCTTGAACTCCTGACCTCAGGTGAACCACCCGCCTTGACCTCCCAAAGTGCTGGGATTACAGGTGTGAGCCACTGCACACGACCTACCTATTTTCTTTACTTTACATTAATTTTTTTTTTAAGATATAGAGTCTTATTCTGTTGCCCAGGCTGGAGTGCAGTGGTGCAATCATAGCTCACTGCAGCCTTAAACTCCTGACCTTAAGTGATCCTCCTGCCTCAGCCTCCCGAGCAGCTGGGATTATAGACGTGAGCCACTGCACTGAGCTCTTAATCAGTCACTTTTAAAACACAGGTTTGAGACTCATCTCAAATTAAAAAAAAAAAAAGAAAGAAAGAAAGAAAAAAGACTAGGAAACTGTAAGACCTATTCTCTGCCCTTAAGGAGATTAATATCAAATCATACCCGATCATTCCATCACTTTTACGATCTGGTGCTTTCAGGCTAGGCAGTGTCTATGTTGTCCAGCATCTAACAAATTAAGTGTATTCAGTTCAAAATACCAGGAGTCAGTGAGGCCCATTAGGCCAAGTTACCATTTGAGTGACACAATTGCATAGAATGTGCTTAAGCAAAGGGCCAGTCAGTAGAATTCCAATCAGCCATCAGGCTTGCAGTTCAAGGCAGAGAGAAAAGCAGAGAGGTAGATGTTTATAAAATATTTACAAAAGCCATTTGAAAATCAGGCAAACCCACTTTCTGATTGCTCTGGCTTTGAGCAAGCCTTTGTTCTGATAACAAAAGAAGTCTCGATATCATTATGTGAAGAAGGGCTCAGTGTTTTGAATTCTCTATTACAACATGTATACATTCGGCTACCTGCTGAAGCTCCCATACTCCTGGGAAAATACCGCTAATGTTTGAGAGTATACTGACAGTAAGAGTACTTTACCTTTTTAAATAAAGTGTTAATATTTTCAAAGCTTCTTCACATTCGCAGGCTTATTTGAGTTTCCTTAAAATAATCTCATGTGCTAAGTCAGGCAGATATCATGTCCTTATTTGATAAACGAGCACTCGACACTTGGAGGGTTAGGCAAATTTCTCAAGGTATTGAGAAGTTACTTTCAATGACAAAACCCACAATTGCTTTTGCACCGACTTAATAATACTGTTGGGAAGTGCTGGAGTTACAGCTAAAAACAAGTTTTCAGACTCTGATCTCCTATTGTTTCCCTTGCAATATACTTTTTTTTTTTTTTTTGATGGAGTCTCGCTCTGTCGCCCAGGCTGGAGTGCAGTGATATGATCTTGGCTCACTGCTGCAACCTCCACATCCCAGGTTCAAGCAATTCTCATGCGTCAGCCTCCCGAGGAGCTGGGATTACAGGCATGCACCACCATGCCTAGCTGGTCTCGAACTCCTGACCTCAGGTGATCCACCTGCCTCGGACTCCCAAACTGTTGAGATTACAGGAGTGAGCCACTGTGCCCCGCCATCCATTGCAATATTCTAACACAAGCTTCTCCAACCCCTGGCCCACAGGCTGCATGTGGTCTAGGATGGCTTTGAATGTGGCCCAGCACAAATTTGTAAACTTCCTTAAAACATTATAAAATTTTTTCAATTTTTTTTTTAGCTCATCAGCTATTGTTACTGTTAGTGTATTTTATGTCTGACCCAAGACAATTCTTCTTCTTCCAGTGTGGCCCAGGAAAGCCAAAAGTCTGGACCACCCCTATTCTAATAGAAGGCCAGTGCATGAACTAGACCGTTTTTTTTCCTTCAACCTTTTTTTTGAGATGGAATCTTACTCTGTCGCCCAGACTGGAGTGCAATGGTGCAATGCACTCTGGCACCAATGGCTCACTGCAACCACCGCCTCCTGAGTTCAAGCGATTCTCCTGCCTCAGCCTCCTGAGTAGCTGGGATTACAGGCACCTGCCATCACCCCCGGCTAATTTTTGTATTTTTAGTAAAAATGGGGTTTCACCATGTTGGCCAGGCTGGTCTCGAACTCCTGACCTTAGGTGATCCAACTGCCTTGGCCCCTCAAAATGCCGGGATTATAGGTGTGAGCCACCGCACCCGGCCCTTCAACTATTGTTGTTGTAAGTTCAGGGGTACACGTGCAGGATGTGCAGGTTTGTTATGTAGGTAAACGTATGTAAACATATGTCATGGCAGCTTGCTGCACAGATCATCTTACCACCTAGGTATTAAGCCTGGCATCCATTAGCTGTTTTTCTGATGCTCTCCTTCCCCATCCCCCCGCAAACAGGCCCCAGTGTGTGTTGTTTCCCAGCACGTGTCCATGTGTTCTCATCATTCAGCTCCCACTTATGTGTAAACCACCGTTTTTAATCTTTACAAACTGAAAGCTATTGAATGGGATTTCAAGTACATATCTCCTATCAGGGGTGAAAAATATAGGCAGGAATGCTGCCGTCACCTGCACCTACAGAGTACTAATCAACTTGGCAATCTCTTCCACTGAATCCAGCTGCAGCCTTAGAAGACCTCTCAACATGGGACACAAGCAACCACTTTTGACTGGAACTGAGAAATTAATCTTTTTTTTTTTTTTTTTTTGAGATGGAGTCTAACTCTGTTGCCCAGGCTGGAGTGCTGTGGCACAATCTTGGCTCACTCTAATGTCTGCCTCCCAGGTTCAAGCAATTCTTGTGCCTCAGCCTCCCAAGTAGCTGGGATTACAGGTGTGCACTACCACGCCTGGCTAATTTTTTTGTATTTTTAGTAGAGACAGGGTTTCACCATGTTGGTCAGGCTGGTCTTGATCTCCTGACCTCAGGTGATCTGCCTATCTTGGCCTCCCAAAGTGCTGGTATTACAGGAGTGAGCCACCATGCCTGGCCTGAGAAATTAATCTTATTCCTGGGAGTATACAAGCAGAGACTGGTTGCCCACTGGTCACGCAGTTTTGGGAATTCATGCATTGAGTAGGTTCAGGATATCAGTGGTTCCCAATCCTGGATGCACCACAAAATCTTCTGGTCGCGTTCAAAAAGACATTTATTGTTTATTTATTTATTATTTTTATTTATTTATTTATTTTGAGACAGATTCTTGCTCTGTCACCCAGGCTGGAGTACAGTTGCACGATCTTGGCTCATTGCAACCTCCGCCTCCCGGACTCAAGTTATTCTCCTGCCTCAGCCTCCCCAGTAGCTGGGACTACAGGCATGCACCACCACGCCTGGCTAATTTTTGTACTTTTAGCAGAGATGGGGTTTCACCATGTTGGCCAGGCTGGTCTGGAACTCCTGATCCACCTGGCTTGGCCTCTCAAAGTGCTGGGATGACAGACAGGCGTGAGCCACCACGCCCGATCTATTGTTGATTTTTAATTGAGATGTATGAGATCCAACGAGGACTTGCTGAATCAGAATCTCTGATGGCGCAACACAGAAAACTATCATTGGCAAATTGTTCTAAGCTGATTATGATGCGACGGCTTTATTGCTTGGGAACGGGACCAAATTTCCTCGAAAGTCACTTCTGAATTTGCAGTCTAAATGATGTGACCTCCCACAGTCCAGCACTGGTGAGTTGTTGCATCAGGTACAACTGCATCATAAGGTATGGAGTTTCTAAATCACACCGAAAACAATTAGCCAAAACAGGTGAAAGCAAGCACCAACTAGCTTGGCATCTGCATATTAGTGGCGAATTAGACTTCCCACATTAGCTGTGTTCTCAGCGATATTAGTGTTACAAGCCCTAATGTATTGTATTTTATACTTCGGAGAGCTGGAAGGGAGTACTAATTACATGCAAATTTTCCAAGATTTCAGCTGGGAGTATTTCACATGCAAGTTAATTGTTCTTCTGGGGCTTTACCACTGGTTTATCCAATTAACGTGGAGTTTGCCTATATATCATGGTTTTGCTTACAGAAGGGAAACCATATTATTCACTTGGATAAAATGGGGCTTGTTCTAAGTGTGTGTTGAAGTCAGCCTGATAGCTTCTGGAACACGTAAACAACTGTGTTCACCTGCTCCCTTCTGAGGTGGAATAAAGTTTGTTCTGCAGGGGAACAGCAAAAGTTGCTGATGAAATGCAGTGATTAAAAAAAAGAGGTCAAGCAGATTTGCTTTTGATGCTTTTCCTCTTACTCTTCTATCAACTTGGAAATTGTCTTCGATCAAGTGCATACGTGGTATCAACAATTCTTCCACTGATATTACATATTCTCCAGTTCACTGACAGCTGTGCTTTCATCTCTTCTGACCTCAGAGGAGTCTGTGCAGTAGGCACAATTGTCTCCATTTTACAGGCCTCTGGATACTCAGGATTTTCCCCTGTTTGTCTTTGTAGAATTGGCCTATTCTTTTTTAGAGAACTCCAGACATTGGCATAGTATATATATTTTTTAATGGGCTCTATTAGTCTCCCAGAGAGGGAGTAAATAGGGGGTATGGTTGGGATGATCTTGAGATTATGTTCATACTAATCCCCTCTCTGGTTGGCTCTGGTCAGGGGTGTACATCTGCCCTAATTCTTTTTCCCTTTGGAAGCCCCTGAGGTTCAGCATAGTGTTGGCATAGGAAGGAGTTCAAGGTCAGAATTTCTTCCCCGTTTGGAAGTCTTTAAGGTTCAGCATGGTGTTGGCATGGAGAAGAGCTCAAGGTCACAATTCTTTGCCTCTTCGGAAGCCCTTGTGGTTCAGCATGGTGTTGGCATGGGGAAGAGTTCAAGGTCACAATTCTTTTCTCCTTTGGAAGCTCTTAAGGTTACGCATGGTGTTGGCATAAGGAAAAGGTCAAGGTCGGGATTCTTCTTCCCCTTTGGAAGCTCTTATTAAGGTTCAGCGTGGTGTTGGCATGGGGAAGAGTTCAAGATCACAATTCTTTTCTCCTTTGGAAGCTCTTAAGGTTCTGCATGGTGTTGGCATAAGGAAAAGGTCAAGGTCGGGATTCTTTTTCCCCTTTGGAAGCTCTTATTAAGGTTCAGCGTGGTGTTGGCATGGGGAAGAGTTCAAGGTCACAATTCTTTTCTCCTTTGGAAGCTCTTATTAAGGTTCAGTGTGGTGTTGGCATGGGGAAGAGTTCAAAGTCAGAATTTTTTTCTCCTTTGGAAGCTCTTAAAGTTCAACATGGTGTCTGCATGGGGAAGAGTTCAAGGTCAGAATTCTTTTCTCCTTTGGAAGCTCCTAAGTTTCAACGTGGTGTTTGCATGGGGAAGAGTCCAAGGTCAGAATTCTTTGCCTCTTTGGAAACCCTTGTGGTTCAACATGGTGAAGAGTTCAAAGTTAGAATTCTTTTCTCCTTTGGAAGCTCTTATTAAGGTTCAGCATGGTGTTGTCATGGAGAAGAGTTCAAAGTCAGAATTTTTTTCTCCTTTGGAAGTCCTTGTGGTTCAGCATGGTGTTTGCATAAGGAAAAGGTCAAGGTCGGGATTCTTTCTCCCCTTTGGAAGCTCTTATTAAGGTTCAGCATGGTGTTGGCATGGGGAAGAGCTCAAGGTCACAGTTCTTTGCCTCTTTGGAAGCCCTTGTGGTTCAGCATGGTGTTGGCATGGGGAAGAGTTCAAGGTCAGAATTCTTTTCTCCTTTGGAAGCTCTTAAGGTTCAGCGTGGTGTTGGCATGGGGAAGAATTCAAGGTCAGAATTCTTTTCTCCTTTGGAAGCTCTTAAGCTTCAACGTGGTGTTTGCATGGGGAAGAATCCAAGGTCAGAATTCTTTGCCTCTTTGGAAACCCTTGTGGTTCAGCATGGTGAAGAGTTCAAAGTCAGAATTCTTTTCTCCTTTGGAAGCTCTTATTAAGGTTCAGCATGGTGTTGTCATGGGGAAGAGTTCAAAGTCAGAATTTCTTTCTCCTTTGGAAGTCCTTGTGGTTCAGCATGGTGTTTGCATGGGGAAGAGTTCAAGGTCAGAATTCTTTTCTCCTTTGGAAGCCTTTGTGGTTCAGCATGGTGTTTGCATGGAGAAGAGTTCAAGGTCAGAATTCTTTTCTCCTTTGGAAGCCTTTGTGGTTCAGTATGGTGTTGGCATAAGGAAAAGGTCAAGGTCGGGATTCTTTCTCCCCTTTGGAAGCTCTTATTAAGGTTCAGCATGGTGTTGGCATGGGGAAGAGTTCAAGGTCACAATTCTTTTCCCCTTTGGAAGCCTTTGAAGTTCAGCATATGTTGGCATGAGGAAGAGTTCAAAGTCGTAAGTTCACAGGGTCAGGACTAGGTATCTATCCACTGAAGCACAGTCCATGATCTGAATACAGAGTCATGGATAATATTAAAGGTGGCTCCCAGAAAAACAAACAAACAAACAAAAAAACTAAGAAGACACTGAGAGGTCACTAAGAACTGTAATCCAGGGAGGAGGCCAAGCCTTGAGAAATAGGGGCTACAGTGGGTATCCCATGACAGGAATAAATGATTGTTCTTGTGAGGGTCAATTCGTTCTTCCTGTGGGGTTCCTTCTTGCCTGAGGCCATTCTTATTGGGTAAGTATAACTTAGCATCTGATACCTCTAGGGAGGTCCTTGTGATGATTATGCAGTGAGAGTTTCTGAAAGGAGAAGTTGGACTGCTGATGGTAGCAATCTCAGGAACCTTAAGTTGTGTTTCAGTAACTCCCCGCAGGAAGGGTCATTTTCATTGCCCACTGGGCACCATTCTTGATTCATATTCATCTGTGCACAGACAGGGGTGGGGCCTTCTATGGCTGAGGGGAGTCAGGGGTGAAGGCCTAATTGAGCTGATTTGCCTGCTGCTGCTAGGAGGAATCCTAGTAGTGGGGTGAGGCTGGAAATGTTTTCATACTGGAAAACATTAGTGACTCTGCAGGTTAGATATCAAGGTGTCAGTGGGTGTGGGTGGAGGTCCTGAATGGTGTGCAGGTAATTAAACTCTTGTTTTTCAGCCCTCTATCTGTCCATTTTGCATTGCTGTAAAGGAATACCTGAGACTAAGTAATTGACAAAGAAAAGAGGTTTATTTGGCTCACAGTTCTGCAGGCTGTGCAAGAAGCATAGTGCCAGCATAGTGCCTGCTTCTGGTGAGGACCTCGGGAAGCTTTCAATCATGGTAGAAGGAGCAGAGTTGATGTGTCACATGGTGAGAGAGGGAGCAGGAGAGAGAAGAAGAGAGATGCCAGGTTCTTTTAAACAACGAGGTGTTGTGTGAACTAATAGAACAAGAACTCACTAGTTACTGCAGGGAGGGCACCAAGCCATTCATGAGGGATCCACCCCCATGACCCAAACACTTTCCACTTAGCCCCACTTCAAACATTAGAATCAAATTTCAATATGAGATTTGGAGGGGACAAATATCGAAACCATGTCAAGCTCCAAAACTATCCTGTACTGTATTTTGCTGTGTTGGGGCTGGGACTCAGCCACATCACATTTCTTTGTCAGTGGGTTCCAAGTTAGGCTCTGCCAGCACAGGGCAATGCAGGGAGGTTGGAAATCTGCAGAAGGAAGGATGAGGACCGTTTACTCTTCCTTGTTTTCCTGTTGTGCTTGTTAATGTCATGGCTTTCTTCCTTTTTTGGTCCTCCAGTAGAAACTAGAGGAGTCCTCCTGAAAGTTGGCATCAATACATGAACCCTAAGAGACAGCATTTGTGCTCATTGGGAATATGGAAGTGGACACTTGGATGTCTTAGTACTTCTTCCAATGCAGTGCCGTCTCTACCATTCCTGGATCTCAAACTCTTTCATATGGACCATGAATACACGCAGGATGCTGAGGTCAACTGGCACTTTTCAGGGGTCCTTGGCAGTGCTAGTGGCATAAATCTGATAAAGCTGTCTACCCCGGTCCTTCCCTTGTTGGTAAGTGGCACCACCATCACCTAGGTATAAAAGGCAGTAACTTGGAGTTTAATTTTAACTCTTCTCTTTTCTATTGTTCCATCCAAAATCCATCATCAAGCAGTTCTCTTTTTCAGAGAGAGAGAGACGGCGGTTTCACTATGTTGCCTAGGCTGGTCTCGAACTTCTGAGCTCAAGTGATCCTCTTGTCTCAGCCTCCCAAAGTGCTGGGATTATAGGCATGAGCCACCATGCCCGACCCATCAGGCAACTCTAACATAACCAAATAAATATGTTCATGCCTGTCCACTAATAGCCATTCCTATGACTGTCATTCTGCTGTAAATTACTGGGAAGCCTTCCCTAAACTTCCCACATTGAACAGATCACTTTTTCTCTTGGGTTTCCAGAGTTTCTTGTACTCAGCCTCCATCTCAGCATTTATTTGTTTCCAGTTTTGACTTTGCAATTGTGCTTCTGGTCCCATCCCTGATTCTGTCCATATGACGAAAGAGAAAACATTGCTATCTATGTCTCTTTGTGACTTGCATTCTGCTCACAGCCTAAATAATCTTATTTTGCTAATTCCTCCAGGTCCTGACTGATGATTGGCACATGAAAAGTGCTAGGTCAGTGTCTGAGAGATTCATTGCAATGAAGGGGAAGTCGGCTTATTCTAATGTTGAGTGGTTCAGAAGCGTAGGGGAGGGAGGGTCCTCTGTGAGCTTCTGTGGGCTGAAGGGGAAGAGAGGCAGGGCTCACTGCTTCTTAGATGAGCATGTAGGAACGCCTCCTCTTAGATGATTAATTTCACCCAAGTTTTGTTATGAGACTTGATTAATGACCCACTGGTCTTGAGTAGCTTTAGAGGAATGTGGTCAAGGAGCCCCTTAGAGCTCCCGTAGTGCCAGGTCTTTCTATACACAGTAGCTCCCTAATTATTTTGAGCCCTTGAAAGACGTCAGATTACAGAAACATTCTCATTCTTCTTAGGCCTCAGCTATATTCATGAACTCTTTAATTTTGAGCTGCAGTCTGCATTGATGATAAGTAAACCATCATCTTTCGTATCAAGAAGTAGGACAAGAAGGCCGGGTGTGGTGGCTCACGCCTGTAATCCCAGCACTTTGGGAGGCCAAGGCAGGTGGATCACGAGGTCAGGAGTTCGAGACCAGCCTGGCCAATATGGTGAAACCCCGTCTCTGCCAAAAAAATAATAATAATAAAAAAAATTAGCCGGGCATGACGGTGCCTGCCTGTAGTCCCAGCTACTTGAGAGACTGAGGCAGGAGAATCGCTGGAACCCGGGAGGCAGAGGTTGCCGTGAGCCAAGTTCATGCCACTGAACTCCAGCCTGGGCAATAGAGCGAGACTTTGTCTCAAAAAAAAAAAAAAAAAAAAAAAGAAGTAGGACAAGAAAAAGAAAGCCCAGATATCATCCAAGGTTAATTTCCCGCTTGAAGAATGCCTTGTCCTTACTCAGCTAAGAAAGAATCCTAATGACTAGTATTACATTCCCTTTTAGGTACTGGAAACTGGAGAACTTCCATCAGCAGAGGACAACAATTTACAGTTGCTCACCATTTTAGAAGTCACCTCTAAGAACTTGGTGACTGCCAACAAGTACCTGCTGTTCCTTAGCAGACTGAAAGTCGAGCTTCGCTTTGTGGCTGCCAATGGGAGGGACAGAAAAAAAGATAGACAAAAGGAGGGACTGAGAAACAAAGCATGCTTTCTCCCCTCCAAATAGAGGTTTTCTTCCCTGTTTGGCAAGGAATTGGGAGGTAAAGTGGCTGAGGCTGTGATGACTGACATAGCCCTTGATACATGTTTGTCATTGTTGTTATTCATTCATAACTTTGGAATCATTCCAACTACTGACTCCAGAAAGTTGGCTGGAATGTTTTCCACTACAGATTTAATCGGGAGATTCTGTTTTTCTCACAGCCAGTCTGAGGAGGACTCAAGTGCCTGATACGGATCCCCAGTTGCCCTCACAAAACCAGTTCTCTTTCCAGGAGACATGATGCTTTGCAAGGCATGGAGGTTTCTCCAGAGGGAATGGCAAACCGAACCCCCAAGCCTTGTGGCTCTTGTTCCAGTAACACACATCTGATTTCTCCAGAGGATCACTCAAAGTACGTCCAGCTGATTGCATAGGGAAGCATAAAATTTCAGAGCCAGAGCAATGTTAATCTAGACCCTTTGCTTTATAAAAAGAGGAGACACAGTATGTGAAAGGCTAAATGCCTTGGCTAATACCATACTGTTTTGTGGTGACATTTCCAACACCCTGCAGCTTAACTTTTTACTATCAACAGAAGATCCCGCTGTCTGAGGTGAGAATGTGTGATGTGTGTTGGGTTTAGAAATAAAGGGAGAAAGTACTCAAAATAATAGTTTTTTGTTTGTTTGTTTGTTTATTTTTGAGACACGGTCTCACTGTCACCCAGGCTGGACTGCAGCAGCACAATCTCAGCTCACTGCAGCCTCCACCACCCAAGAACAAGTGGTCCTCTTGCCTCAGTCTCCCAAGTAGCTGAGACTACAGGCGTGTGCCACTATACCTGGCCAATATTTGTATTTTTGGTAGAGACCGGGTTTCGCCACGTGGTTCAGGCTGGTCTCGAACTCCTGGACTCATGCAGTCCTCCTGCCTTGGTCTCTTGAAGTGCTGGGACTACAATCATGAGCCACTGTGCCTGACCAAAAATGATAGTTTTAAAATTATTCTAAATAAGCAAAACAGGGCCCAGAATGAGCTCACATTTTAATAGCATGCACTGTTTCTTCTTCTGATAAAAACACATTTCCATTGTTAGAGATTTTGGAAATACAGAAAAAGTGTAAGGAAGAAATTAGATGTCCAGTGGAATTTTAGCATTGAGATGTAAACACTATTAATACCTTAATGTGTTTCCTTCTAGGCCCAATCGCTAACATTTTTTAAGGGGCAATATCATTTCACAGAGGGGCTGGGTGAGCCCTACAAGCCTAAGGATACACAGAGAGTCAACTGTGAGATGGAGGCCGGGCACAGTCATTAACGCTTATAATCCCAGCACTTTGGGAGGCCAAGGCAGGTGGATCACTTGAGGTCAGGAGTTCGAGAGCAGGTGGCCAACATGGTGAAACCCCGTCTCTACTAAAAATACAAAAATTAGCTGGGTGTGGTGGGGCACGCCTGCAGTCCCTCGGGAGGCTGAAGCAGGAGAATTGCTTGAACCTGGGAGATGGAAGTTGCAGTGAGCCAAGATCACACCACTGCGCTCCAGCCTGAGCAACAGAGTGAGACTCCATCTCAAGAAAAAAAAAAAAAAAGAAACGTGAGAATGGGATGGTTACTAGTGGTGAATCTCTAGGGGTCTGCAGTAACCTTGATTCTTGCCTCCACATGACCGAGGAGGTATGGGCACAGAAGAAGAGACCAAAGCAAGTCTTAGAGCAGGAGTGAGAGTTTCTTAAAAAGCTATAGAGCAGGAATGAAAGGAAGGAAAGTACACTTGGAAGAGGGCCAAGTGGACAGCTTGAAAGATCAAGTGCTCTGTTTGACCTTTGACTTAGGGTTTTATGCATTGGCGTACTTCCAGAGTCTTGCATCCCTTCTCCCATGATTCCTCCCTTGGGGTGGGCTGTCCACTTGCACAGTGGCCTGTTAGCACTTGGGAAGTGAGCACGCGCAGTGTGTTTATTGGAGTTGTACACATGCTTACCGGAGGTGTTCTGCCCTTTCCAGTCGAATGTTCCTAGAAGGTCATAAACCAGGTAAGCTCTGCCATTTTGCCTCTTAATATGCATGCATGAGCCCACTTGCCCAACTCCTGAGATGTTATCAGGAAGCTTCTGATTACCAGTTTCAGGTGTTTCTATCTGTTGGGAGACGGCCTCTCCCTGGCGCCAGCTGCGACCAATTATTATTTTAGAGAGCTCATTAACAACTGCCTGACCATCACCTGATGGCTGCCTCACATTCCTGGTGGGGCTGGGAAAGCCCTCTCCTGCCCTGCTTATGCCTGACTAGCCACCCACTGTAACAGAGACTAGAAATCAGGAACCCTGAACCCCTGGCTGGTGCTTCTTCTGCTGTCACATGCTGCCTAAAAGTTCACGAAGACTCTGTCCCCAAAGAAGAGAGGCTATAGAATCTATAGGGTGGATCTGGAACTGCAGTGACAACAAACAGGACCACATAACCTCTTGAGGCTGTTAGACTTGCAGAGTGATGGAGCTTTGCAAACTGGACCTCCTGTGCCTCATTTACTCAATAAATATTGACTGAGCACCTATGCAATTCCAGGCCTTGTGCCAGGCTCTGGGGCTAGCAAGACAAACAAACCAGACATGACTTCTACACTGATAATGCTTAACATTGAAGGAAGCAAGTTGTGCAGAGCTTATATGGAAGTGTGTGTGTGTGTGTGTGTGTGTGTGAGAGAGAGAGATGCCAGATTCTTCTAGCACATTCTCTTCCCTTTTTTTGTGACCTACCATTTTCCTGTGCACCTGGGAAAACACAGCAGGTGCAGACTCTTTTGTGAAGGAGCCAGGTGGAGCATTTGTATGCACACTCTGGCTTTTTCCCTCCCATCCCTGGCTATGAGAAAATGGAGCAACAGTGAGAAGTTTTAAGCTCAAAAGATTCTGTGTGATAATGATCTAGGTCAACCTTTTTGTTTTGCAGGTAAGAAAACGAAGGCTCATAGACTAACCCCTAAGCAACTTATCCAGAGAGTTTGCAGTAATGACAGAAGGAAAGTTTGATGCCTTTCGATTTTCTCACAATTCTTCTAATCAGGAGAAGCAAATACGTTTCGATGTGCCAATTAGTTAAAGAGGTCAGGGAGACGTGTCTCTGAATAATAACGGTTAGCATTTATTGGGGACTTTCTATGTGCCAGACACTGTTCTTAATGTCCTCTACTAAGTAACTCTTTTCCACCCACAATATGAGATGAGTACACTATCATCCTTATTTTGCAGATCAAGTGCACGGTACACAGAGGGTTAAGTAACTCATCCAAAGTGACACAGGTTATGAATGGTGAGTCAGAGGCTCAACCTGGGGACCTTTGGTCTTAACCATCACATTGGGCTCCTTTGCTCGCTGTGAATGATTGGCAGTGGAGAGCAGGCTTAGAACACAGCACCTCAATCATATGGGCTCCAGTTCCAGAGGAGTTGCTCACACCACATCTTTTCACAGTTCCTCTCTCTGTTCCTTTAGCTAGGAGGCTGGAGGCAGGCAGCCAAGTGGGCTGAGAGTGACTCTCACCTCACCTGGGTACAGTTACCTGTTTGTACATCATTTTCTTTTCTTTCCTTTTTCCTTCCTTCCTTCCTTCCTTTCCTTCTTTCTTCCTTCCTTTCTCTTTCTTTCTTTCTTTCTTTCTTTCTTTCTTTCTTTCTTTCTTTCTTTCTTTCTTTCTTTCTTTCTCTTTCTTTCCTTTCTTTCTTTTTCTTTCTTCCTTCCTTCCTTCCTTCCTTTTTCTCTTTTTTTGAGACAGAGTCTTCCTCTGCTGCTCAGGCCGGAGTGCAGTCATGACATCTTGGCTCACTGTAGCCTTCGCCTCATGGGTTCAAGTGATTCTCCTGCCTCAGCCTCCCGAGTAGCTGGAACTATAGGTCTGTGCCACCACGCCCACCTAGTTTTTGTATTTTTAGTAGAGATGGGGTTTCACCATGTTGGCCAGGCTGGTCTGGAGCTCCTGACCTCAAGCGATCTGCCTGCCTCGGCCTCCCAAAGTGCTGGGATTACAGGCGTGAGCCACCGCGCCTGGCTGAATTCCGTCATTTTCTTCCTGGGTGAGTGAATTTCAATTAAGTGCCTTCTCTCTTTGTGAATTTCTCTTTGTTTTCCCCAGGAGCCATAGCTGCAAGCAGCACTTCTCTGAGAACTTGGCACTTAGTGGTATCAGCAAGGCAAAGCCCTTGGGACCATTTGGCTCACACCTGCAGCTGTCACACTCTATCCTCAGCTCTTAGGAAAAGGAGTTTGAAGAGCATTTCAGCACCTAGCCCTGCCCGTGGGCCCTGTGGACCACGACACAGGTCTGGAGGAGGAGTTCTTGGTAGAATTTACCTCTAAAAAGTATTGTACTTAGTGAGCTTGGCCTTGGGGTGCAAGGAAAGATTTTCAGACGATAATAGCAGAAAGTATTTTTAGTATCCCCGATTTCGACCGTTTCTGTTTCCACTTGCCTGTGTATCAGAAATTGCATCGGGCAGAGCCAACAGAGACTGGAAGTTACAATTGCTTAATGAAAAAGCAATGTATTCATTTATTTTTCTAAAGAAATAGAAGCATGGAGGTAGTAGTTCTGGGCTGGCTGGAAGTTTGTTCTGTTTTCCTTTTCTACCATCCTTCCTGCATGGCTCCCATCTTCAAGGCTCCCCCGATCTCTGGCCAACCCTGAGCCTGAGCTAGCATACACTCTTGAGAACAGGCTGGCTTCAGGGTGAAATATTCTTGGATCCGTTATCTGATTATGTTACCCTTTCATCCCACTTCCTCATTCCTACTTTTCTCTAGCTTTGCTTATCTTTCTCTGTGAAAGGAGGCACTTTTGCCTAATCCTTATTTATTTATTTATTTATTTATTTATTTATTTATTTATTTATTTTTGAGACAGAGTCTCACTCTGTTGCACAGGCTGGAGTGCAGTGGTGCAATCTCGGCTCATCGCAATCTCTGCCACCCGGGTTCAAGTGATTCTCCTGTTTCAGTCTCCTGAGTAGCTGGGATTAGAAGCACCCGGCACCATGCCTGGCTAATTTTTGTATTTTTAGTAGAGACGGGGTTTTACCATGTTGACCAGACAGGTCTTGAACTGCTGACCTCAGGTGATCCACCCACGTTGGATGGATGACACTTCCCATGTTTGAGGGAGAGGGTAATCTGAGCCAAATGTAGCCTCTTAGTGCCATGACAAACTGGAGATTTTCTGAGGGTTCAGTAAGCTAATACATGCAAAGCACTTAGAACAATGCCTGGGATATAGTACGTGCTCAATAAATGTAAGCTGACATTGTCATCTTCACTATCATTATCAGGCTCTCTAGATCTCCTAGTACAAAGAGGACTTGCTCAAAGGCAGGCAGTTAGAAATTCATTATGAAAGACAATTCACTAAAGCACTGCAAAAGCAGAGATCTTGTCTGGCTTTATTCTACTGTATCCTCTGCACCTCTGCCACTGGGAGAGCCACCGCGCCTGGCCTTAACAATTTTTATAGGTACTTAGTGGGTGCATATATTGATAGGGTACATGAAGTATTTTGATACAGACATACAATGCGTAATAATCATATTAGGGTAAGTGGGGTATCCATCACTTCAAGTATTTATCCTTCCTTTGTGTTACAAACAAACCAATTATACTCTTTTAGTTATTTAAAGATATAGAAAAAATTATTGTTGACTGTAGTCACCCAGTTGTGCTGTCAAATAGTAGGTCTTATTCATTTTGTTTAACTATATTTTTATACCCATTAACCACCCTCAAACCCCTTCAACATGCGCCACCCCCACCACCCCCACTACCATTTCCAGCCCCTGCTAACCACCCTTCTACTCTCTTTCCATGAATTCAATTGTTTTAATTTTTAGCTCTCACAAATAAGTGAGAACATGCAAAGTTTGTCTTTCTGTGCCTGGCTTATTTCACTTAACATAATGACCTCCAGTTCATCCATGTTGTTGCAAATAACAGGATCTCATTCTTTTTTTAAGGCTGAATAGTATTCCGTTGTGTATATGTACCACATTTTCTTTATCCATTCGTCTGTTGATGGACATTTAGGTTGCTTCCACATCTTGGCTATTGTCAATAATGCTGCAATAAACAAAAGAGTGTAGATATCTCTTCCAAATACTGATTTCTTTTCTTTTGGGTGTATACCTGGCAGTGGGATTGCTGGATCATATGGTAGATCAGTTCTTAGATTTGAGGAACCTCCAAACTGTTCTCCATAGTGGTTGTACTAATTTACACTCTCACAAGAAGTGTGCAAGAGTTTCCTTTTCTCCACATCTTGGCCAGCATTTATTACTGCCTGTAGACTAACTCTGGAACTGTGTGGATTTTATGGTCAGAGTGTTCTTCCTGTTGCAATAGTCCCCCTACTCCTATTGCGATTGTCCTCTTCCTCCTCCTAGTGGAATAGTCTCCTGCCCCCATTGCAAGAGTCCTTTTCCTACCTTCCTGCCCAACACAGTGTGCAATAACCCTTTTGAACAGAAGTCTCTTCTTGCTAAGTCCAGATTTCTTTTTTCCTTGACAGCCCCTAAGTCCTGGGGGCACTGGGCAGGCACCTGAGGACCTGAGTGAACAAGAAGGCTGGATGCAGATTTTTCTCCTTGACACTGTGGCAAAGCAAAGCTGAATCACTGCTCTCCCATGCTGGTGATGCTCTCCTGTTAATCTTCTCTCTCTTAAGGGCCCCAGGAAGTATGAAGGCAGGTTGGCATAAGGACCCTGAATAGCCTCTATAGCTGTAAGTAGCAATAACCACAGAGCCAAAAGTGCCACAGAGTTGCTGTTGCCTGGGATAAAAGGGTTTCTTATCAAAATGACGGGGAAACCTTGGGTTAAGCAAAATCAAACAGGTTTGTTTCCTGCAGGATTCTTCAGGGATGCTTTATGAAACCCTCAAGAATAGGATATAGGACACATGGCTTCCCCAAATGATTTGACCACGGAACAGGTATTTGTCAAACGCCTGGAAGTATCACATGGAACAGTTTGGGAAATGCAGTTCTAAAGCTTTTTCTATCTCCTTCTGCAATTGCCTAATGCACTGTGTGGATGACAAGGTCTGCCTTGGGGGCAGGGGAGATGGAGACTTCGGGGCTGGTGGCCAAGGCTGGAAGGTGGCATCAGACACACTGAGTGTCAGGCATTCTCTCTCTTTAAGTGGGAGGTGTGCCAAGTAGCCTCTTCCCTTGAGGGAGCACAGTAAATGGGTCAGATTTCCCAATGGGAAGATGCTGTGTTTAAGACACATTTGATTTACATCAGCTTCGGCTGTGACCTTGGCTTTCCAGTTTGCAAGTCATGTCACCAGGGTATCTGACTAATGCGCGGTTGTGAATTTTTCATGGCAAGGCATGTATTTGTGCTATCGGACTCCTGGGCAAGGAAAAAAGCATGGCATGTCAAGAGCGACATAAATTGTTAGGTAAATCTTTATTCCCTCTGGACCTCCCTGCGAAGTCCCGTTATTCGTGTCCCACTCAACCATTCGTTCATTTACAAACATTTATTGAGCAACTTCCATTTCTAAGTACTGTGGGGAATACAAGGATGTATAAACCAATGTGGTGACATTGGTGTCCTGGTAGCAGGTGTGAACGTGAGAGGAGGGGAAAAAGGCTTTGAGAAGGGATCCCTCCTTGGAGTGAATATTGAGGCATCTGGAGCCTGAATTGAACATGCTTATCTTGTAAATACAAGTCATCTAAGTCCTGTAATACTCACCTCTAGGGGCACCCTAAGCCATCATAGGGCAGGTGTCCTGTTGGGTTCAAATCTCAGCCAAGTAACCTTCAGCAAGTCTCCTAAAACTTTAGGACCTAACCCCTGATCTGTAAAAGGAGGAGGTTAAAATAGATCATTCTTAAAGTTTATTTGGCTTCGAAATAATATAATTTAGAGATAGAGACAGATACATACAGTTGTACAGTTGACTTTTTTTTTTTTTTTTGAGACAGTCTTGCTCTGTCACCCAGGCTGGAGTGCAGTGGCACTCGGCTTACCACAACCTCCACCTCCTGGATTCAAGCCATTCTCATGCTTCGGCCTCCAGAGTAGCTGGGACTAGAGGTGCATGCCACAGCGCCTGACTACTTTTTTGTATTTTTAGTAGAGACAAGGCTTCGCCATGTTGGCCAGGCTGGTCTTGAACGCCTGACCTCAAATGATCCACCTGCCTCGGCCTCCCAAAGTGCTGGGATTACAGGCTTGAGCCACCTCACCCACCCTACAGTTGACTCTTGAACAATGCAGAAAGGAGTTAGGGGCATGGAGTCCCATGCAGTCAAAAACATTTGAAACCCCTCATCCCAGCCCACAACTTTACTAATAGCCTACTGATATGATTTGGGTCTGTGTCCTCACCCAAATTTTATGTCAAATGGTAATCCCCAATGTTGGAAGGGGGTCTGGGGGTAGGTGATTGGATCATGGGGGCTGATTTCCCCTTTGGAGCCGTTCTCCTGATAGTGAGTGAGTTGTCCTGAGATCTGGTTGTTTAAAAGTGTGTGGCACCTCTGCTCTCTCTCTCTCCGTCCTGTTCTGGCCATTTAAGATGTGCCTGCTTCTCCTTCACCTTCCGGCCATGATTGTAAATTTGCTGAGTCATGCTTCTTGTACAGCCTGCAGAACTGTGAGCCAATTAAAACTCTTTTCTTTATGAGTTACCAAGTCTCAGGTAATTATTTATAGCAGTGCAAGAACGGACTGATACACCCACTATTGACTGGAAGCCTTACCAATAACGTAGGTGAAAAGATAAATACACTAGGCTAGGTGCAGTGGCTCACGCCTGTAATCCCAGCATTTTGGGAGGCCAAGGCAGGTGGATCATCTGAGGTCAGGAGTTTGAGACCAACCTGACCAACATGGTGAAACCCCATCTCTACTAAAAATACAAAAAATTAGCCGGGCTTGGTCGTGTGTGCCTGTAATCCCAGCTACTTGGGAGGCTGAGGCAGGAGAATCACTTGAACCTGGGAGTCGGAGGTTGCAGTGAACTGAGATCATGCCACTGCACTCCAGCCTGGATGACACGGCAGGACTCCATCTCAAAAAACAAACAACAAAAAAGATAATTACACTAGTATCTGCAAATATTTTATGCATTCCCAACATACCTGTTTCTTTTTTTTTTTTTTTTTGATATTTCTAGGCTATGCATTTGTCTGCAAGTTTTTTCAAATTGTTGCAAATTTCCAAAAACTTTTCCAGTATATTTATGTAAAACAATCTGTGTATAAGTGGGCCTGCATAGTTCAAATCCATGTTATTGAAGGGTTAAATTGTACAATATTTACACATAAACATAGAAGAGGTCAAGATTGCTTCTTTTTTTTTTTGGAGATGAAGTCTTGCTGTGATGCCCAGGTTGGAGTGCAATGGCACGATCTCAGCTCACTGCAACCTTGGCCTCCCAGGTTCAAGTGATTCTCCTGCCTCAGCCTCCCTAGTAGCTGGGATTATAGGCACCCGCTACCACTTCTGGCTAATATTTGTATTTTTAGTAGAGACACGGTTTTACCATATTGGCCAGGCTGGTCTCAAACTCCTGACCTCAAGTGATTGGCCCACATCAGCCTCCCAAAGTGCTGGGATTACAGGCGCGAGCCACTGCACTCGGCTCAAGATTGCTTCTAGTCAGAGCGTAGACGTAAGACTAGGAGGTGTTGAAAAACAGGCCTTTGCATGAGCTTTAAAAGAGGCCTGAATATGTCTACAGCCATCCACACCACCTGAACACACCCGATCTTGTCTGATCTCAGAAGCTAAGCAGGATCAGTCTGGTTGGTACCTGGATGGGAAGGAGGCCTGAGCATTGGATTTATAGGGTGGGAATGCTAGGATGGCACCACTCAGGGCAAAGTGCAGAGTCAAAGACCCTGGGGCAGGGAGGAAGGGGGTGCAGGGGCAGCCAGGACATCTGGTGGCTAGAGCTGAGCATGGGTGTTGGGGTACAGTAGAAGAAGGTCCCTGGAGTGGGGGCTGGATCCTAGAGGGCTTCGACTTCACAGCAGCAGAGGAAATTGCTGTCCTGCTCATGGGCTCTAGCCCCACCCTCTCTCTCCCTCCTCAGGTGGTCTCTCTGCAGGAATCACTTTTCACTTTCTCCTTGCATGCATGTCCCTGGCAATCTTCAGCTTCCCTTCCTCTTGAGAGAGCTCTTCAGAGAGCTCTTCAGATCCCTCCCCATTCCACCCTGCACATCCTGTATCTCATTCTCAGTTGATTCCCCCCAGAGCACTGATTGCTGTTTATGATGATGTGTTCACCATATTTATCCATCATCTGTTTGTTGTCTGGGTCCTTGGGAATGGAAGCACCATGAGGCAGGGACGGTGCTTGCCTGATCTACTTTAGTATTCCCAATGGCTACTCACATGCCCAGTAAATGCTGTTTGGTTGGATGAATGAATGAATGAGCTGGAATACTCTCAATTGGTATTGTTTGAACAAATGAATGAGTGAGCTGAAGTACACTCAATAAATATTGTTTGTATGAATGAATGAGCTGAACTATGCTGAACAAATATTGTTTGAATGAATGAGCTGGAATACGCTCAATAAATATTGTTTAAATGAATGAATGAATAAGTTGAGATATGCTCAGTAGATAGTGTTTGAATGAATGAATGAGCTGAAATACATTCAATAAATATTGCTTTAATGAATGAACTGGAATTCTCTCAATAAATATTGTTTGAATGAATGAATGAATGAGGTGGGATACGGTCGGTAGATAGTGTTTGAATGAATGAATGAATGAATTAGCTGAAATACACTCAATAAATATTGTTTGAATTAACAAATAAGTGAGCTGAGATATGCTCAATAAATAATGTTTGAATGAATAACTGGATGAGGTGGAATATGCTCAGTAGATAGTGTTTGAATGAATGAATAAGCTGAAATACACTCAATATTGTTTGAAGGGATGAATGAATGATTTGGAATTCACACTATTGTAAAACCACAGAGGAAACCCTGACTGTATATTTCTCCAATGTGCAGAGCCTATATTGTATTATTGAGTTTAATGTCTTCCCCAATGTCTACCTAACCTCCAACATATATACATAAACATAGACCAAAAACTTAAAACATATTTTTTAATGAAGTGAAGACATTTGGTTCTCCCTGCTTTGTGAGCTTTGGTGAACGGGGGTCCCCTTTCTTGATGTCCAGGAAGTGGGGTGGTGTAACCCAGGTACAAACACTGAGCTCTCAGTCCTGTAAGAGCCATGTCCATGACCCCTCCCGAAGGGCCCTCCGTATGCTCCTTGGCATTAGCCTCCTAAGGGTGCTTACACTCGAATCTTACTCCCCAAGTCTGATGCTTATTCTGAGTCCTAATAATGGGCACCATGATCTTCTGGTAAGTGAGAAACAAAGGTTTCTTGCCTGGAGCTGCTTTTTTGTGTGTGGTTCATGATCCCCTTCTCTGCTCCTCCTTCTTCCTGTAAACGCTGCACCTGGGCACCAGAGCACCTGGTTGCAGCCCTCAGGCATTGCTCAGAGCTGAGCTAGAGAAGCAGTTGCTCAGTGGAGCTGCCTGACAGCATCTCTGATTCACCCTCTGTGTAAAAACTCTGGAAGCAAAGGCCAAGTTGAGGCACATATTGCCCAATTAACAAATATTGACAAAATGCTCCATATTGTGGCTTTCATCAAATAAATGTTTATTTACTTTTTATTTATTTATTTATTTATTTATTTATTTATTTTAGAGACAGAGTCTTGCTCTGTCACCTAGGCTGGAGTGCAGTGGCATGATCTCAACTCACCGCAACCTCCGCCTCCCGGGTTCAAGTAATTCTCCTGCCTCTCGAGTAGCTGGGGTTACAGATGCCTGCCACCACACCAGGCTAATTTTTGTATTTTCAGTAGAGACGGAGTTTCACCGTGTTGGCTAGCCTGGTCTTGAACTCCTGACCTCGTGATCCCCCCGCCTAGGCCTCCAAAAGTGCTGGGATTACAGGCGTGAGCCACCATGCCCGGCCCGAGGATTTTCTTAAGAAAGAAAAGGAGGAAAGAACCTGGCTTTAGGGGACTGATGGCCACTTCTACACAGAGGAAAAGTGAATTATTTATGGGCTCTGTTTGTGATCACTTGATTTCATCATCATCCTGAGAGCCACAGAATACCAAATTCTGCAAATTATTCTCATTCAACATGAGAATAAACTAAGGCCTGAGACAGTGACAAACCTTCTGGAAGATTATTTGTAATCAGCACCCTCTCACATACTTCTCTGAAATGTGACTTTGCCCCTCCTTTCATTGAGAGGTGAAGACTGTTTTCTCTCCCCTTGAATCTGGGATGGCTCTATGATTGACTTTGGCCATTAGAATATGATGGAAACAGCTGGGTTTGGTGGTTCATCCCTGCCATCACAGCACTTTGGGAGGCAGAGGTGTGAGGATTGCTTGAGGCCAGAAGTCCAAGACTAGATTGGGCAACACAGCAAGACCCTGTCTCTACAAAAAACAAACAAACAAACAAAAATTAGCCAGGCATGGTGGCGCATGCCTGGAGTCTCAGCTACTGGGAGGCTGAGGCAAGAGGCTTGCTTGAGCCAGGAGTTTGAGGCTGCAGTGAGCTAGGATTGCACCACTGCACTCCAGCCTGGGTGACGGAGTGAGACCCTGTCTCAAAACAATTAATGAGAAAGAAATATGATGGAAATGACACTGGGGACTCTCAAAGCTATATCTTAATAGGCCTTGTGGATTTTGCCTTCACTCTTTTGGGTCACTGAGGTCACCATGCTATGCGAAAGCCCAGTCTAACCTCTTGGGAGATAAGAAACCACAAAGAGCACAGCAGCACGCCAACCAGCAGCCAACAAGAACTGCCAGATGTATGAGTGAGGCATCTTTGAATCTTTGACCTTCCAGCCATCCAGTCCTCCAGTGGAGGCAACCACATGAGTGAGGGAACGCAGGAGAAATTAGCAAAGGTATGGCACAGGCAAGCTCATTGTGATTTTGTGAAATCATGAAGAATCATGAGAAAGAATAAACCACTAGAATTTTAAGCTCTTACGTTTGGGATAATCGACACCTAAAGACAAATGGGCTGCTGCCACAAGAAAAATTTAAAATATGTCAGGCGCGGTGTCTCATGCCCATAATCCTAGCACTTTGGGAGGCCGAGGCCGGTGGATTGCCTGAGCTCAGGAGTTCGAGACCAGCCTGGGCAACAGTGTGAAACCCCATCTCTGCTAAAATACAAAAGAAATTAGCAGGGTATGGCAGTGTGTGCCTGTAGTCCCAGCTACTCTGGAGGCTGAGGCAGGAGAATTGCTTGAACCTGGAAGGCGGAGGTTGCAGTGAGCCAAGATCATGCCACTGCACTCCAGCCTGGGCGACAGAGCAAGACTCCATCTCTCAAAAAAAAAAAAAAAAAAAAAAAGAAAAGAAAAATTAAATATATAGCATTGCTTTGGAATCTGTTCAACTTCTCTCAGTTTACCATATCGTTTAGGAGCAACTGGGTTCGAATGCCAGGTTCAGATAGAAACTGATTTTTGAACACACTCTGGAAGACCTGCAGCTGATGATGTACTAAACAATGGCTATGAATTAACCAGCTATGACCACCGCATGCCAGGGACTGAAGGCGTCTGAGTATTCCAGGCATTTTGTCCCTTTAAAGTTGGGAGTCACTTGGTGTCCATGAAAGGACAGGGCAACATTGTCAGGACTTTGGTGGGAACCATTTTACTGGAGTCTCAGGCCCCATTGAGATCGTCTTCTGGCTTCAGAAGCATGTCTTCACAAGTGCAGGGAACTTCCCCAGGCAGGAAGCCCTCAGGGGTGAGCGCAGCCTCTGCCTGCAGGTGAATAGGCTCCTCCCTGTACACCCACCCTGGCCATCCACAGCCATTCCATTTAAAGATTCCTGTGGGTGAAGACTGTAGTGTGAGTACTGTTAGTGGATGCTGGAAGAGTGGCTGGAGTCTGGAGAAAGGGCAACCCATGCTACATAGTACAGGAACGATTACCTTGGGGAGACAAAATGGTTATCCTGGGAGAGAGAAAATGTACCATGTGTGCTTGAAATGCTGGCTAAGAAAGTTTTTAACGGCAATGTTGAAAGAATCAGTTGCTTTAGTTAATCAATTAATTAATTATATCTGCATATGATAAGATACAGGAAGACAGAGAAACTAAGGAATAAAATGTTTTGTTTTTAAGCAGAATTTACAGAAAATATAGAAGGCCTAGCCTCTGCTAGGTTGAAAAATAAAATTATTAACACTTCATCCCTGGTGTGTTAAAAGTTTCTCAAACTAAGATCTGGCCTTAGGATAGGTCCAAATCGAGGGAGTGAGTGTAAGACCATTTGCTCAGAGTTCAGAAAAATTTTGGACAGTGCCTACTATAAAAGGCTGCTAAGAATCTTAAGGGCATTGCTTTATAGCACCTTCACCTTCACCCACAGAACCTAGAGAGATCTAGCACAGAAATAATTATAGGTTTAGCATGTGGGGCACAGAGTTAATTGCAGTTAGATTTATAGGATTAACATGAAGTTTTTAAGATTGTTGTATTGGTTGCTGTTAGTGAAACGGGATACAAACCAAGTTTTCTTCTGTAAGACAGCTATTAAAAAATGCTAATATAGGCCAGGTGTGGTGGCTCACGCCTGTAATCCCAGCACTTTGGGAGGCCGAGGCAGGCGGATCATGAGGTCAAGAGATCGAGACCATCTTGGCCAACATGGTGAAACCCTGTCTCTACTAAAAATACAAAAATTAGCTGGGGGTGGTGGTACGTGCCTGTAGTCCCAGTTACTTGGGAGGCTGAGGCAAGAGAATCACTTGAACCAGAGAGTTGGAGATTGCAGTGAGCTGAGATTGAGCCACTGCACTCCAGCCTGGCAACAGAGCGAGGACTCCATCTCAAAAAAAAAAAAATTGCTAATATGTACTCAGTGTTTACCATGTGCCAGGCCCTATGTTGAGGATTTGCTATAGATAAACTCACTTTACTGTGATACCACTGCATCCCTTTGAGGTAGGTACCCTTGCCATTTCTGTTTTATACATGTGGAAACAGGCTCAGAGAAGCGTTTGCTCAATGGCACCCAGGTGCAGGGCAGCAGCCTCCAGATATGAGCCCAGAGTTTTCTGAGTTCAGAGACTGCAGACTGGCAGCCCCAGGATCTGAGCCCAGAGTTTTCTGAGTTCAGAGCCTGCAGAGTGGCGGCCCCAGGATCTGAGCCCAGTGTCTGGGTTCAGAGCCTGAACATAAAGCCACTCTGCTCTGCTGCCTCTCTGGCACAGTCTATACAACTAACTGATTAGTTCCCCATGATAATTGCTTGGCTCTGACTGAAATTCAATTCCACTAACTGCAAGTGGAGAAAAGTTAGGATTCACCTCACCAGCAGCCAAGAGAGTGATGATTCCCTCCTGCTCTCCTGTGTGCAGTTGTCCCCTTCACTGTTGGGTGCCCTCCAGCTCTTGATACAAATTCCAGACAGCCTTTTTTCTTCTGGCTTCCATGAGCATCTGGAAGATAAGACTCTTGGCTTGTTTACAGCCCCCTGTTCAGACCTGTTAACTGTCTTCTTGCTCTAACCAGACCCTGCCAATAATAGTTGTGTGAGATTCAAATGGTGTGAAAGACCTCGGATGTCTGTGAGGATAATTTGTCCCTTTGAAATTGCACTCTCTCTCACCCTCAGGGCTTCTGCATCAAACTGTGTCTCTCTGTTTTGGTTTTATTCTCTCCATACTGAGACAGCGCTATTTGCTTGTTTCTTTTTTTTTTTTTCCTTTCCCTCAGGAATAGAAACCTGAATTGCTTTGTATAGAAAACCAAATTACTGAATTATGAAAAAAAGAAAAAAAAAGATCTATTACCCCTTCAGAATGAAGATAAATATACAGCTTGTGGTGTAATGCATCAATTTGAGTAGTAAATACAGAAAACAGAAATGATATTTATATAGAGGAAAGGAATGAAGATATCACATCACCATAGAGAATAATAAAGATGAAGAAGGCGGGTTGGATTGCAGAACTGATAAAGTTAAACCCACAGGCAATGCCAGTTCTACTCAGGGATGCGGAGGACTGGAGGTCTATGTGATAGACATGGAGAGGTTTGGCATTTTTGGTTCTGCTGCGCACCATTGACCACTTGGTTGCTTCAGTGTGTGGCATTTACCTCTGGAAAACTCATTTCCTGGAACAAAGTGCTGCCTGCATTTTTTTAAAAAGCAAATAACAATAGCTATTATTTTTCCGGCCCTAATGACATAAGAATTTTACATAGATTTAATGTAATCTTTATGACAAACTTATGAGTGGTGACTGTTATTGTCATTATTATTTTATTGATAGAAACATGCACAGAGAAGTGAAGCAACTTGTCCAAAGTCACACAGCAAATAAGTAACAGAAGCTAGATTCAAGGCAGGTGGTCTGATGCCATGGTTAGTTCACTTAACTGCAATGCTGTACTCCCTCTCCTCATTCCTGAAAAGGTTGACAGGGTTTATTTCTAGCTTATTATAGGTAAGTGGTTAGCAGAGACATAAAAGGGACATCTCCATGTATGTAGGTGGGGGTGGGAATCCTGAATCCACAGGAAAGTGATCAAGTGACGGGAAAGTGGTCCTGAGGGTCATTGCAACCAACTTCTTCAACTTCTCTCAGTTTACCATATTGTCTAGGGATGACTGGGCTCAAATGCCAGGTTCAGATAGAAACTGATTTTTGAAGACACTCTGGAAGACCTGCAGCTGATGATGTACTAAACAACGGCAATGAATTAACCAGCTCTGACCACTGCATGCCAGGGACTGAAGGCGTCTGAGTATTCCAGGCATATTTTGTCCCTTTAAAGTTGGGAGTCATTTGGTGTCCATGAAAGGACAGGGCAGCATTGTCAGGACTTTGGTGGGAACCATTTTACTGGGGTCTCAGGCCCAACTGAGATTGTCTTCTGGCTTCAGAAGCATGTCTTCATAAGTGCAGAGAACTTCCCCAGGCAGGAAGAGGGCAGCCTCTGCCTGCAGGTGAATGGGTTCCTCTCTGTGCACCCGTCCTGACCATCCACAGCCATCCCATTTAAGACCCTACTGCCTTGACTTTCAAGCCTGTCTGACCCCAGATAGCAGCTTTTTCTGCCCTGACATTTGGCATCAGTTTCACTGTCAAGCTTGCTAGAAACCTTGGACACCTGCCCTGTCTACTTCCACCCTTACTTGGGGATGACACCAGCTTGTTCAAGCTCAGGTCAGCCTACGAAAAGGATGGAACTGCTTGCCTCACATCCCATCTCCTTCCCTCTCTGGGTGGAGCCTCCTAGAGCTCTTCTGGCCACCCATTTCCAGGTGCCATGTTCCATCTTTTTGAGCCTCCTCTCTTCCTATCAATGGAACTATCCTCTACTGCGCCCCCTTAGGAAGACATACGTGTGCCTTCCAAGTGGACAATTTCTAAAGAAAAGCAAAAAGAAATCGCTGTACTAATAGGATAAACCTCAGGAATAATTCTACAGTGGCTTTCTGAATACATTGTGGGTTTGTGTCCAGTGCCCTACCTGCTTCATTAGTAGGAGTATTCAGCCTGACAGGAGAAGTAGGTGTCAGAATTTCTTATCTTTTACCCATTCACACATTACTCATACAACTAAGGAACAGTTCTTGTATTCAGCTATCTTCTGAGTTTGGGGTTGTGAACCTATCTTCCTTGCCAGATTACGAATGCCTTGAAGGGTGCGATTATGCCTTCACGTCTCTGCAGGGTATCTTGCCCTTAGGAGATGTCAATAATTTTTTTTTTTTTTTGAGATAGGATCTTGCTCTATTGCTGGGCTGGAGTGCAGTGGTGCAATCATGGGTCACTGCAGCCTCAAACTCCTGGGGTCTGGTAATCCTCCCACCTTAGCCTCCCAAACAGGACACCTGTCCTGTCTGCTCCCACCCTTACATGGGGATGACATCAGATTGTTTAAGTTCAGGTCAATCTATGAAATGGATGGAACTGCTTGCCTCACTTTCCATCTCCTTCCCTCTCTGGAGGGTGCCTCCTAGAGGTCTTCTGGCCACCCACCTGCTTGCCTCATAAATCCCATCTGGGACTATAGGAGTGCACCACCATGCCCAGCTACTTTTTAAAATTTTTTGTAGTGATGGGGTCTCGCTATGTTGCCCAGCCTGGTCTCTAATTCCTGGCCTTAAATACTTCTCCCCTCCAGGGCTCCCAAAGCACTGGGATTACAAGCATGAGGCACCGCGCCTAGCCTCAATAATAATAACAATAATAAATTAATGTTGAAGTTCCATAAACTTGTGAAATGTCACCCAGCATCGAGAGGGAAGCATGTTCATGCCAACCAAGATCAGCAGGTGGACAACACTCTTTTGAGGGAAAGGAGGGGTTTTGTAGGGCAGAGTGGTCAGGACTGGCTCTATGAAGGAAGCTGGAGATGAACATATTCCTGAAAGAAGAGAAGAAAAGAGAAGAGAAGAGAAGTGAAGTGAAGATAAGCAAAGAGAAGAGAAGAGAAGAGAAGAGAAGAGAAGAGAAGAGAAGAGAAGCAAGAGCCTCCAGGCAGGAGGAACTGTGCTACTAAAAAGAGAGAGGAAGGGTCTTGTGCATCAGGTGAGTTTTAGGATGGTGTGCTCTGACCAGATCAGCTGGGCTGCAGCAGGGGGCTCAAGAGGGATTGCTGGAATTATGTTTGAACACAGGCACATCTTGTTTCATTGCATGTCACTTTATTGCACTTTGCAGAGATTGCAGTTTTTACAAATTGAAAGTTTGTCACCTTGCTGATTTCCTTGAGCAGTGGTTTGTAATTCTCCATGAAGAGGTCCTTCACTTCCCTTGTTAGCTGTATTCCTAAGTATTTTATTCTGTTTGTAGCAATTGCGAATGGGAGTTCACTCATGATTTGACTCTCTGTTTGTCTGTTGAAATTGGTGTATAAGAATGCCTGTGATTTTTGCACATTGATTTTGTGTCTTGAGACTTTGTGGAAGTTGCTTATCAGCTTAAGATGCTTTTGGGCTGAGACAATGGGGTTTTCTAGATATAAGATCGTGTCATCTGCAAACAGAGACAGTTTGACTTCCTCTCTTCCTATTTGAATACACGTTATTTCTTTCTCTTGCCTGATTGCCCTGGCCAGAACTTCCAATACTATGTTGAAAAGGAGTGGTAAGAGAGGGCATCCTTGTCTTGTGCCGGTTTTCAAGGAGATAGCTTCCAGCTTTTGCCCATTCAGTATGATACTGGTTGTGGGTTTGTCACAAATGGCTGTTAATATTTTTAGGTATGTTCCATCGATATCTACTTTATAGAGAGTTTTTAACAGGAAGCCATGCTGAATTTTATCAAAGGCCTTTTCTGAGTCTATTGAGATAATCATGAGGTTTTATCTTTGGTTCTGTTTATGTGATAAATTAGGTTTGCAGGGACATGGATGGAGCTGGAAGCCATTATCCTCAGCAAACTAATGCAGGAACAGAAAACCAAACACCACATGTTCTCACTTATAAGTGGGAGCTGAACAATGAGATCACATGGACACAGGGAGGGGAACAACACACACTGGGGCCTGTTGGGGGGTGGAGTAGGGGGAGGGAAAGCATTAGGAAAAATAGTTAATGCATGCTGGGCTTAATACCTAGGTGGCCGTGCACAGTGGGTCACGCCTATAATCCCAGCACTTTGGAAGTCCAAGGCGGATGGATTACCTGAGGTCGGGAGTTCGAGACCAGCCTGACCAAAATGGAGAAACTCAGTCTCTACTAGAAATACAAAATTAGCCAGGCATGGTGGCGCATGCCTGTAATCCCAGCTACTCGGGAGGCTGAGGCAGGAGAATCACTTGAACCTGGGAGGTGGAGGTTGCGGTGAGCCGAGATTGTGCCATTGCACTCCAGCCTGGGCAACAAGAGCTAAAGTCCATCTCAAAACAAACAAACAAACAAACAAAAAGCAAACAAAAAAACCTAGGTGATGGGTTGTTAGGTACAGCAAACCACCATGGTACACATTTACCTATGAAACAAACCGGCACATCCTGCACATGTATCCCAGAACCTAAAATAAAATAGAATAAAAAGAAAGTTTGTCGCAACCCTGCATGAAGCAAGTCTACCAGCGCTATTTTCCAACCAGCATATGCTCATTTCATGTCTCTGTGTCACATTGCAGTAATCCTGGCAATATTTCAAGCTTTTTCATTATTATTATCTCTGTTATGATGATCTATGACACGTTATCTTTGGTGTTACCATCATAGTTGTTTGGGGGGCAATACAAACTGTGTGAAATGGTAACTTATGTAAAACGGTGAACTTAATTGATCAATGTTGTATGTGTTCCGAGTTCTCCACTGACCGACTGCTTCCCGGCCTCTCTCCCTCTCTATGGGCCTTCCTATCCCCTGAGACAAAACAGTATTGAAATTAGGCCAGTTAATAGCCAATTCATCCAAGCTGCTAAGTGTTCAAGTGAAAAGACATGTCACACGTCTCTCTCTTTAAATCAAAAGCTAGAAATGATGAAGCTTAGTGAGGAAGGCATGTTGAAAGCTGATTTAGGCTGAAATCTAGGCCTCTTGTGCCAAACAGCCAAGTTCTGAACGCGAAGGAAAAGTTCTTGAAAGAAATTAAATGTGCTACTCCAGTGAACACACATGTGATAAGAAAATGAAACAGCTTTGTTGCTGACATGGAGGAAGTTTTAGTGGACTGAATAGGAGATTTAAGCAGTCATAATATGTTCTTAAGCCAAAGCCTAATCCAGAGCAAGGGCCTAACTCTCTTCAATGCTGTGAAGGCTGAGAGATGTGAAGAAGCTGCAGAAGAAAAGTTGGAAGCTAGCAGAGGTTGGTTCATGAGGCTTAAGGAAAGAAACTGTCTCCATAACATAAAAGTGTGACATTTAAGCAGCAAGTTATCCAGACATAGCTAAGATCATTGATGAAAGTGGCTACACTCAACAATATATTTTCAATATAGACAAAAGAGTCTCATGTCAGAAGATGCCATCTAGAACTTTCCTAGCTAGAGAGAAGTCAATGCCTGGCTTCAAAGCTTCAAAGGACAGGTTGACTGTCTTGTGAGAGGCTGATGCAGCTTGTCACTAAGTTGAAAGCGATGCTCATTTATCATTCCAAAAATTCTAGGGCCCTTAAAAATCATGCTAAATCTACTCTGCCTGTGCTCTATAAATGGAACAGCAAAGCTGATGGCACATCTGTTTACAAGACAGTTTGTTGAATATTTTAAGCCCACTGTTAGGATCCACAGCTTAGAAAAAAAAGGTTTGTTTTTCTCAAATATTCCTGCTCATTGACAATGCACCTGGTCACCCAAGAGCTCCGATGGAGATGTACAAGGAAATGAATGTTCTTTTCATGCCTTCTAACATAACATCCATTTTGCTAACCATGAATCAAAGAGTAATATCAACTTTCAAGTCTTATTATTTAAGAAATGCTTTTCATAAGGCTATAGCTGCCATAAATCGTGATTCCTCTGGTGGATCTGGGCAAAGTCAATTGAAAACCTTTTGGAAAGGATTCACCATCTAGATGCCATTAAGAACATTTGTGATTCATGGGAGTAGGTCAAAATATCAGCATGAACAGGAGTGTGGAAGAAATGGATTCCAACCCTTGTGGATGACCTGGAGGGTTTCAAGGCTTCAGTGGAAGGAACTGCAGATGTGGTGGAAATAGCAAGAGAAATAGAATTAAAATGGAGCCTGCAGATGGGACTAAATTGCTACAATCTCATGATCAAACTTGAACAGATGAGGAGTTGCTTCTTATGGATAAGCAGAGAAAGGGGTCTCTTAAGATGGAATTCACTCCTGATGAAGATGCTGTGAATACTGTTGAAATGGCAACAAAGCAGCCAGGTGCAGTGGCTCACACCTGTTATCCCAGCACTTTGGGAGTCCGAGGTGAGGGGATCACTTGAGGTCAGGAGTTCGCGACCAGCCTGGCCAACATGGTGAAACCCTGACTCTACTAAAAATACAAAAATTAGCTGGGTGTGGTGGCATGCGCCTGTAATGCCAGCTATTTGGGAGGCTGGGGCAAGTGAATCACTTTAACCCGGGGAAGGAGGGTGCAGTGAGCCGAGATCGCACCACTGCACTCAGGCCTGGGTGACAGAGTGAGACTCCGTCTCAATAAAAAATTAAAAAAAAAAAAAGGAAATGACAACAGAGGATTTAGAATACTGCATAAACCTATAAACTTAGCTGGTAAAGCAGGAACAGGGCTTGAGAATATTGACTCCAAATTTTGAAAAAAGTTCTACTGTGGGTAAAGTGCTATGAAACAGCACTGCATGGTATAGAGAAATTTTTTTGTGAAAGGAAGAGTCAACTGATATGGCAAATCTCACTATTGTCTTATTGAAGAAATCGCCACAGCTACCCCAGCCGTCAGCAACCACCACCCTGATCAGTCAGCAGCCATCAACATCAAGGCAAGACCCCACCAGCAACAAGATTACAACTCACAGAAGGCTCAGATGATCGTTAGCATTTTTTAGCAATCAAGTACTTTTTAATTAAGGTATGTAAATTTTTTAGACATAGTGCTATTGCACACTTAATAGACTACAATAGAGTGTAAACCTAATTTTTATGTACTGAGAAGCTAAAAAAAATTGTGTGACTCACTTTGTAGCAATAATTGTTTTATTGCAGTGGTCTGGAACTGAACCTGCAATATTTCCTAGGTATACCTGTAGAGAGTTCAAGGCTAGATTATTTACCTATTTATTTATTTATTTATTTACTTATTTATTTATTTATTTTTGAGACCGAGTCTCACTCTGTCACCCAGGCTGGAATGTAGTAGCGTGACCTTGGCCCACTTCCAAGTTCCAGGTTCAAGCGATTCTCCTGCCTCAGCCTCCCAAGTAGCTGGGATTACAGACATATGCCACCATGCCCGGTTACTTCTTGTATTTTTAGTAGAGGCAGGGTTTCACCATGTTGGCCAGGATGGTCTCGATCTCCTGATCTCATGATCCACCCACCTCGGCCTCCCAAAGTGCTGGGATTACAGGTGTGAGCCACCGCGCCCGGCCAGTCATGCACATTTTCTATCTTCAGCTTTGCGAGACCAGAGATGATATTTTATGTAAAGAAGGAGGAGCATTTGACATGGCTGATTTGACACAGATATAGTGATACCTATGACTTTTATTGAATCCCCTAGGAACTGAACAGAGACATTGTTGATGATGGTCAAATTTCTAAATCTCGCCCTTCTCTGGTGATCAAAATAGCTTTATTATTATTTATTTATTTACTTTTATTTTTATTTTAAGTTCTGGGGTACAGGTACAGGTACAGGATGTGCAGGTTTGTTACACAGGTAAACGTGTACCATGGTGGTTTGCTGCACCTATCAACCCATCACCTAGGTATTAAGTCCAGCATGCATTAGCTATTTGTCCTGATGCTCTCCCTCCCCCAACCCTACCCTCAACAGGCCCCACTGTGTTGTTCCCCTCCCTGTGTGCTGTCATTGTTCAGCTCCCTCCTATAAGTGAGAACATGCGGTATTTGGCTTTCTGTTCCTGCGTTAGTTTGCTGAAGATAATGGCTTCCAGTTTCATCCACATCCCTGCAAAGGACATGATGTGATTCCTTTTTATGGCTGTATAGTATTCCATGGTATACATGTACCACATTTTCTTTATCCAGTTTATCACTGATGGGTATTTGGGTTGATTCCATGTCTTTGCTCACAATAGCTTTATTTTAACTGAGCACTTATTCTGTTCGAAGCACTGTGCTGATACCTTTGGGATGTTTGGCCCCTCCAAATCTCATGTTGAAATTTGATCTCCAGTGTTAGAGGTGTGGCCTGGTGGGAGATGTTTGGGTCATGGGGCGGGTCCTTTGAGGAAGGCTTGGTGGCCTCCTCTGGGTCATGACTGAGCTCTAGCTCTATTAGTTCTCACGAGAGGCGATTATTGAAAAGAGCGTGGCACCCCTCCCTCTCTCTTTCTTTCTCTCTTGCTTTGTGATACCTGTTTCCCTTCCCTTTCTGCCATGAGTAAGAGCCTCCCAAAGCCCTCACTAGAAGCCAATGCTGGTGCCATACTTCTTGTACAGACAGCCTGCAGACCTGTGAGCTAAATAAACCCCTTTTCTTTTTCTTTTTTGTTTGAGACATGGTCTCACTCTGTCACCCAAGCTGGAGGGCAGTGGTATGATTACGGCTCACTGCAGCGTCAACCTCCTAGGCCCAATTGATCCTCCCATCTCAGCCTCACGAGTAGCTGGGATTACAGGTGTGCACCACCACACCCAACTAATTTTTGTGTTTTTTGTAGAGACGGGGATTTGCCATGTTGCCCAGGCTGTTCTCAAACTCCTAACCTCATACAATCCTCCCACCTTGGCCTCCCGAAGTGCTGGGATCACGGGAGCGAGACACTACACCCAGCTTAAACCTCTTTTCTTTATAAATTACCCAAGGTCAGGTGTTCTCTTATAGCAATGCAAAATGATTCAGACATGTGCTAAGCACTTGATATGTATTAGATTCATTCCTCCTGATCTCTCAATGGGCCTGTGAGGAAGGTATATTCTTAACCCTATTTTATATAAAGGAAACAGGGTCAATGATACAAGATTGGTAAATGGCAAAGGCTGCACTTGAACTCAGATCCCATAGTGAAGTAAGGCTCTGACCCCATCCACCCCTTACCACCACACTCTCCTCTGTTTTGCCCATTCCTGACTCACTCAGCTCCTCTTTCCCTCCCTGCCCCATCCGATTCCTGAGTCTGGAGACAGCTCTGGGAAGCTTGTGAGATCCATAGGGATGGGATAGAGTTGAGATACTTGCTAAGAAGAACTGGCAGGCACAGAGCAGAGAAAAAATAAGCAAGCAGGCCAGGCGTGGTGGCTCATGCCTCTAATCCCAGCCCTTTGGAAGGCCAAGGCGAGCGGATCACCTGAGGTCAGGAGTTCGAAACCAGCCTCACCAAAATGAAGAAACCCCGTCTCTACTAAAAATACAAAATTAGCCAAGTGTCGTGGTGCATGCCTGTAATCCCAGCTACTTGGGAGGCTGAGGCACGAGAATTGCTTGAACCCAGAGGACTGAGGTTGCAGTGAGCCGAGATGGTGCCACTGCACTCCACCCTGGGTGACAAGAGTGAAACTCTGTCTCAAAAAAAAAAAAAGAAGAAGAAAGAAAGAAAGAATAAACAATCAAATAAAAATCTTGTAATTTTAATGACTTCTTGTTCCATCTTCATCAAATTGTCACCAAGACAAAATCGTAGAATGAAAATAGCATGTCCACATTGATGTAACCGTGAACGCCCTAGAATGCATTGTGCCTTATATGTGGAAGAGACTCATAAATGTTTGCCAAATGAGCTATTGCTTCCTTACCTTTTTCTATTATGAAGAGAATGAATCCCTATGTGCCTGAAGAGCTATGTAATTTTAATAAAGCACCAAATAAAATAGAATATGAGAATTGGTAGGAGCTTTAGAAACCTACTAGTTCAACCATCTTGTTTTGTTTTATTTTATTTATTTTTAGACACAGGATTTTGCACTGTCATCCAGGCTGGAGTGCAGTGACGCAATCACAGCTCGCTGTAGCCTCGAACACCTGGGCTCAAGTGATCCTCCCGCCTCAGCCTCAAAAAGTGCTGGGATGGCCGGGTGCAGTGGCTCATGCCCTATAATCCCAGCATTTTGGGAGGCCGAGGTGGGTGGATCACCTGAGGTCAGGAGTTCAAGATCAGCCTGGCCAACATGGTGAAACCCCATCTCTACTAAAAAAAAAAAAAATACAAAAATTAGCTGGGCGTGGTGGCACATGCCTGTAATCCTGGTTACTTGGGAGGCTGAGGCAGAATTGCTTGAATCCGGGAGGCGGAGGTTGCAGTGAGCCAAGATTGCACCATTGCACTCCAGCCTGGGCAACAGAGTGAGACTCTGTCTCAAAAATAAAATAACTGAATAAATAAGTGCTGGGATTACAGGCATTAGCCACTGTGCTCAGCCCATCTCGTTTTACAGATGAAAGTCCAGAGAGTATTGCAGAACTCACTGTTAGCAAGGCTGGGAACAGGCAGTAGTTGTGGTCCCCTCAATTCCTTTCTGACATTTCTGGCCTGGACAGGCAGGTGGTGGAGGGATTGTTTGTTTGGGGACAGTCATAGGCTGGCTCAGAGGAAGAAGGGAGCCAATAGATTCCTTTTCCTCTCCCGTGTTTTTAAGCACTGCAGCTACCCATGCAAATTGCCTCTTGGAATGATATATTTTTGCATATGGTGACTTGTATGTCAATAGCAAGTTGTTTTCATCATGCCAGTGCCAGAGAAATTGACGATCTCATCAGTAATGTGTTCGGAACCTGTCTTTGGTGCCAGCAAAACCCTTTTTATACGTGGGCTTACTCGTCAGCTGTCCAAATACAGTATGATTAATCTGGCCTGCTAGGGAGAAGAGAGAGGGCTTGAACTATAGGAAGTGACAATGGTTAGGAAAATTGTTATGTTACAATGCCAATGATTTCCCTATAAGATTCAAATATGAATTAAGCTGTTCACTGGCCCCTACCAACAGAGGCACAATTATGCCTAGCCAGCCTTGGAATTCCATAGAGATCCTGCTGTAAAGCCTTGTTCTAGAAATATTGCAGGGTCTTTTCTTTTTTCCTTCCTTCCTTCCTTCCTTCCTCCCTCCCTCCCTCCCTCCCTCTCTTTCTTTCTTTCTTTCTTTATTTCTTTCTCCTTCCTTCCTTCCCTCTTTCTTTCTTTCTTTCTTTCTTTCTTTCTTTTTCTTTCTTTCTTTCTTCCCTCTTTTCTTTTCTTTTTTTTGAGACAATGTTTCCTTCTATCACCCAGGCTGGAGTGCAGTGGTGCCATCATGACTCACTGCACCCTCGAACTCCTGGCTTCAAGCAATCCTCCCACCTCAGCCTCCCAAGTAGCTGAGACTACAGGCATGCGACACCATGCCCAGCTATTCTTTTATTTTTTGTAGAGATGGGGTCTCACTGTGTCGCCCAGGCTGGTCTTGAACTCGGGCTCAAACGATTCTCCAACCTCAGCCTCCCAAAGAGCTGGGATTACAGGAGTGAGCTGCTGCACCCAGCCAGTGGCTTATTTTCCCAGCAGAGAGGACTATGTATGACCTTCCTGAAAAAGTTCCCTGTGGCCCAGAATTTAAAGTCTTACCAGTTACTAAACGTAACATTAGACGCTGAAGTTATGAGAAGAGATTCTGTGACACAGGCGGAAACCAAACCACTTTCATTGCTTTTGTCAGTCCTTGGGGTCTGAAAGTGAGTCATTCTTTAAGAACTTAGAAATGAGGGAAGTAACGATGCCTTCTGAGTGTTAAACTTTAATACAGATACATAATAGATCAGAGTGGAAATACTGCAAAGTCATCTTAAAGAGACAGTGAGAATAGACAACCGTCTTAGTATAGCTACTCACATAGTCAAAGAAGGACGTTGGCAATCAGGAGACTCTCCACGGAAATCTAGGTAACATCACGCAGGGAGATGGAGCTTGAACTAAAGATCTTGTTTTTGTTTTCATTTTTGTTTTGAGATGGAGTCTCACTCTGTTGCCCAGGCTGGAGTGTAGTGGTGCGATCTTGGCTCACTGCAACCTCCACCTCCCTGGGTTCAAGCGATTCTCCTGTCTCAGCCCCCCAAGTAGCTGGGATTATAGGTGCACACCACCGCGCCTGGCTAATTTTGGGGTTTTTTGTTTGTTTGTTTGTTTTTGAGACAGAGTCTCGCTTTTTCACCCAGGCTGGAGTGCAGTGGTGCAATCTTGGCTCACTCACCTCCGCCTCCTGGGTTCAAATGATTCTCCTGCCTCAGCCCCCCAAGCAGCTGGGATTACAGGCGTGCACCATCATGTCTCGCTAATTTTTATATTTTTAGTAGAGACAGGGTTTCATGATTTGGCCAGACTGGTCTTGAACTCCTGAGCTCAAGTGATCTGCCCACCTCAGCCTCCCAAAGTGCTGGGATTACTGGCATGAGCCACCGCGCCCAGCCTTAACTGAAGATCTTTAAGAGTTTCTGATCCTGTAGCCACAGGCACCGCTACCATAGGATAGATGTGAAAGTTGTAGTCAACCCATTCCAAGTCTCATTGTTAAAGCAAATTCTGCTTCATTCTGAGGCTCTCAAACATTCAGTCCAGCTAAAAGATTCTTCTTACTCTGATTGTGTGCTCCTTAAACACCATTTTTATGTAGCAGTTATAAATAAATGTCCCACTGTACTTTTAGAAGCCACTGTTTGGTTTTATACATCAAGCCTGCAGGTTTGGTTAATGTGAGTTTTCCTCTGAGAGAAGGACCTTCTCTATATGAGTTAACAATATTACATTTCTAGGCATGGAGGAAGAAGGGCAGAGGTAAAGTCCTGGGTGGTGGTTTATTAAATAAGGTCAGGACAGCCACATCATGAGGGAGCTTCATGGAGGAGAACCATTCCTGCTTCTACGGAGTGCAACGTCTTCTAGCTCATTTCATTTAAAGCCAAGAGTTTCAGAACATTGCATGATAGAAATATATCCATAGATACTCTCTTCATTTTATTTTATTTCATTATTTTGAGACAGGGTCTCGTTCTGCTGCTCAGGCTGGAGTGCAGTGGCACAATTACAGCTCACTACAGCTTCAGACTCCTGTGCCCAAGTGATGTCCCTACACCTCAGCCCCCCAGGTAGCCAGGACTATAGACATGCACCACCATTTCTGGCTAATTTTTTTTTTTTTTCCTAGAGAATGGGTCTCATTATGTCACCCAGGCTGGTCTTGAACTCCTTGGCTGAAGCAATCCTTCTGCCTTTGCCTCCCAAAGTGCTATGATTACAGGTGTGAGCCACCATGACCAGCACACCCATAGATACTCTTTGAAGGGGCAGCTAGGATGAAATGTATGTAAAAGGGCTAAGCAACTTATAAGTGGCTGGTATGGGCATACGTTAAGACTGCTTGGTGCAGCCTGGGGATGGATGAAGGCGAGTGGTGGAAATAAGGACCAGGCTGTAGCCACAGAGAAGATTTTCATCCTGGACTGTTGTATTAGTGACTAGAGGCAATTCTGCGTCATTTAATTTCCCCCTGGCAGATGAGAGTGATTTGAAAGTGTACCCTAAATTCTTTGGTTCTGTGTTTGTAGTCTGTAGTAAATGGTGAAAACCCAGAGAAAATAATACATATTGCTCAACCTCAGACCAGAGGGAAGAAAATGGTCCTTTGTAGGATTCTTCTTAATTTTCTCTATGTGTTAGGAAAATTATAGTAGTAGCTCCTTCCCCAATCTTTTCGTTCTTCGGTAGCTGCTTCAGCTGTCCAGGGTTAGCACCATGGCTGCATGAGATCATTAGGAACCCAGGATTTTTGCTTTGATGTCCTTAGTATGTGCTCCTCTCTGTGGTTTCAATATGGCTTCTGCACTATTGATGCAGGGCAGGTGAGCCTCAATTTTGTAGCTCACCTACCGTCCATCTACTTTCCTGGCCATGTTCTAGGCAGGAAAAAAGAAAAAAGTGAGATGAGATAGTGTGTTCCAGCAGAGTGAGCCCTCTTTAAGAAACTTTCCAGAAAGCACCACTCAACACTTATATCTTATTGGCTAGAATGGTGTCACATGGTTACCTTCAGCTGCAAAGAATTCTGGGAAGCCTTTTTTTTTTTAAGGGTGGTCCCTTGGTAGCTGTATTTTGGATGAAAATGGGGAAGGCTTGGTAACTGGGCATCTCTGCCATGGCTTTCAAGGCAGAGACTTGGGGCTCCATCTAGATTTCTCCATTCCCTCACCCTTCTCATTCAAGAAACCAACAATTCATAGCAACACATCAACATTTCTTTCACTCACACATCTCTGACCCTATTCATTCCTGCTGGGCTTGTCTTAGTTCAGGACTCATTTCACCCTAACTGTTATATTAGGTAAGAATTTCTACTGGTTCCACTGCACGCTGTCTCATCTTCAACTCAGCATCCCTCTGCTTGCAGCCTTTCAATGTCTCCACATTGCCCTTGGCATGAAGAAGAGATTTCTTGCGTACAGATTTCCTCATGATGTAAACTTTGTCTGTGTCTCCAGCTTCATGTCCTTCTGTTTCCATCTGTGTTCATTTTGCTTCACAGTAGCAAGTAGGACTGTGCCCTCATGATCAACTTTCACTCGTCTCTTTCATACTCCACGTTTGATCCATCCATAGATTCCAGTGGCTCCACCTTTAGCATATATGTGGAATGGGACCTCTTCTTGAAAGGCAATTGTGGCTGGGCACAGTGGCCCACACCTGTAATCCCAGCACTTTGAGAGGCCAAGGCGGGAGGGCTGTATGAGCTTAGGAGTTCAAGACAAGCCTAGGCTACATGGCAAAACCTCGTCTTTGCAAAAAAAAAAAAATACAAAAATTAGCTAGGTGTGGTGGTATGCGCCTGTAGTCCCAGCTCTTTGGGAGGCTAAGATGGGAAGATCACTTGAGCCCAGGAGGTGGAGGCTACAGTTATCTGTGATCATACCACTGCACTCCAGTCTGGGCAACAGAGCAAGACCCTGTCACAAAAAAAAAAAAAAAAAAAAAAGAGAGAGAGAGAAAGAAAAGAAAAAAAAAGCAAAAACAAACAACAGGATAATTGTTGAGTGACAAAGGAATGAATTAATGAATGCTGGATACACAATGCATTTCATAAATACTGATTCACTCAAAGGTAGCATGATGCATCCCCACGGGGGGGATATTAATAAAGGCTAGAGTTTTTTATGTTTATGTAATGTCAGGTGTGGGACATATATTATTTCTAATCCTCATAATAACCCTACAGAGTCTTTTTTTTTTTTTTTTTAACAGAGTCCTGCTGTGTCACCCAGGCTGGAGTGCAGTGGCACAATCTCAGCTCACTGAAACCTCTGCTTCCCGGGTTCAAGCGATTCTCCTGCCTCAGCCTCCCAAGCAGCTGAGATTACAGGCACACACCACCATGCCTGGCTAACTTTTGTATTTTTAGTAGAGACGGGGTTTCACCATGTTGGCTGGCTGGTCTCAAACTCCTGATCTCAAGTGATCTGCCCACCTCGGCCTCCCAAAGTGCTGAGATTACAGGCATGAGCCACTGCGCCTGCCCCAAAGTCTATTGTTTTTAACTGATGATAATAATAGCTTGTTATAGTTAATACTTCTTTATCGCTTACTATGGGGCAGACATTAAGCTGAGTGCTTTACATGAGATACCTTGTTTAATTCTCAGTTCAATCCAAAGAGGTAGCTTCTGTTCTTCCTCCCACTTCTCCATATAAAGAAACTGAAGCTAATGGAGATTAAGTGATGTCCAAAGTCACAGATGGGCTGGAAGATACTTTCTACTCACTCAGCATCATCCATCTGTAGGACAGGGACTGAAAGAGTTTTCCAAAGCTTCCGCTAAGCAGCAGGCATTGGACGTGATGGCTCATGCCTGTAATTCCAGCACTTTGAGAGGCCAAGCAGGTGGATCACTTAAGGTCAGGAGTTCAAGACCAGCCTGGCCAACATGGTGAAATCCCGTCTCTACTAAAAATACAAAAATTAGCTGGGCCTGGTGGTGCACACCTGTAATCCCAGCTACTCAGGAGGCTGAGGCACGAGAATCACTTGAACCCGGGAGGCGGAGGTTGTAATAAGCTGTGATCATGCCACTGCACTCCAGCCTGGGTGACAGAGAGAGACTGTGTTAAAAAAAAAAAAAAAAAAAAGCAACAGACATTCAGGGCATTTATAGGCATTCAGTGCTCCTTTAGCTTTTGGTTGACCATTTCATGCCTTTCTTTCTGCAGTTTTATATCGTATCTGTAAAATATTAAAGCCCCTACATTCCTTAGCAAATACCACAAGTTTAAGAGTTGGGAAGGAGAAAATGACATTAGCGATAATTATTATAAATGATAATATTTGGCTGTTTCTGTCCAGATTATAGATTTTTCCTCATCCCTGAGAGAAGCAGTACAGGACAATAATCAGTACAGTGTACCGTGGAGTTGGTCTGTCTGGTTTCTGATTTCTGGTTCTAGTTTCATGATCCTAGGCATGTTACTTAGCTCCTCTGTGCCTAGTTTACTCAAAAGCAATCTGAATGCGATAATAGTTCCTCTCTCATGGGGTTGTTGTAAGGACACCTTTTTAGGTGCTTATGACAGAGCCTGATACTTAGCAATCTACAAACATTAATTGGTAGTTTTGTGGCAGTAGTCACAGTCACATTCTTTCTTTTTATTATAGTAAAAATTTTGACGGTGAGATATTTCTAAACTGGTTTGGCCTATATCAGGAGCTATCTAGTTAATATTGAGATTTTAAGAGGTTTTTGTCCTCATGAGCACTTCCCAGTGTCAGATGAAGAACTTCAGGCTGATGTAGTGTTTGCCGTTAATTGCAGGAGTCTTACGCGCTTCCTTAAAATGGGTCAGGGTCGGCCAAGCGCGGTGGCTCAATCCTGTAATCCCAGCACTTTGGGAGGCTGAGATGGATCTCTTGACGTCAGGAGTTTGAGACCAGCCTGGCTAACATGGCGAAACCCCATTTCTACTAAAAATACGAAAATTAGCTGGGTGTGGTGGTGGGCACCTGTAGTCCTAGCTATTGGGGAGGCTGAAGCAGGAGAATCGCTTGAACCTGGGAGGCAGAGGTTGCAGTGAACCAAGATCGCACCATTGCACTCCAACCTGGGCAACAAGAGCAAAACTCCGTCTCAAAAAAAAAAAAATGGGGCCAGGATCCATATTAAAGTAGTGAACATTTGCTGTGTCTCACTCAGAATTTATTCCCTACCCTTCTTTTGATAACATTAGCCAGAGCTTTCTTTGGGAACTTATTAAACACACAATTCTTAGACCCCCTACCCAGTTCTTCTGAGTCTGAAATTCTGGGGATGGGGGTGCCTAGTGATCTTTGGATTTTAGCAACGTTTTCCATGTATTCTGAATGCAGACAGAGTCACTAGAGATCTAGATCCACTGATCTGAAATCGTGCTACTTGCAAATGTTGATCTTACCAGTTGAATCATTCTTGTCATACCCAACTACAACAGAGTTGAGAAGCCAGGACATACAATATTGCTCCCAGAATGTAATTTTCTGCAAGCCTGGCTGCTGAAACTGCCTGTTGTAATCTGAGATCAGTTTTCTCTAATAGCTACTGAAAGAACTGACTGTGACTGACTCTAAGACTAATTTTAGCCACCACTGTCACTCACCAATCAGAGCTTTGCCAACTCCCGAAAACCTTACCAATATCAATGCATTTTCTTTAAAAATAGTGTGTGTATGTATATATACTGTATATACATACATACACACACATATATATATAGAACATTTCTCTTTTTAAAATAAAATCGCCAACCTTTTCTTTGTACTTCTGACATACCAAAGACCACCCAGTCTGTGTGTATGCCCCAAATTACAATTCTTTCTTCCCAAATAAAATGTTCAATTTCAGAGATTCTTAATTTGACATACTCAAAGTGTAGCTCCCAGACCAATAGCTCAACCATAACCTTGGAACTTGCTAAGAGTGCAGAATCCCAGGCTCTTTTCCAGACCAACCTAATGAGAATATGCTTTTTTTTTTTTTTTAGACAGAGTCTCAGTCTGTCACCCATGCGGAAGTACAGTGGCGCAATCTTGGCGCACTGCAACCTCTTCCTCCCATGCTCAAATGATTCTCATGCCTCAGCCTCCCAAGTAGCTGGGACTACAGGTGCACACCACCAGGCCGGGCTAATTTTTTGAATTTTTAGCACAAAAAATGGGGTTTCACCACGTTGACTAGGCTGGTCTCAAAATCCTACCTCAAGCAATCCGCTCACCTTGGCCTCCCAAAGTTCTGCACTCATAAGTGTGAGCCACTGCGCCTGGCCAAGAATATGCATTTTTAACAAGACCCCCAGGTAACTGACAGGGATATTCACATTTGAAAACACTGAGCTAGGGTACCTGTTCTCAAACTTGACCGATAGAGCTTTAAACACCACTGATGTATGGGACCCTCTCTTAGGGATTCTGATTTGATTGATGGATCTGGAGAGCAGCCTAGGTTTTGAATTTTTTTTTTTTTTTTTTTTTGCTCCCCAGGTAACTCTAATATTTAGCAAAGTTTGAGAGCCACTCAGCTAGGGTGGTGACCTAGGGCAATATTTCTGCAAATGTGCTCCCTCGTGCAGCAAGCACAGGCTTCCCTGGGAGAATGTGTTAGAAATGTAAATTCTCGGGCCCCACCCCAAAGCTACTGAGTCAGAAACTCTGGGGGCTGGGGCCCAACAACCTGTGTTTTAACAAGCCCTGCAGATAATACCAATGCAGCCTTGAGCTTGAGAACCATGATCCAAAGCCGGGGGACCCTTTTGATATAGCTGGCTGGGAATGGTGATGGGGGAGAGCACAAGGATCCCTAACTGTCAATTTGCCAGTAATGGATGGACCTCCCAGGAAGCAGGACTTTCACTGCTAAAACCACGATAGTCCTGACCAAACTGGGATGGTTGGTGTATTAGTCAGGGTTCTCTAGAGGGACAGAACTAATGGAATGTATATATATAGAGAGAGAGAGAGAGGAGTTTATTCAGTATCGACTCACACAATCACAAGATCCCACAATAGGCCGTCTGCAGGCTGAGGAGCAAGGAGAGCCAGTCTGAGTTCCAAAACTGAAGAACTTGGAGTCTGGTGTTTAAGGGTGGGAAGCCTCCAGCGCTGGAGACAAGATGTAGGATTGGAGGCTAGGCCAGTCTCTCCTTTCCCGTTTTTCTGCCTGCCTATATTCTAGCCACCCTGGCAGCTGATTAGATTGTGTACACCCAGATTAAGGGTGGGTCTGCCTTCCCCAGCCCACTGACTCAAATGTTAATCTCTTTTGGGCAACACCCTCACAAACACACCCAGGATCAATACTTTGTAACCTTAATCCAATCAAGTTGACACTCAGTATTTACCATCACAGTTGGTCACTCTAAGTCATGGAAGATTCCTTTATTTATTTATTTATGTATTTATTTTTTGGTAATAGAGTCTCACTCTGTTGCCCAGGCTGGAGAGTAATGGCAAGATCTCAGCTCACTGCAACCTCTGCCTCCTGAGTTCAAGCGATTCTCCTGCCTCAGCCTCCCAAGTAGCTGGGATTACAGGTGCGCACCACCACACTGGCTAATTTTTGTATTATTAGTAGAGATGTGGTTTCATCGTGTTGGCCAGGCTGGTCTCAAACCCCTGACCTCAGATGATCCACCAGCCTTGGCTTCCCAAAGTGCTGGGCCTCCTAAAGCGCTGGGACTACAGGCATGAGCCACTGCGACCAGCCAGACTCCATTTTTATTGAAGTGGCACAGAGCCCATTTCATTGGCCAAAATTCAGTCATATGGGTGCAATCTTAGTACAAGGAGGGCTGAAAAATGTGGCCTAGCTGTATGCCCAAGAGGAAGAGGAAAGTGCTTTGGTGAGAAGCTAAACAGTCTTTGCCATAGCTCCTAATCACTGCATAATGATCCCATCCTTTAAGTATGCACAGGGGCTGCAAATATCTAAAGACATTTCTACGAAGTGCTTGTTAGGAAAGGGTACATTCTTGTTCTCTGGGGACGCGATGCTTGCTGCTGACTTTTCTCTGTCAGTTCTCTGATTGTGCCATCAGCATCTGGTATTAACAGTTCAACAGGAATTAAAAAAAACCCCCAAACCTTCCCCAGCAAGTCTGTTCCCTTGTTGCAAGAGGTCTGCAGCTGGGATGTGATGGAGTGAGCATATGGCTTTAGGGAGGCCCATTTGGTTCACTTAGCAGAGTTCCGTGGCCTGTGAATGCTCAACACATTTTAACATTAAAGTCGTCAGGCAGCTGGCCTGATTCCTGCCTCCCTGCGCTGACTGGCTCTGAGGGCTGGCTATGCAGAAACAGAGACACGGGACAGATGATCTCCAGTGAGGCTCATGGACAGGAACGGTGCAAGGGGCTTTCTCAATGCATCACCCACTCCAGAGCATCTCTATTCAGGCTTTCTGCAAATGTCATGTCATTTGCTGAGGCAAGGAGGTTGTACTCCTTTGAATAGAAGGAGAACCAGCCCCCTTCGGTCGGGGGGCTTCTTTGAGGCAGAAAGAAATTAGGACACATGCCAGGCAAGTCTCGGCCTTCAAGGAGAGAGAAAGAGAAAAGACAAGCTCTGGAATATATTTGAGCAGGATTTGCAGATGGAAATACAGTTGGGTTCCTCTGGTTGGCAAGTTTTTAGTCAGGGCTTTTTTTTTTTTTTTTTTTTTTGATATGGAATCTTGCTCTGTCACCCAGGCTGGAGTGCAGTGGCGTGATCTTGGCTCACTGCAAGCTCTGCCTCCTGGGTTCAAGCAATTCTCCTGTCTCAGACTCCTGAGGAGCTGGGACTACAGGTGTGCACCACCATGCCCAGCTAATTTTTGTATTTTTGGTAGAGGCAGGGTTTCACCACATTGGCCAGGCTGGTCTCCAACTCCTGACCTCGTGAGCCACCCACCTCAGCCTCCCAAAGTGTTGGGATTACAGGCGTGAACCACCGTTCCCGGCCGTAAGGGCCATTTTTATGTCCCTAGATAGAGTCTCCCAGTATCCTGATCTTTCCAACCCATGGACAGAGAGGCATCGTGTGTGTGGTAGACAGAGAACGTTGAGTGAGGACTTAGAAGATGTGAGCTCCATCCCTACTCTCTGCCTATTGCAAGTGCAACTCCGGGTGTACGGGGGCTACTCCAGCCCTTTGAGCTATCGGGGCTTAGACAGAGGCCAATGAGGAGGAGACAGGGCATGGAAAGAGAGAGAGGTCAGATGCCTGGCAGCATACAGGGAGGCTAGAACCCTAGGAAGTAGTGAGTTTAGAGGTGTCAACACAGAGCAGGCAGCAGTGACACCCTGAAGAGTAAGGGCCAGGAAGATGGGAGAGCCGGAAGTCTTTGACAGAAGTGGATGAATTGGGAGTGCTCCATGCCTATGAAGATGGCTTCTTTTAAGGAACAGTGAACCCTAACTGGAGAGATGAACTTTAATATTTCCTGAAATGATCTTTCCTCTTAGGTATTTTAAGTAAAGTACTTCTTCTCTTTTCCCAAATATTAAACAGAGACAAATATTTTGTCTTTCTCTTTTCCTTCTTTCTTACCATCTGTATTAGTTTTCTGTAGGTACTATAACAAATTCATACACACTTGGTGGCATAAAACAACACAAATTTAAGGCCAGGCATGTTGGCTCATGCTTGTAATCCCAGCACTTTGGGAGGCTGAGGCGGTTGGATCACCTGAGGTCAGGAGTTCGAGACCAGCCTGGCCAACAGGGTGAAACCTCGTCTCTACTAAAAATACAAAAATTAACTGGGCATGGTGGTGCCCAACTGAGGCACAAGAATCGCTTGAACCCAGGAGGTGGAGGTTACAGTGAGCCAAGATCATGCCACTGCACTCCAGGCTGGGCGACAAAGTGAGACTTTGTCTCAAAAAACAAAAATTATTTTCCTATGGTTATAGAGCCCAGAAGTCTGAAATGAATCTCACTGGGATGAAGTTAAGGTGTTGGCAAGCCTGGTTCGCTCCCAAAGATTTTATTTTTGTTTTTTAATTTCTAAAATTGTTTGTAGAGACAGGGTATCACTATGTGGCCCAGGCTGGTCTTGAATCCTTGGCCTCAAGCAATCCTTCTGCTATGATCTTCCAAGGCGCTAGGATTACAAGCATGAGCCACCATGCTCAGCCTCCTTCCAAAGTCTTAAGGGGAGAATCTGTGTCCTTGCTTTTTTTAGCTTCTGGAGGTTACCTGCATTCCTTGGCTCGTGACCTCTTCCTCCAATTACCCCAACCTCTTGCTTCTATTCTCATGCCTCCTACTTCCTCCTGTGACTTTCTTGCCCTCCTCTTGTAAGGATCTTGTGATCACATAGGACTCACCCAGATAATCCAGGATAATCTCCCCATCTCAAGATCCTTAATTTAATCCTATCTTCACATCCTGCATGTCCTCCCATCCTTCATATCTTCCCATCCTTCATATTTTCCCATCCTTCATTTCTTCACAACCTTCATATCTTCACGCCCTTCATATCTTCACACCCTTCATGTCTTCCCATCCTTCATGTCTTCCCATTCTTCATATCTTCACAGTCTTCATATCTTCCATCCTTCACATCTTCACACCCTTCATATCTTCACACCCTTCATATCTTCTCATCCTTCATATCTTCACACCTTTCATATATTCCCACACTTCATATCTTCCCATCCTTCATGTCTTCCCATCCTTCATATCTTCACACTCTTCATATCTTCCCATCCTTCATATCTTCCCATTCTTCATGTCTTCCCATCCTTCATATCTTCCCATCCTTCATATCTTCACACCCTTTATATCTTCACACCCTTTATATCTTCACATCCTTCATATCTTTACATCCTTCATATCCTTTGTCATGTAAGGTAACATTCATACATTCTGGGGATTCAAATGTAGTTATCTTTTGGGGGGTTATTGTTAAGCCCACTGCACCATCCTTCCTTCTTTTTACCACTCACAAATACTTCTGGAGGGCTTTTAAATGTTTCATGTCCCATGACTGATGCTGGAGATATATTGATGAGCAGAAACAGACATTGTCTTTGCCACATTAACTCAGCTTACACTCTAGAGGGGAAGGTGACAAAAATCAAATAGTCACCCAAGTAAACATAAAGTTACATGACCATGGTAATGAACATAGGTCTATGAAACTGCAATAGAGTGGTTTGCCTGATCTCGTTTAGGGAGAGGAAGTAAGACAGTTAAGTGGTTTCTAAAGAAGCTATGGAAGGCCACAAAAATCATGTTAGGAATTTTGGTCTTTGTCCTAAGAACAAAGGAGTGCCACTGAGTGTTTTAAGTAAGAGAGTGTTATGGCCAGATTTGCATTCAACAGCTCACTGTGTATACTGTGTGGAGAATAGCCTGGGGGGGCAGGCTATTGCAGTTGTCTGGTGAGAGCAGAGGGTAATATTGAACATGCAAGTAGCTGGGTGTCTGAGAGATATTTAGATGCTCCCTCTGTCTCTCTCTCTCTCTCTTTCTCTTGATGATGGATTGGCTGCAGGAGGTTGGGTGTAGAATAAAATTATTAGACGACTGAACAAATTTATATCAATGCACTTTGAATATTAAGTAAGACCTCTATGACAACTGAGAGGATACAGGGTGGAAACAGCTCCATCCCAACAGGGGGACCAGCTCTAGCATCTGTAGATTGAGCCCAGGAATGCAATAATCTAGACCTGGTCTGGAAAAAGGTGGTCTAGAGACAAGCATTGTCCAGAAGAGTAGAAATACCTAGGTGGGAGTGGGGGTTGTGGGAGAATGAACTAGAGTTACTTCTAAGAGCACGTGACAGTAACCAACAAATAAGAGCCTAGAAATAATGTTTGGTATAGGCACGATTTGAATGCCAAGTCCAGTAGAGGTGGTGGGTAGATCCCAGGAATGGGTACTCATCAGACAGAACCAATGTAATGGAGATTCTGAAGTCTAGAAGGTATGATTGAGAGAATAAGAGACTCAGGTACAACCTAATAGCTCTATTTAGATATCTAAAGGGTTGTCACTACAGACTAAATGTTTTTATTTTTTATTTTTAAATTATTTTATTTTATTTTTTTGAGACAGTCTCACTCTGTCACCTAGGCTGGAGTGCAGTGGTACGACCTTGGTTCACTGCAACCTCTGCCTCTCGGGTTCAAGTGATTCTCTTGCCGCAGCCTCCCGAGTAGCTGGGATTACAGGCACCCACCACCATGCCCAGCTAATTTTTGTATTTTTAGTAGAAATGGAGTTTCACCATGTTGACCAGGCTGGTCTCGAACTCCTGACCTCAGGTGATCTGCCCTTCCTTGGGCTCCCAAAGTGCTAGGATTACAGGAGTGAGCCACCACACCCAGCCAGACTGAATGTTTTTAATCCCTGCAAAATTTATGTTGAAACCTAATCTTCAGTGTGATGGTATTTGGAGATGGGGCCTCCAAATGGGGGAGGTGATTAGGTCAGAAAGGTACAGCCCTCATGAATGGGAATTGTGCCTGTATGAAAGAGTCCCAAAGGAGCTTGTTTGCCCCTTCCATCAAGCAAGAACACATGGAAGGCAAGATCTGTGAGGAATAGGCCCTCACCAGATACCAAAACTGCTGGTGCCTTGATCTTGGACTTCCCAGCCTCCGGAACCATGAGCAATAGATTTCTACTATTTACAAACTACCTGATCTAAGATATTTTGTTTTATCAGCCCAAATGCACAAAACAAAACAAAACAACAAAACAAGACATTAGGCCAAAAGAAAAAAGAACATTAAGAAAAAATAGAGCTGTGTAACAATAGGATGCTTTAGGGGAAAGTCTTCAGAGAAAAACCAGGCCATCTATCAGAGTTATTTACTCAGGTAATTGGGATCTTATGGTATTCAAGCACTGTTGAGCATATAGAGGTGAGGAAGACATGATCCTTGTCCTTTCCTATAACATTTTGGAAGTCAAACAAGACCTATTGTTACTAGACAGGGGTCTGGATCCAGACCCCAAGAGAGGGTTCTTGGATCTCACACAAGAAACAATTCAGGGTGAGTCCATAGAGTAAAGTGAAAGCAAGTTTATTAAGAAAGTGGAGTAATAAAAAAATGGCTACTCCATAGACAGAACAGCCCTGAGAGCTGCTGGTTGCCCATTTTTATGGTTATTTTCTTGATAATATGCTAAACAAGTGGCAAATTATTCATGCCTCCCCTTTTTAGACCGTATAGGGTAACTTCCTGATGTTGCCATGGCATTTGTAAGCTGTCATGGCTCTGATGGGAGTGTAGCAGCGAAAATGACCAGAGGTCACTCTTGTTGCCATCTTGGTTTTGGTGGGTTTTAGCTGGCTTTTTAACTGCAACCTGTTTTATCAGCAAGGTCTTTAAGACCTGTATCCTGTGCCGACCTCCTATCTCATCCTGTGACTAAGAATGCCCAGCTGGCTGAGAATGCAGCCCAGTAGGTTTCAGCCTCATTTTACCTAGCCCCTATTCAAGATGGAGTTTCTCTGGTTCAAACGCCTCTGACACTATGACCACAATAATGGTGGAGCATTTTATTTTATATAAAGAAGGATTCATACAAGATGTTCGGAGGCTCCAGAGGAGGGGCCATCATGTTAGCTTGACTTGGGGATCAGGATAGACCAATGAATAAACAGGTGATATACCAATGAGGGTATCAAGTTGAGCCTTGGGCACTGGGAGAAGCTTGAGAATGGGCATTTTATGGCAGAAAGCAGATCCACAAAGATGGGAAAGTGCACGTGGAAAAGTGCAGGATATGTTAGGCACACTATGAATTGTCCTCTAAAACTGAGAACCAGAAAAACAAAGGAAGGTAACATAGAGAAGGACTGTAGTAAACCTACCTTATTTCATAGCCCCATTCTCCCATGCCAATGTTCTGGAAACGACTACCTTCTGAGAGTTAAGTCATCCTAGCAACATGGAATGAGTAATGCCAAAGCTGTGTTAAGTCTTCTCAAAGAGACAGTATGTCTCCCAGGCCAGATTAAGGCTTGATTGATTGTGTTGGCATATCTAAATAAAGCATTGCCCGTTAGCCAGTCATGGAAGCATGATGAGTTAGTCACCGAGCAAATGCCGGCAGTGCTACGGGCAAAATTCCACGGGGAGAGACCTTGATGGAAGACGAGAAGGATCTGTGTTTAATGTCAGGGAGAGCATGGTTGGGAAGATGATTGCTCACCCCATGGAAACCTGATGTCCACAAACACACAGATCCTAAAACAAACTCCCCTTGATTCCGCAGCCGTCCTCCAAAGATTCTGCTGATGGGTTGAATTTCCTGGCAGTTTTCAAACAGGGAAATAGTGTTCAGGCTTTCAAAAATGTCTCATCAGCTAGAAGGTTACTCTGGTTTTTTGTGTGTGTGTATCAGCTTTTCAGATGAATTCCATCAGGATGAATCTGTTTCTAGGAGTCAATAATTTGTGGTCAGAGGGAAGCTCTGGGTGGTAACGCTGACATGCTGAGCTGTCATGAATTCATCAAGGCTCTGTCACTTTTTTGGGTCTCTTCATGGCCACCTGGATGGACTTTTGTTCATGGTGGCAACCTGCTCTCATGGCCTTCTGTGCCAGCCATTTGCTTATTTGCTCTTAGACCCACGACCTGCCCTTCTCTTTCTCTGTACTGTGAACAAAATCACATTCCAGCCATCCCTGGACACTTGGCTTCTGGCTGGGCATAGCCATTAGGGGAACTGGTGGGAGATGGTAGAGCAGAGAAGTCTTGGTGGCTAATACTGCTCTTCCAGGACTTTGGCTACCTGTCTTCATCACCACCTGTGCACTGTATAGCTCCAACTTCTGTCCATGTACCTAGCTTCTAGGTCGTAACAACTCGGCCTCTTCTCTTTGTCTCTACAGCCCTGGGGCAGGGGATGAGAGTGGTAGGGGTCAGGGAATAGTTATTTCCTGCTGTGTTAATCTCTCCGTTGTTTCATTGTTCCCTCTAATATGTCTCAGATCTTTCGTCCCCTTTGTAACAAATCTCCTGTGTAAAACTCCCTTCCCCTTCCCTTCCCCTCCCCCTCTCTTCCCCTCCCCTTCCCCTCCCCTTCGCTTCCCCTTCCCCTTCCCATTCCCCCCTCCCCTCCTCTTCCTTCCTTCCTTCCTTTCTTTCCTTCTTTCTTTCTTTTTCTTTCTTTCTTTCTTTCTTTCTTTCTTTCTTTCTTTCTTTCTTTCTTTCTTTCTTTCTTTCTTTCTTTCTCCTTCCTTCTTTCCTTCCTTCCTTCCTTCCTTCTTGATGGATTCTCATTCTGTCATCCAGGCTGGAGTGCAGTGTTGTGATCTTGGCTCACTGCAACCTCCACCTCCCAGGTTCAAGTGATTCTCCTGCCTCAGCCTCCCAAGCAGTTGGGATTATAGGCATGCACCACCAGCTCAGCTAATTTTTGTATTTTTAGTAGAGATGGGGTTTCACCATGTTGGCCAGGCTGGTCTCAAACTCCTGACCTCAAGGGATCCACCCTCCTTGACCCCCCAAAGTGTTGGGATTACAGGCGTGAGCCACCATGCCCGGCCAAAATTCCCTCTTTTTCTAATACTTGGAGTGGCTTGTTTTCCTAACTGGACTGTGATTAAATCAATTTCCATTCAATCTCCTAGGTTACCAACAGTGCAGACCCTCATATACTAGCCTGAAAGGTTGGAATTTAACCCATAGGGTAATCCTTCTTAGTTTGGAGCACAAAATAACTAACCATCCATCATACATTTTCTTGGGTCGTCAGTTTCACCTCTAGATTTGGGACAAACACAATAGCTGTGATTTTTATGCAAAGACAAAGGCATGGTTGTGCAAAAGTCATGTGATTTTAAGAAAAACCAGGAGACTTCAAAGTATTTTTGCACTTGTAAGAAGTCAATGAATATCCTTTTCTGTTAGAACTGCTTTGGAGGAAAAGTGTTGAAAGCATTGCCATAAACCAGGGGTTGGCAAACTTTTTCTTTAAAGGGCCACATAGTAACTATTTTATGCTTTTAAAGGGCCATTTGGTAACTACTTTATGCTTTGTAGGTCAAATATGATCTCTGCTTACCCAACTCCCCCACTGATGTACCATAGATCCTATGCAAATGAATGACTATGGCTGTGTTCCTATAAAACTTCATTAGTAGCAGGCTGGTTTTTGCCCTCACCCCTATATTAAGCAATGAGTTGTGGTTGGGGGTGGTTACGGGGAGTTAGAGGTTCTGTTTTTTGTTGTTGTTGTTTGTGTTTTTTTGAGACAGAGTCTTTCTCTGTTGCCCAGGCTGGAGTCCAGTGGCGCAATCTCGGCTCACTGCAACTTCTGCCTTCTGGGTTCAAGCGATTCTCCTGCTTCAGCCTCCCAAGTAGCTGGGATTACAGGCATGTGCCCCCACACCTGGCTAATTTTTGTAATTTAGTAGAGACAGGGTTTCACCATGTTGGCCAGGCTGGTCTCAAACTCTTGACCTCAGATGATCCACCTGCCTCGATTGCCCAAAGTGCTGGGATTATAGGTGTCAGCCACCATGCCTGGCTGGGTTAGAGATTCTTAATGAATAATTACCTGAGTGAAACTGTGATCTAGGAAGATTGATAGCAGTGAGTGTATTTACTTGGAGGAGGGAGAGGCCAGAGGTAGGGAGATTCATTAAATGACTGAGGCAGGAGAATAGGGTCTGGAAACAGGGAACCTAAGGCCAATTCACACTGACTTCCTAGAACTAAATCAGAAGGAAATCCCCAACTTTCCATGCCCAAGTAACAAAAGGACTGGCCCTCGCCACTCCTTGCCACTCCTTTTCTGCATGGCAATTGAAAAACTGAAAGCACCTCCAGTTGGTCCCCTCCTACAACCAATCAGGCTGATCGTGGGCCAAGTCTTCATTTGCGGGAGAGTATAACTTTGCAACTTCACTTCAGCCTCTGATTGGTTGCTTTCTGCAACCAATCAGACTGATGGGCAGCCACTACTTCATTTACACAGGGTGTGTACCAAGTAACCAATGGGAAACCTCTAGAGGGGATTTAAACCCTGGGAAATTCTGTAACTGGGCCCTTGAGCGGCTTGCTGTGCCTGTTTCTGCGCTGTGGAGTGTGCTTTCATTTTCAATAAATCTCTGCTTTTGTTGCATCATTCTTTCCTGGCTTTGTTTGTGTGTTTTATCCAGTTCTTTGTTCAAAGCGCCAAGAACCTGGACACCCTCCGCTGGTAACATGAGCACCTTGGTGTTAAGGTCAAGAGGTGTGGCAAACCTAACCCAGGTGCAAGGCAGTCAGTTTGGAGAGATGCTGGTTCAGCTCTTTTCTACCCAATCATAACTTCAACAGAGATCGTTCCAATTGTTCCGCCTCTGGATTAATTTCAGGAGCCCTTTGGCCAATATTACTGCATTCTTTTCCCCTCGGTACCTGCAACTTCTACACCTCTGTTGCCTCATTTTGTTCTCTGGCACACTCCATGCAGTCAGCTGGGCTCTGAACGATTGACTTTCCTGTTCAATTGAGAATGTGACTCAGGGCTTCCTCTCTTCTAGTTTCCAATGACTGCCACATTCTGCATGGGGCAGCCCCCAGTTGAATATAACTAATTAGCATTTGCAAAGCGATTCCTGTGGCTGGGGTGAGAGCCACCCAGAAGGGCCAGGTATAATCACTGTTATATCTGTGGCTTACATAGTTCCCGGTCCACTCTGGAATGATTTTTTAAGCCTTGTTAATTGGGGGAATTACAGTGTGAGTGCTGAAAACCAGCTGTGGTTTTAAGTGCTACAAGCATTTCTGTAGGTGGTATAGAGCTGGGTGTAAATGTTGATGGATGTGTTAGAGAAATTACAGCTCAGGTTCCCGTGCAGCTGCTCTGAGGAAATATCGGACAAAGGACACTTCTAAGCAGATGTGCAATTAGCAATTAGATGATTTTAAAAGTCATCCGATCAATGTTTATGCATGGATAAAGAAAAGATATTCCTCGTACTTCTGTGATCTGAGTGAAATCAGAACACCAGTCTGAATTGCCTATAACAAATTCTGGGGCTAGGAGTTCAAGGACCCAATAAGACCTAGTATTTGACAGATCAGTAAGGTAATTGTAGTTTACAGTAATCTATTGTATATTTCAAAATAGCTAAAAGAGAACAATTTGAATGTTTCTAGCATAAAGAAAAGACAAATATTTAAGATGATGAATATACCATTTACACTGATCTGAGCTTTAAAAATTATATGAATGTATTAAATTACCGCATACACTCCCAAAATATGTACATCTATTATGTATCATTACATTTTTAAAAAATAAGTTGAAAGATCAAGAAGAGAGCAAATTTGAAGTGATGGTGTCTGGAACCTAGGAGGTGTTATTGAGCAAATGGGCTCACTGCCCAATGTACACAGAACCACCATGGCACCAGCTTTCGAGAAAAGAAAGGCTTTAAGTCTGGCCAGCAAGGAGACAGGAATTGGGTTCAAACCTATCTCCCTGATTTAGGGTCTGGGGCAAATTTTAAAGGGTCAGAGGGGCAAGGGAAAGAATTTCAGAAATTTGGCATGGCAGGGTCTGATGTGCATGCTTTAAATTTGACCGTTTATAGTAAGGTATATTGAAGCAGATTTTAGTCCCAGATATTCCTGCCCAATGAACTTCTAACTCCATTTTTTTTTTTTTTTTTTTGAGATGGAGTCTCACTCTGTCTCCCAGGCTGGAGTGCAGTGGCATGATCTCAGCTCACTGCAACCTCCACCTCCTGGGTTCAAAGAATTCTCCTGCCTCAGCCTCCTGGGTGGCTGAAACTGCAGGCGCACACCACCAGTAGAGATGGGGTTTCGCCATGTTGGCCAGGCTGGTCTTGAACTCCTGACCTCAAGTGATGTACCTGCTTCAGCCTCTCGAAGTGCTGGGATCACCGGCATGAACCACCACCCCCTCGCCTAAACCCCTCACTTCTAAAGGAGTTCCAACAGTCAGATTCTGGTCACACCCCAGGCTTCTTGGTTCCATGGGTAGGAATTGTTGATTTCAGGTGTTGTTAGAGGTCAAAGCTTTTTCCATTACATGTGCCCAGGGTTCATAAGTCATAGTTTGGCTCTGTTATGCCTATGAGGAAGCTTGACTTTTTGTTAACGACAGAGCAGGCCCAGTTTGGGCTGGTCCTGCCTAGGTACTTAACAAGAGCTTGTGAATGAATGACTGACTGCACGACAGGCCTCAACTACCTATTCTCAAGTTCTTTTACTTGAGGAAGAATTTTTTGGCTGGGTATGGTGGCTCACACCTATAAATACCAGCATTTTTGGGAGGGCAAGGCAGGAGGATTGCTTGAGGCTAGGAGTTCCAGACCAGCCTGGGAAACATAGCGAGATTCCGCTTCTACCAAAAAAATTTAAAAATGAGCTGGGTGTGGTGGTGCACACCCGTAGTCCTAGCTACTTGGGAGGCTGAGACAGGAAGATTGCCTGAGCCCAGGAGGTTGAGGCTGCAGTGAGCTATGATAATTGTACTCCAGCCTGGCTGGCAGAGTGAGATCTTATGTCTAAAACCACACACACACACACACACACACACACACACACACACACACGATTTTTTTTACTGAGGATTATTAGACTCTAGTCTCTAGTGAGACTCCTTCACTGACTGAATATTCCTAAATTATCTACTTCAGGCAACTGAATGCATTTATAAGAGGTTCATTTACCTGATTTACCTGGTTTGTTGGGGGATGAATCCTCAGTGATTACTGCCTGCCTAGTGAAAGTGAAGTGTCAGAGTAAAAGCACTAAACACCGATTAGCTTTTCTATGAGCCAGGCATTGCGCTAAGTTCATCAACAGAACAGGTTTTGTTAGCTCCCGACAGCACTGTGACTTGTTACAACTTCCTTTTGATACCTGGGAAATGAATGCTTAGAAGATGATGGGAAGTTTTCAAAGTCAGGTAGCCAGGATGTGACAGAGCTATATTCACACCCAGGTGATTGTGAGTCTAAACCACTTGGAAGTCACAATCCAGGAAGAGCAGACTAGCAACGTCCCTAAAGTGGTCTGTGCATGGATTTTTTTTTTTTTGGATAGCAATTATTATTATTATTTTGAAATGGAGTCTTGCTCTGTTGCCCTGGCTGGAGTGTAATGGTGTGATCTCGGCTCACTGCGACCTCCATCTCCCAGGTTCAAGCGATTCCCCTGCCTCGGCCTCCCTCCTGAGTAGCTGGGATTACAGTTGTGTGCCACCATGCCCAGCTAATTTTTGTGTTTTTAATAGAGGTGGGGTTTCACCATGTTTGCCAGGCTGGTCTCGAACTCCTGACCTCAAATGATCTGCCCGCCTTGGCCTCCCTAAGTGCCGGGATTACAGGCAGGAGCCACCAGGAGCTGGCTGCAATTATTTTTCAATTTAAATTTGAATGCCCTTTGGACAGGTGTGCCCTTCCCACAGGGAGGAAGCCCCACTACTCCCTCCTTGTGATTTTTACAAGGGTAGTTTTTCACCTTTGTATGATCTGTCTAGCCCTGGAGGCATCTGAATTTGCTCACCCTGCAGAAAAGGGCAGGCAGGGTCTTCATTTTCTCCCCATGGGTCACACACCTCCTTTACCATCTTTGCACTCGAATGGAACATTCATCTGTTCTCCTCTGGCCTTTTCTAACACTTGTCTCAGAGGCCAAAATATCTAATCGCACCATGAGCAGTGAGTGAAAACCTTAACAATCTCTGCTCCATATTTGCGAGAGAAAAATGATTACCCCTCACATTAAATGGGTATAGTGTTCAATCCAGTGTATAATAGGGGCTGTAGTGCCAAGATACCCATCGATGCGAGAAATAAAACATTTGTTCAAGGAAAGCGGGCCAATCAGAGGGTGTGCTGCGGGTGTAGGTGGAGGCCAGGAACCTGACAGGGGGAGAAAAAGGTCTTGATGGATGTGATTTGAAAAGGGATGGAGAGGCAATGGAGTCTCAGCTTCCAGCTGGGCTGTGCCAGACAGCTGGGCTGCTGACAACGTGCCCCCTGCCCATCAGGGAGGCTGGTGCCCAGAGCTTTGACAGGTGCCGGGGAAGGGTGAGCAATGTTGAAGTTCGAGGAGGGAGCTAGTACTTTTTTTTTTTTTTTTTTTTTTGGCTTGTTGGTGGTTAACATATGATGATTCTTGAGCTTAATGAATGAGGCAGGCTGGTACTTCTCACAGAACCAAAAGCCATTCATGAGCTCCTTCCTTTTGCAGGGAACCATTGAGAAGAAGCAACGGGCAATGGGAACAAATGGAGAATGTAACCACCGACCCTCTTGGATTTATCCTGGGGTGTTTCTTCCCCAACAATGAGACCTGGCCTTGCACTTGTTTACCTGCATTAGCAACATGTCTAGAATCAAGCGGCTGTAGAGATAATCAGCTTTGTTCTCTATGCAGACATTCTGGCTTAGGGCTGAATATGGACTAATGCCCATAGCAGGAGAGAACAATGATGACATTCATGAGTCAGCACTCGCTCCATGCTGCTGTCAAGGCTCATTATTTGTTGCTTTCAAGAGAGTTGCTTTTGCCTGCAGCAAAGCCGCTAACACCCATGGGTAAAGGAAAGTGCTAAGGAAAGTGCATGTGGATTTGCCCTGGTGTGTTCGAATTTTCCATCTTGCATTTCTTGGCAGTCTAGGCAGTAAGACTGGGAGTTGCGAGGAGACTCAACCACACCGCAGCCATCTGCCGGCTAGGCAGGTGCTGAGAGCTGCTTCAATGGGTGGCAGTGCATACCCGTTTACACACTCAGTCATTAGCAGGTGGCTGCTCAGAGTTGGGGTGGAGGGGAGGTTGCCTTGGAGGCCACATGTCTCTTGGTGCTGAGAAGGACTTCTAAGGAGGCACCCAGGAGCTCCACAAAGGAGAGCCATTCTTGATCTTTTCATTTATTTATTTATTTATTTATTTTTTGAGACGAAGTCTCACTCTGTTGCTCATGCCGGAGTGCAGTGGCACAACCTCGGCCCACTGCAACCCTGCAACCTCCACCTCCCGGGTTCAAGAGGTTCTCCTGCCTCAACCTTCTGAGTAGCTGGGATTACAGGTGCTCGCCACCGCTCCTGGCCAATTTTTGTATTTTTAATAGAAACGAAGTGTCACCATGTTGACCAGGCTGGTCTCAAACTCCTGACCTCAAGTGATCTGCCCACCTCGGCCTCCCAGTGTGCTGGGATTACAGGCGTGAGCCACCATGCCCAGCCCATTCTTGACCTTTTCAAACTGAGTTTTATTGGTGCCTTATCTTTCTATGAACAATTTCGCAGAAATGTATCAGATGCATTTGCAATGTCATTTGATCCTTTAATCTTATGTCTATTAGATTAAAAAGAAAAATCAGAGCTCCTTCAAGGGGGCTATGGAGTGGGCAAGGGAATGGATGAGACACAAGGTCCTTCCTGGCCCACCTGTATTTATGCATCCCATGACTTGGAGCTGTCCTAAGCTCAGCCAACACTGTAACATGGGTACTACCCAAGTACTTCCTTCAGAAAAAAATAAATAAAGTTAATTTTCCAAGTTGGGCTTTAACAATTGGATGTTATAATGGTAGTCCCTGGTTGTGGACAACCTCCAGTATTAACCTCACACGTTCACTAAATGAAATAAGATAAGTATTCATCGAAACTGCTCTTTCCATGTCTTTTTTTTTTTCAAGCTAGAAAAACAAAAACAACAGCAAAAATCAATAAAGCTTGTTCCAATTCGATACATGACCAAGAGCAACATGTTCATAAACATGCGTGTCTACCGTCGGCTTTGTTCTCGAACATCTCCCTTTTGCAGAGAGTAACACTGAGGCAGGGGAATGTCAGTCAGCTCCCTGGGGGCCCAGAACAAGAGACAGAGCATCAGAGAAGAGATTTCAGTCAAGCCTTCCTCTGCTCCATCCCCTGGCAAACAGCTGCTTGTCAGGTGTTTACATTTAGTGGGGCCTGGAGAAACTCGAGCAATTAAAAACAAAAAGCCTCCTATCCATCCATAGCGTTACCCGAGCCTAGCTTGGTTTGCAGCTTGTAATGTGTTATTTATTTTTGGTTTTAATTGCTGGCAGTCCCAGAAACATTAGTGTTATATATAGTGCTGGGCTCAGCAGGAGTAATTAAAAGGCGGGGGCCCTCATGGTCGGTAGTAAAATACCAAGTGTAGGCTGTTTAAGAAAAATGGGCCATTGATTGGCCATCAGCAAAACACAGGGTGGTACAGAAAGGACAGAAGAGGGAAGTCAGGCAGAAAAATCACACTGAACAGGAAAGGTTTATGCACAGGCTGAGGTTTGCTGAGTTGTGGAATAAAATATAACTTATTTGGATCACGCTTCTAAGCAGCACCATGGCTCAGAAAGAACAAACGTTTATCACATGCAATACCAGGCACTCAGATCTGCATAATCTCATTTAAAACTCCTGAAACCCTGGCTGGGTGTAGTGGCTCACTTAATCCCAGCACTTTGGGAGGCCAAGGCAGGTGGATCACTTGAGGTGAGGAGTTCAAGACCAGCGTGGTCAACATGATGAAACCCAGTCTATACTAAAAATACAAAACTTAGCTGGGTGTGGTGGTGCACACCTGTAATCCCAGCTACTCGGGAGGCTGAGGCACAATAATTGCTTGAAACCAGGGGATGGAGGTAACGGTGAGCTGAGATCACGCTGCTGCACTCCAGCCTGGGTGAGAGAGTGAGACTCTGTCTTAAAAAAACAAAACACGGGGCTGGACACGGTGGCTCATGCCTGTAATCCCAGCACTTTGGGAGGCTGAGGCAGGTGGATCATGTGAGGTCAGGAGTTTCAGACCAGGCTGGCAAATATGGTGAAAACCCATCTTTACTAAAAATGCAAAAATTCACTGGGCGTGGTGGCACGTGCTTGTATTCCCAGCTACTAGGGAGGCTGAGGCAGGAGAATTGCTTGAACCCCAGAGGTGGAGGTTGCAGTGAGCTGAGATCACGCCACTGCATTCCAGCCTAGGAGACAGAACAAGACTTCGTCTCAAAAAAACAAAACAAAACAAAAACCAAAAAAAAAAAAAAACCCAACCAACCAAACAAACAAAAAGAGAGGACCATGTGTGGTAGCTCACTCCTGTAATCCCAGCACTTTGAGACGCCAAGGCAGGAGGATCACCTGAGGTCGGGAGTTCGAGACCAGCCTGGCCAACATGGAGAAACCCCATTTCTACTAAAAATACAAAAATTAGCCTGGTGTGGTGGTGGGCACCTGCACTCCCAGCTACTACAGAGGCTGAGGCACGAGAATCACTTGAACCTGGGAGGTGGAGTTTGCAGTGAGCCGAGATCGCACCATTGCACTCCAGCCTGGGTGACAAGAGTGAAACTCTGTCTCAAACAAAACAAAACAAAACAAAACAAAACAAAACAAAACAAAACAACCACACAAACTCCTGAAACTCCTTCCAGGCTGGTGTGCAGATTCCTCTCTATCTCCATTCCGTAGGATACTAAACCAAGATTCAGAGGGGACCAGCCCTACCTTGCTCAAGCAAGACAATACAAAGCACGGTATTTTTAGTTGCCATCCCTAGGAGGAGAATCATGGACAGTTTTTTTTTTTTTTTAATTTTCTTCAATTTTTGCCCTAACATTTTGGGAAGACATAGGAGAGCGAGAAGAACAGCAGAATGGTAAGGGTCAAGGGAGAGTAGGAGTTTGTGCTGAAAACTAGAAACAAGAGGGAGAGAACTGGTAGACATGTTAGATGTATCATCTTGTATAATTATTTGTTCATTTTACAAATAAGGTGGATGAGGCTTAAAGAGTTTTAAAGGAACTTTCACAGCACATGAAGTATAGTCCCATTTATGTACCCATAATACATACGTAAATATATGCATGTGTGATAGGACCCTGTTTATGCATGAGTTTACTCCCAGCACTAAGGCAAAAGAACTGCCCTGTACCTTTCACTTAAAATGTATTTCGTGGGCCGGGCGCAGTGATTCACACCTGTAATCCCAGCACTTCTGGAGGCTGAGGCAGGTGGATCACTTGAGGCCAGGAGTTCAAGACCAGCCTGGCCAACATGGTGAAACCCCCTTCTCTACTAAAAACACAAACATTAGCCGTGCATGGTGGTGGGAGCCTGTAGTCCCAGCTTCCTGGTAGGCTGAGGTGAGAGAATCACTTCAACCTGGGAAGCGGAGGTTACGGTGAGTTGAGATCACACCCAGCCTGGGCGACAGAGCAAGACCCTGTTACAAAAAAAAAAAAAAATTGTGGCTTTTTAAAACCTCATTTTGAACAATATTTGATCACACAGACATATTGAAGGCACACAGTAGGGCATCTTGGACTGTAAATATCTCATTATAGAACATCTTTCATTGGAGAAACTCAAATAGTAATAACAGCTAGTATTTAGCACATAGCAAGTGCTAACTAAATATTGCCTGGAGCAGGTACTGCTTCCATTTGCTGACTCAGTTAATCCTCCCAACAACCCTGTGATATTAACATTAAAATCCTCTTTTCACAGGGGATGTAATAGAGACACAAAGAGCTTAAGAAACTTGCTCAAGCTTATATAACTAAGAAAGGGGTGGAGCATGAGTTGTAATTTAGACAGCCTGGTTGCAGATTGCAGCACAAGATTCTTTTTTCTTTCTTTCTTTCTTTACCTTCTTTCCTCCCTCCCTCCCTGCCTCCTTTCCTTCCTTCCTTTCTCTTCCTTTCTTTCTTTCTGTTCTTTCTTTCTTTCTTTCTTTCCTTCTTTCTTTTTCTTTCTTTCTCCTTCCTTCTTGTTTCTCTCTCTCCTTCCCTCCCTTCCTCCCTCCCTCCCTTCCTGCCGTCCTTCCTTCCTTCCTTCCTTCCTTCCTTCCTTCCTTCCTTCCTTCCTTCCTTCCTTCCTTCCTTCCTTCCCTCCTTCCTTCTTTTTGAGACAGGGTCTTGCTCTGTCATCCAGGCTGGAGTGCAGTGGCTCAATTACAGCTCACTGTAGCCTCAGTCTCCTAGGCTCAAGTGATCCTCCCACCTCAGCCTCTTGAGGAGCTGAGACCACAGGTGCATACACCACCATATCCAGCTAATTGTTTTATTTTTTGTAGAAATGAGGTCTCGTCATGTTGCTCAGTCTGATCTTAAACTCCTGGGCTCAAGTGATCCTCCCATCTCAACCTCCCAAAGTGCTGGGATTACAGGCATGAGCCATCGTACCCAGCTGAGCAAGATTCTTAACCATGCTGCTATGTCTGTTGTGGGCGATTATTAACAATCTTTCCAGAATGCTGAATATTAGCCTCTCAGAGGTACTGGAAGGAAGGCAGCATGATGGTATTGCTCAAGAGTGAGGATGGTTTCTGTGGAAGTCCAAGTAGGCATGCTCGGGGGGTAATAGGGTGCTGATGAATAGAGGCCCAGGTCATTTTGAAAACTGGAGGCATCTTACCAATGGACTTAGCAGAAGCAGATAAACGCCCAGGGAGAAGCTGAGAAGGGAAACCATTTCCTGGCACAGGGCCATTGCCTGCAGTTTGACAGGCTGTGGCCTGAATAGGGCTTTTGGCTAAGGAGTGAGCAGGGCTGAAAGCCAGTGCTGGTTCCGCTTACCAAGGCATGCACTTGCCCCAGGGCAGTGTCCATCATAGCAAGGTCCAAAGAACCAGAGGATTCCCAAGCTATGTCCCCTTGAAGCTCGATCTGCCCTGGGGGCTAATTTTCCTAATTTGCATAATGGAATCCCATGGATGCCCTCAAGCCTGTTGTGCCATACAGAGTGGGGGTGCTCCCCTGGAACCCACAAAGATTCCAAAGGCCTGGGAATTCTCTTTCCTTGATCTTTTTTTTTTTTTTTTGAGACAGAGTCTCACTGTGTCACCCAGGCTGGAGTGCAGTGGCGTGATCTTGGCTCACTGCAACCTCCACCTCCTGGGTTCAAGTGATTCTCCTGCCCCTGCCTCCTGAGTAGCTGGGACTACAGGTGACCGCCACCATGACTGGCTAATTTTTGTATTTTTAGTAGAGATGGGGTTTCATTATGTTGGCCAGGATAGTCTCGATCTCCTGACCTCATGATCCCCCCACCTCGGCCTCCCAAAGTGCTGGGATTACAGGCGTGAGCCACTGCGCCTGGCCCTTTCCTTGATCTTTATTCTTTGACTATCTCCATCTCAAGTAGTCACTTAAGTGCCTGGCCTGTGGCCAGTGATGGGCTCCTAACTACAGTTCTTGAAATAACTGGAGAGCAAAAGAGAAAGAGACTGGAACTTTGCCCAGAATGTGATCACTGATTTTTATATATTTATATATACACACACACACACACACACACACACACACACACACAGGGTCTTACTCTGTCACCCAGGCTGGAGGGCAGAGGTGCAATCATAGCTCATGGCAGCCTCTACCTCCTGGGCTCAAGTGATCCTACTGTCTCAGCCTCTTGAGTAGCTGGGACTACAGATGCATGCCACCATACCTGGCTAATTTTTTATTTTTTGTAGAGATGGGGTCTTGCTATGTTGCCCAGAATGGTCTGAAAGTTTTGACCTCAAGTGCCTCAGCCTCCCAAAAGTGCTGGGATTACGGACATGAGCCACTGCACCAGACCTGCTGGGAATTTTAAAATCACCTTATTATATATTGGGTCTCTCTAAATTTTGGTGACTCATGGAAAAGCTCATATAGCAAGCTTAGAGTCTACTCTTCCCAGTGTAAGTTTGCACCAAGATCTGGAAGGAGGTAAAGGTTAAGACATTGGCGCCAACTAGGTGTATTTGCTAAATAGGAATCCGATGCACAGGCTGTCACGTCAGTGTCTGAGACTCCCTGAGAAACTCAGGAAATGCGTGGGTGCATATTCATAGTCAGAGACATCTGAGGGAGGTTAGGAAGGGAAGTGAAGTTTGCAAGTTCAGAGGCCTCCTTCTCTACTTGGAGGAAGCCCAATCCTCCATGAAATGTAGAGTAAATGGAAGGCTGACTTTTGGAAAGTAGGGTGCACTATCCAGTTCTGGCCCATTTATATACCCATAATACGTACATAAATCTGAGCGTGTGTGATAGGACCCTATTTATGAATGAATTCTGTGTTTTTTCTTTTCTTTCTTTCTTTTTTTTTTTCTAGAAACAGAGTCCAGCTCTGTCATCCAGTCTGGAGTGCAGTGGTGCGATTATAGCTCACTGCAGCCTTGAACTCCTGTGCTCAAGTGATCTTCCTGCCTCAGCTCCAGAGCAGCTGAGACCACAGGCATGCACCACCATGCGCTGTTAGTTTTTTTTTTTTTTTTTTTTTTTTGCAGAGATGGAGTCCTGCTATGGTGCCTAGGCTGGATATCCTGTGTCTTTTTCTTTTTCTTTTTTTTTTTTTGGTTTTTTTTTTCATGGTTTTTTTTTTTTTTTGAGACGGAGTCTTACCCTGTCGCCCAGGCTGAAGTACAGTGGCGTGATCTCAGCTCACTGCAACCTCCGCCTCCTGGGTTCAACCGATTCTTGTGCCTCAGCCTCCTAAATAGACTAGCTGGGACTATAGGCATGTGCCACCACACCCGGCTAATTTTCCATATTTTTAGTAGAGATGGGGTTTTACCATGTTAGCCAGGATAGTCTTGATCTCCTGACCTCATGATCTGCCCGCCTCAGCCTCCCAAAGTGCTGGGATTACAGGCATAAGCCACCACGCCCAGCCTGTCCTGTGTCTTTTTCATCTCTGCATTCTCTCCCTCTCTCTTTGCACCCAGCCAGTGATGAGCACGGTGCCCGGCACTGACTGGCTGCCATCTCCATTTGCTACCCGGCCGTCTGTGGATCGCTGGTCTGTATCAGATCTGAAGGGCTCCATTGTACTCAGTCCTTCCCAGTGCCAGCTCCTGCGAGAGAGGGAGTTGAACTTGGAGAGCCTTGCCCACAATTGAGCCTATGAAGCTTGTCAATCTGGAGCCCTTAACAACCCAGTGGGGAAAAGCAAATGCAATTTCTCCTCTTGGTTTTTCTTCCAATGCATCACAAATTGGAATCATTTCGTGTCCGAAGGCTCATTAGAAAATGTTTCTAAAAGGCAACGCAGCCCATTAAAGCTCATTCTAAAGAGCGGTTTTTAAGTCCTTCACATTTGTATCTATATTTGTTAAAGATCAAGTTCAATTTTTGAAATTGCCAGATGTCTTGGCTCGACTACAGGGTTTAAGTCAGAACTCTTGGGAGGACACTGTGCTTAGTAATAAGAAAGTTACTATCCCCTACTAAAGCCCAACGTTTTAGCCAAGGGAATCATTATTACTGTTTAAAACTCAGAATTGCAGATTGAATTAATTTTATCTAAAGTATTTTCTACAAAATGACTGATCTCAAGTTTCAGTAAATTTAATGGATCTCAGCTGCCTCTTTTGGTACCAATGGTAACAGATTAAGTTTCTGGATGTTTGCTAATTCTTAGGATTTGTCAAGTCCTCCCCTTCTTCCTTCCCCTTCCCACCTCCTTTCCTGTTCTTTGTCACTTTCAATCACTGGCTTATAGTCCTGAGTTGTGAATTTTAGAGATTTGATCCTGAGACAAATGAACATGATGTATTATGATCTTCAAAATTTTTTTTTTTTTTTTGAGACAGAGTCTTGCTCTGTCACCCAGGCTGGAGTGCAGTGGCACCATCTTGGCTCACTTCAACCTCTGCCTCTAGGGTTCAAATGATTCTCCTGCCTCAGCCTCACGTGTAGTTGGGATTACAGGCGCCTGCCACCACATCTGGCTAATTTTTGTATTTTTAATAGAGACAGAGTTTCACCATGTTGGCCAGGCTGGTCTTGAACTCCTGACCTCGGGTGATCTGTGCACCTCGGCCTACAGTCTTCAGTTCTTAGTTCAATCTTTAGTTCAAACTAAAGCAGAGTGAAGAAACTAAAGCACGGTAAAGCATCAAGCCCTCCTGATGTCCAACAACTCCATACCTCTCATATAATAGCACTATTCACAATAGCAAAGTCATGGAACCAACGTAAGGGCCAGGTCAGGTCCACTGAGTCTCCAGTCAAGTGGTATCCTGGGAGCTCAGGTTTGAGTGGGTAGGTGGCTCTTTGGAGTGACCAGAAGCAGATGAAGCCAAGAGGACAAGTGGAAATTGTGTGCAAGACACAGTTTTGCAGGTCAGAAACATAGCCTAACGTGTACTTGGGGTCAGTGACAAGTGAGGGCTTAGGGAGGGATTACCGACACGCAAAAGTTCAAAAGACACGCAAGTCAGAATGGCTATCTTTAAAAAGTCAAAAAGCAACAGATGTTGATGTGGATGTGGAGAAAAGGGAACACTTCTATTTTGTTAGTGGGAATGTAAATCAGTTTAATCTCTATGGAAAACAGTATGTAGCTATCTCAATCCAGTGGGATCCAGCAATCCCATTACTGGGTATCTACCCAAAAGAAAAGAAAAGAAATCACCATATGAAAGAGACACCTGCAATCGTATGTTTTTTCGCAGCACTATTCACAATAGCAAAGTCACAGAACCAACCTAGGTGTGCATCAAAGGTTGATTGGATAAAGAAAACGTGGTACATATCCACCATGGAACAGTATGCAGCCATAAAAAAGAATGAAGTTATGTTCTTTTGCAGCAACATGGATGGAGCTGGAGGCCATTATCCTAGGTGAACAAACTCAGAAGCAGAAAATCAAATACCACACGTTTTCACTTATTAGTGGGAGCCAAACAATGAGTAAAACGGACATAAAAATGGAGATAATGGAGACAAGGGACTCCAAAAGGGAGAGAGGGTGGGAGGGAGGTAACGATCAAAAATTACCTACTGGGAACAATGTTCAATATTTGGCTGATGGGTTCACTGGAAGCCCAAACTTCACCATTAGACAATAGACCCATGTAACAAACATGCACATGTATCCCTGAATCTAAAATTTAAAATATAAAATAGAGAGAGAGAGAGAATGAGAGAGAGAGAGAAAGGGCTTCAATGAGCAAGGAAAGAGTGTTACTGTCTGAATGCAGATGCTGGGCTAACACTGTGCTATGGTGTCCAAGTTTCTTTACTGAGTCCTGGCCCTGATAGCAGGTGGGCCTGGTTCCATAAAGCAGTTAGGAGAGAAATGGGACTTCCAGCCTCTTAGGGCACCACAGTTTTGGTTCTACAGAGCCTTCCTAGGATACATTATACATAAAACATTCTCTGATTTTTCAGTTGGTGGATGTCTTTATTTGCTATTAGCAGTTGATCCTAGAAATTTCCCAGGAAGGTAGACCCAGAGGCCTTTGAATCTAACCAACCAAATAAATGAACGAATAAATGAACAAAAGAATAAGCCACAGTGCAAATTTTCTGGGCTTCCGTAGATAATAGATATTCTAAAATCGTAGAGCTTAATTAGGCCCTCAGAAATTACTTCCTCCAATTAAGCTCATTTTAACCAATGGAAGTAACAAGCCCTAGAGACCCAGTAACACCAGCCGGTCAGTGATGGTTTCCGGACCCAAGGCCAGATCTCCTGCCTATTTTAGATTTTTTATTTTTATTGTTTTACATTGACTGTCTCTGTCAAAGTTTTAACCCTTACCAGGTTTAACTTCTGATAATGTTTGTTTTTAATTTTTAATTAATTCATTTTTTAATTTTTTATTTTTTTGAGATGGAGTTTTACCCTTATCGCTCAGGCTGGAATGCAGTGACACGATCTCTGCTCACTGCAACCTCCGCCTCCCGGGTTCAAGCAATTCTCCTGCCTCAGCTTCCCGAGTAGCTGGGATTACAGGTGTGCACCACCACGTCTGGCTAGTTTTTTGTATTTTTAGTAGAGACAGGGTTTCACCCTGTCAACCAGGCTGGTCTCCACCCACCTCAGCCTCCCAAAGTGCTGGGATTACAGGCTTGAGCCACTGTGTCCAGCCCATGATAATATTTGTTTTTAATGCAGAGCTGATTGACCAAGACAGGGGAATTGCAATAGAGAAAGAGTTATTTCACACAGAGCTGGCTGTACCAGAGACGAGAGTTTTATTGTTACTCAAATCAGTCTCCCAAATTGGGGAATGGACTTTTTAAGGATAATTAGATGGGTAGAGGGTCGGGAAGTGAGGAGTGCTGATTGGTCGGGTCAGAAATGAAATCATAGGGGGTCAAAGTGGATTTTCCTTGCTATCTTCTGCTCCTGGGTGGGATTGCAGAACTGGTTGAGCCAGATTACTGGTCTGGGTGGTGTCTGCAGGGTCTGCAAAGTATCTCAAGCACGGATTGTAGGTTTTACAACAGTGATGATATCCCTGGGAGCAATCCAAGGAGGTTCAGGCCTCCACCTGCATGATTTTTAAATCATAATTTCTTTTCTTTTCTTTCTTTCTTTCTTTCTTTCTTTCTTTCTTTCTTTCTTTCTTTCTTTTTTTTTTTGAGGGAGAGTCTCGCTCTGTCACCCAGGCTAGAGTGCAGTGGCGTGATCTCGGCTCACTGCAACCTCTGCCTCATGGGTTCAAGTGATTCTGCACCTCAGCCTCCCGAGTAGCTGGGGCTACAGGCGCCCACCACCACGACTGGCTAGTTTTTTTATTTTTTATTTTTTAGTAGAGACGGGTTTTCACTATGTTGGCCAGGCTAGTCTCGAACCCCTGACCTCGGATGATCCGTCTGCCTTGGCCTCCCAAAGTGCTGGGATTACAGGCATGAGCCACAGCGCCCAGCCTTAAATCTTAATTTCTAATCTTATGGCTACTTTGTTAGTCCTACAAAGGCAGACTAGTCCCCAGGCAAGAAGGGGGTCCATCTCGGGAAAGGGTTGTTATCATCTTTGCTTTAAAGTTAAACTGTAAACTAAATTCCTCCAAAAGTTAGTTCAGCGTACTCCCAGGAATGAACAAGGACAGCTTGGAGGTTAGAAGCAAGATGGAGTAGGTTAAATCAGATCTCTTTCCCTGTCATAATTTTCTCAATTAAAAAAGGGAGGTTGGCCATGAGTTTGACTTATTGATGCTGATGGGGGCTCTAGGAGTCTTGGTGGCCTGGCAGACTTTCCTATTCCACATTCGTGTTGCACTTGGGGGTCTTTGAGTTTGAGAAGATTCCCTAGGGTCCTTGGAGCATGTTGAGGACTACAGAGTTATCTATCAGGAATCTGCGAGGCTGAGTTTATTGATCACTCCTAATGGCTCAAGGAAATCACAGGCCTCATGCCTTTACTTAACAAGGCAGAGAGAGAGAGAGAGAGTCCCTCTTTCCTTCAAGAGACTTGTATACCATTGATCTCACTCCTGCAGCAATAATCCACAGTCAAACAATACATCTTTCTCTCCTATTCAAGATTCTTAGTCTTTGGAACAAGATGATTTTACTAGAGAGCTAATGTAGAGATAAATCTCTACGTCTGAAAGCATCGTGTACTTAAATATAATCTGCTGTACAAAGCAGGTGGATTTTCCAAATCAAATTTGTTGGAGATGTGTATATGCATGCTGGTTCACTTGAAAAGTGGCTTTAGATACATTTCTTATTATTTTAAAATATTTTATGTATTTTATTTAAAATATAGGTTCGGGCCAGGCACAATGGCTCATACCCATAATCCTAGCTTTTTTGGAGGCCGATGTGAGAGGATTCCTTGTGACCAGGAGTTAAAGAACAGCCTAGGCAACACAGTAAGACACTTTTTCTACAAAAAATAAATAGAATAGGCCAGGCACGGTGGCTTATGCCTGTAATCCCAGCACTTTGGGAGGCCAAGGCGGGTGTATCACGAGGTCAGGAGATCGAGACCAGCCTAGCTAACATGGTGAAACCCCGTCTCTACTAAAAAAATGCAAAAAATTAGCCAGGCATGGTGGCGGGTGCCTGTGGTCCCAGCTACTTGTGAGGCTGAGGCAGGAGAATGGCGTGAACCCAGGAGGCAGAGCTTGCAGTGAGCTAAGATCGTGCCACTGCACTCCAGCCTGGGAGACAGAGCAAGGCTCCGTCTCAAAAACAATAAATAAATAAATAAATAAATAAATAAATAGAAAATTAGCCAGGTGTGGTGGTACATGCCTGTAGTCCCAGCTACTTGGGAGGCTGAGCCAGGAGGATTGCTTGAGCCCAGGCGTTTGAGGCTACAGTGAGCTGTGATTGAGCCACTGCACTCTAGCCTGGGCAACAGAGCAAGACTCTATTTCTATAATAATAATAATGATAATAACAATAAAATAAAGGTTAATTAATTTAAATAATGAATTTATATTACCTTTTTCAAAAAAAATATTTTATTATTGCATGGGATAAAATCTATCTCTATAGAAAAATGTAATGACAAAATGATTACTGCAAGAGAAAAAGGAGGTGTTTGCCAGCATTTCCCAACAGCTTGGCTTCAAAATGAGATGAAGATAAAAAATAATTCTAATTCTACAAGCATGCCACAGACATATGGTTGTGGGGGAAATAGTCAAACAGCATCAAATTCACGGAGTAAAGAATAAAAGGACCTCTTTACATGGCACATCTGAGCCCACCCTCCAGTCCAGATAGGGGCGCTCTTGTCAGTGTGGACTGTGTTCTTCTATACCCTTTGATATGCATTTTCTCTTCCGATGGACATACATCTAACCACACAATCTCAGATGTGCAAGAAATGTCATGTTTCATTTTCTATAACTCAGTGTGATATTGATTCCAAAGCTCCAAAGTTCTGTCAAGCAGGCAGAAGATCTAATTGCATAAGTTTGGGGGTTCCACCATTGTTTTGGGCCAAGTGATAAAGGTCTTATGTAGTGTTAAGGCAATGGAAGGTGCTCTCAGAGTTTTGGTCATAGGTTCCCACAGGTTGCTGTCGCTTTTCCCCATTTTCTTGGTCTTCCTAAATTATGGCTTTCTCTGCTGTGCACTGCTTTGCACAGGGCAAAAAAATCTGCACATGCTATGGACTAAGAGTCTAAGGACATGCTGCTCGGCTGCCTCTCCAAGTTCCTGCTGCTTTCCTAACTGTTGGGGAATGAAACTTGGGTCAAAATCCAAAAACTGCAGACTGCTCTCTTCCTACTCAGTCTGGGGCAAGTGTCCTTTCTGAATTTCTTCATCCTCAAGAGACTTTTCCTGTTCTTCTGTTTAAAGACTCAGCACCATTTCCTTCATGATGTCCAATAAGTCCTTTCCAGAACAAGAAAGATCCCTGGTCTTCAGGCTGCTTCTATTTCTGCCCTATGCAAATCCCTGGGTCTAGGAATTACAGAGCTCAGCTACCAGTTTAGAATAAGAAGAAAGGAGATGGGTGGTTATAGGAAAAACACATGTAAATTATACACACACTTATGTCCTCACTGTGTATACACATCTTCCCCTAAACATATTTATCCCGTAGTTTCCCCCATGTCAGTTAACATTCGCATTATTCTTTCAGTTGCTTTAAACAGAAATAAAATTATCTCTCTCTTTTTTTTAACACTCCACGCCCACCCCATTGCTAAATCCTGTTGGCTCTACTTTCTTTTTTTTTTTTTTTTTTTTTGCACAATGGCGCAATCTCAGCTCACTGCAACCTCCACCTCCCAGGTTCAAGCGATTCTCCCGCCCCAGCCTCCTGAGTAGCTGGGATTATAGGCACCTGCCATCATGCCCGGCTAATTTTTGTATTTTTCTGGACACGGAGTTTCACCATGTTGGCCAGGCTGGTCTTGAACTCCTGATCTCAGATGATCCACCCACCTCGGCCTCCCAAAGTGCTGGAATTACAGGCGTAAGCCACCGCACCCAGCCCTGTTGGCTTTACTTTCTAAATGCAGCCAGAATTCAACCACTTGTCACCAGTTTCCCTGCTTCATCCTGATTCATCTTCTTCCACTTACCAGCATTTCTTTCTGGATCACCTTAATAGCCTTCTAAGTTGTCCTCCTGTTTTTACCTCTTCCCCCCAATAATCTGTTCTTAGCACAGCAGACAGAGTGACCCTGGTGAAACAGAGCTTACATCATATCATATCTCTGTCCAACACAGCAATGGCTTCTTGTCTCAATCAAGGTCAAAGCTGAAGACTTCAGAACGGCTGCTGAAGATCTGCGAGATGTGGGCCCCACGCCGCTGTCTAGTTTCGTCAATGTCTCTCTTTACTTAATCTGCCCCATTCTTGGCTCTGTGCTCTTTGCAATGGCTAGCGCCTTTGCCTGCAATGGTCTTTCTCCATCTATCAACATGATGATTGGCCGAGCACGGTGGCTCACACCTGTAATCCTAGCACTTTGGGAGGCCGAGGTGGGCAGATTGCCTGAGCTCAGGAGTTCGAGACCAGCCTGGGCAACACGGTGAAACCCCATCTCTACTAAAATACAAAAAAAAATTAGCCTGATGTGGCAGCGTGCACCTCTAGTCCCAGCTACTCGGGAGACTGAGGCAGGAGAATTGTTTGAACCCGGGAGGCGGAGATTGCAGTGAGCCGAGATTGGGCCATTGTACTCCAGCCTGGGCAACAGAACCAGGCTCTGTGTCAAAAAAAAGAAAGGAAAGAAAGCATGATGGCATGATGATCACCTTTCCTTTGGGTTACTGCTTTCTCTTACCATGGTAATCAAAATTGCAATGTCACTCCTTTTCCCCCTTACCTTGACTTATGTTTCTCTGTAGCGCTTACCACCATTTGATAAATTGCATATTTTACTTGCTTATTGGCTTCATGTCGGTCTCTTTCTACTTTTATCAAAACTGGGAGGACAAGGACTTTTGATATTTGGTTCACTGTGGATTCTCCAACACTCAGAATATTGTCAGGCACGTTATTGGAGTTCTACAGATATTCGTTAAACGAATGAATAAATTAATGAATGAGTTGTACAGAGATATAGTATTTTCTGCTTCTGTGTTTTATATGAACTCAATTGCATTATGGGGATTTGCTATTTTTTCTCTTTAATCATAGATATTGATGGTCTTTCCATGACAGTACATAAACACAACATTCTCGGCCGGGTGCGGTGGCTCACGCCTGTAATCCCAGCACTTTGGGAGGCCAAGTCGGGTGGATCATGAGGTCAAGAGATTGAGACCATCTGATCAACATGGTGAAACCCCATCTCTACTAAAAATACAAAAATTAGCTGGGTGTGATAGTGTGCACCCATAATCCCAGCTACTCGGGAGGCTGAGGTTGGAGAATCACTTGAACTCGGGAGGCGGAGGTTGCAGTGAGCCGAGATTACACCACTGCACCCCAGCCTGGGTGACAGAGAGAGACTCTGTCTCAAAACAAACAAACAAACAAAAACATGAGACACATCATTCTCTTTTACTGATTGCAGTAGGATTCCATGGTATAGATATAACAAAGTGTGTTCAACTAGCTTTTTAGTGACGGATGTTTGCAATTTTTCTCTATTATTAACAACTCTGACTCTTTATGCATTCAGAATATTTCCCTAGGATAAACACCAAGAAGTGAAATTGCCTAGTGAAAGAGGTGAAGCAAATTTTGACAACCTCATTTGCATTTCGACTGTTTTCCCTCCCAGGTGAGAATATTTATAATCCAGCCCTTTTCTCTCCCTCCCTAATTCTTTTCTCTCTCATCCTTGTTGGGGAGAAAATTCCAATAATTTGCTGGTGGCAGTACAATTGGTGGGAGTGTACTATTTTCAGCTGCTATATACATGTGAGCCATGAGTTGGAGTTTTTGCAGAATCAGCTGGGATGAATTTTTCCTTTTTTCTCAACTCCTTTGGCATTTAAAATCTGTACTGTCCAAATTGGGGCTTGATTGTACATTCTCTCATATTGTTTCATGGAATTAATCTTACTCCTCAACTAGATGCTTAACTCCTTGATAACAGTGGCAATGTCTCTTAGTCCACAAGTTTTTGCATCCTCCGTTTGAGTCTAAGCCAATACTAATCATGTTGAGAGTGTTCATTGGATATCAAAGCAATTTTGTAATAGTGAGAGGCTTCAGGTTGGCCTTAGAGTTTCAGTAGAGCTGTTGGGAAAGAGTTGAAGGTTTCCAGATAGACAAATCAGGGAAGCATATCCTAGATAGAGGAAAAAGAATTTGCAAACATGTAGAGTTATGGAAAGACATGGGGGAGTTGGGGTAACTACAAGTGATTCTCCATAATGAGACTTCAGTTGGCAGGTAGAAGAATTGTCAGAAATTAGTTGGGAAGAGTAGACTGAGACCTGGTCTTCAAGAACTACGAGGCTATCTACATTAGTGGGGATATTTTCAATCACAAGTGAGAGAAACCCAGTGCACCTGGCTGAAGTAAAATGGAGAAGTTATTTGCGTCCATAATCTAGAATGACTGAGAGTAGCTAGACATACCTGGATACTGGGAATCTAAGACACCAAAGCCTCCTTTTTTCCTTTTTTCTTTTTTCTTTTCTTTTTTTTTTTTTTGAGATGGAGTCTCACTGACTGCCTCACCTTGGACCAGGGTCTTCTCCCTTTGACAATGATCAAGGGGCTATTTGAGATGCAGTTTTTTGTTGCAGGAAAGGAGAAGTTCTTCAAATCAAAAAGAACAAAAAATGTGACTCATGCAGCACCCTAATTTTGTATTTAGTACACCTGATGATAAGGCTTGACTTTCCTTCAATACCTTAAAAGAAAGATGTTCAGGGTCCTGAAATCTTAATGTTCCCTAGTGAGCCCAAATGGTTCCAGACACCAACATTTGGCAAAGCTGAAGTGCCCATTAGAGAAGAACTCTTCACTTTCTAAATCTTTAAAATTAAAACTCATTTGATGCTATTTTAGAATTGGAATGTAATCCTAGCATTTTGGGAGGACAAGATGGGTGGATCATCTGAGTTCAGGAGTTGAAGACCAGCCTGGCCAACATGGTGAAGCCCCAACTCTACTAAAAACACAAAAATTAGCCAGGCGTGGTGGCAGGCATCTGTAATCCCAGCTATTCGGGAGGCTGAGGCAGGAGAATCACTTGAACCTAGGAGGTGGAGGTTGCAGTGAGCCGAGATCGTGCCGCTGCACTTCAGCCTGGGCAACAGAGTGAAACTCTGTCTCAAAAAAAAAAAATAAATAAATAAATAAAATAAAATAAAATAAAAATAGAATTAGAAGAACCATTTATCCTTCCAAAGTCTAGCTTAAATGTTGCCTCCTTCCAGGAGGCCCCAAAGCGATTCTCCTGCCCTGGTTCTTGCTATTTCTTTGGCCATAGGTTTGTTCTCCAGTCTTAGAAAGCTGAACAAGGGTAGAATTTGTTTTCTCTATTTCTTTGATCTCTCTCTGGCACCTGGCTTTATAAATGCTCATGGTTGCAAGGATGATTAAATGCCTCCCTTGAGAAAACACAAGATTGCCTTCTTTAAAAAAGCAGAGGGAGTATCTTGAGATATAAAAAAAAATAATATGTTGACAAGGAAAGTGCTGAAATCACTCTTTAATAATTAATATAATATCGTAGGTTTGGAAAAAGCATTATAATATTCAAAGCTCCTTGACTGCCCTAATCTCATTTAGTCCTGATAACAATCTTGAGTGGAAAGCAGAGAAGCTATTATCCACATTTTGTAGATGATGCAGCATCGGAGAATAGTTTAGCATCTTGGAGATCATTTCATTCAATCACTTTTCTTTTTACATTTGACCCTGCTCAAAAGCCAATTAAATATCCGAAAGCATCACAGCTACCTGGTGGCAAGACAAATGCAGGAACAAAGGTTTTCTATTCCCATGTCCAGGGTGTGGTATCCCATACCCAGAACTCCACCTCCTTGGCAATGTCTCAAAGACTTTGCAGTCAATACATAATGGAAGACCTTGGTCTCTGGCAGCGCAGAGGGGCTTTGCAGAAGCAGGAGGCAGACAGCGGCAATGCAGCTGCCAGCTGCCGAGTTTAAAATAAAAATCAGAAATGAAATAAGGGAAGTGACAGCACAGAACATAATGAAGTATATAAACCTGGATAAAGCAGTGCAATGGGTAATAAAAAGTGAAATAGGGTGGAGGGGGTGAGTGAATTGCAGTCACATATATCACGAATGCATTAAGGGAAGGAGACAGAGAGAGAGGCAGGAAGAGGGAGCTGTTCCATCTCTTGAAACTCAATAAAGGAGTCTCTGAGTGCTTTTGGGGGTGGTTCACTCACTCTCTGTGGCTTGGGGATTGTCGTGTTGGCATCTCTGCTGTTTTCACAAAGCTCTTTGTGGCCTCAGGACTGGGGCTAACACCTGATTTCATGCTAAAGTGCTAAGGGTTGTGTAGACCTTACTTGGTCTTTTTGTTTGTTTGTTTTTTTGAGACAGAGTTTTTGCTCTGTTGCCCAGGCTGGAGTGCAATGGCACAATCTTGGCTCACTGCAACCTCCACCTCCCAGGTTCAAGTGATTCTCCTGCCTCAGCCTCCCAAGTAGCTGGGATAACAGTCGCTCGACACCATGCCTGACTAATTTTTGTATTTCTAGTAGAGACGAGGTTTCATCATATTGGCCAGGCTGGTCTCGAACTCTTGACCTCAGGTGATCCACCCACCTCGGCCTCCCAAAGTGCTAGGAGTACAGGTGTGAGCCACTGTGCCTGGCTTTACTTGGTCTTAAGGTTACTGCCAATTTATATGTACCTCCCAAGGAGCCACCCACCCTGGGTGTATCTGGTGATTGTGCCAGTTAGGGAACCCCAGGCATTCTCTATATTAATGAGCAGTAGCACATTGGGTCTGAATTTCTCGGAGCCCTCGAATTTGGTACCACACAGAGTTCAACCAAAGGGTCATTTTTCAAGAGTTATTTTTAATGTTTTTTTTTGGGGGGGGTGGTATGGAGAGTGGGGAATAATTTCTAACAAGAAGACAAAGAGCTTGCACATAAATCTTTCTAAGCAAACCCATGTAAAGTACTGATGCACTTTATAAGCTGTAAAGTAGGTTTTTATTAGCCATTTATGAGCCATTTTTTATGACGCAAGTTTAATATTTAACTATAAAGTTCACAATGCACTTATAAAGACAGATAGACTCATTCACTTTATAATTCTTGACTTGGATGCCTGGCAAAAGCCGATCGTACCATGTCATTTCAGCAAACTGGCCCAGTTGGGACTTTGGAAACTGGTCTAGGATTAGGTCTGGGAATTGACGGGCACTGGGGTATGTTGTAGGCAGAAGTGGGAGAAGCAATCAAGTACAGCCATAAAAATAAATGCACAAGCTGGGAGGTAATTTTTCTTCTGACTTTTCTGGAGCGTGGGGCCTCTATAGCCATTTAGGAAGGGAGTATTCTCTAGAGCAGCAATTCTTTTTTAGAGCAGCAGCAATATATTGCCATTTGATTTTGTGCAACCTACCTTCTTCCTCATAGATCAACATGGCTGGTATTTTTTATTCAATATGATGAAAATGAAGTTTGTTTTGAGAGCACCATGCCATGTAACTAAAATCGTAAGAGATAACCAGGAGTGTGATCAATTTAGGATTGCAATGTTTATTTTCCCCAGGAAAGAAATCTTTGGCATATGGAAGGTGGATGGCCCTTAGTGGACCTCACGCAGAATACATATGTTATCAATGGGGTCTTCTTCTAATCACAAGCCACACACTATATTAAATCTCAAGGGTTCTTCTTTGCACCACATGTTTGGAGGCTGGAATTTTTCTGGGAGGTGATGGAGCACATTTGAAGGGATCAAATGACTCAAAAGAACATCAAACAGATCAAGAGTCACAGCAACAACTTTTGCTACTAGAAAACTGTGCATTCTCCCTGGGTTCTAGAAGCACTCACGGTGGGCCCACAAGACACCTGGTGGCTCTTCCACTGTGGATGGTTTTATTCCATGAGTTTAATCCCCTAGTATCTCTCTTGAGGCAAAGATTTCACATATTCCAGTACTCCTGAAATCTTAATTAATTACAGACAGTCTCTGAATTACTATGGTTTGTTTATGAGTTTTTTTGTTTTTGTTTGTTTGCTTTTTGAGATGGAGTCTCGCTCTGTCTCCAGGCTGGAGTACATTGGCGTGATCTCAGCTCACTGCAACCTGCGACTCCCAGATTCAAGCGATTCTTCTGCCTCAGCCTCCCGAGTAGCTGGGACTACAGGCACATGCCGTCGCGCCTAGCTAATTTTTGTATTTTTAGTAGAGATGGGGTTTCACCACGTTGGCCAGGATGGTCTTGATTTCCTGACCTTGTGATCTGCCCACCTCAGCCTCCCAAAGTGCTGGGATTACAGCCACCACGCCCGACCTGTTTATGAGTTTTTGAGCCATGATGAATTTTATTAGGATGCAACCCCATTGTACATCGAGGAACATCTGTAATTAATTTGTTTCTTCTTGAGCCTCTATCACGTACCCGACTCTCTTAGGCAGTGGAGATATATTGGGCAACTTCAATTTTGTTTCCATCACTATTTCCTGGAGACCCTCACCCATTTCAGATTAGACTCTGCCATACCCAGTGTCAGACTCCCGATTCAGTTCCATTTTCTCACTGAAAGACTATCCGATTCAAATAGTCACTTGTAGAAAAACACAGTTGTATCTGGTAGTATATTCAGGCTTCTCACAATAGAAAGTCCCTAAACATTCTGGACTAGGGCCTATACTAGTTGCCTTAATCTACACTAATTGCCTTCATCTGTAGCACCATTCTTATCCTATACTTTATCTCTGGAGCCCCTGGAAACCCAAGCTTTCCAGACATCTATCATCTCTTGGTTCTTATCTCCATGTTACCCTGTACAACACATAATTCCCTACTGCCATATTCTGCTCTCCTAAGCCCACTGTCCCAAGCCTCCCAAATCTTTCTGAAGTGTGCTCTGGGACGAATGCTTAAGGGGAGACTGTCCTCTTCTTCTTGTTTTTTGTTTGTTTGTTTGTTTTGTTTGTTTGTTTTTTGAGACAGGGTCTCTCTGTTGCTCAGGCTGGAGTGCAGTGGCAGTGGCATGATCACAGCTCACTACAGCCTCAACCTCCTGGGCTCAAGGGATCCTCCCACCTCAGCCTCCCAAGTAGCTGGGACTGCAAGCGCGCAATACCACACTCAGCTAATTTTTTAAAATTTTTTGTAGAGATGGGGTCTTGCTATATTGTCCTGGCTGGTCTCAAACTCATGGGCTTAACTGATCCTCCTGCCTCAGCCTCCTAAAGTGCCAGAATTACAGATGTGAGCCACCGCCCCTGACCAAATGTGTTTTGTTTGTTTGTTTGTTTTGTTTGTTTGTTTTTTGAGACAGGGTCTCACTCTGTTGCTCAGGCTGGAGTGCAGCAGCAGTGGCGTGATCACAGTTCACTGCAGCCTCAACCTCCTGGGCTCAAGGGATCCTCCCACCTTAGCCTCCCAAGTATTTGGGATTACAGGCACACGGTACCACACTCAGCTAATTAAAACTTTTTTGTTGTTGAGATGGGGTCTTGCTATGTTGTCCAGGCTGGTCTTGAACTCATGGGCTCAAGTGATCCTCCTGCCTCCGCCTCCTAAAGTGCTGGGATTACAGGTGTGAGCCACTGCCCCTGGCGGAATGTGTCTTCTTTGCCCTCCCTTGCCACTTCTACACCATTTCTCCTGGGAAGCAACTGCAACTGGTCAGACTGCTTACAGGCACAATGCCCTTCCTTCCTCCCTATCATTCCTCTATGATTGCTTTTTTTTTTTTTGAGACAGGGTCTTGCTCCGTTGCCCAGGCTAGAGTTGAGTGGCATGATCTCATGGCTCACTGCAGCCTCAAACTCCTGCAATCCTCCCACCTCTGCCTCCTGAGTAGCTGTGACTACAGATGCAGACCACCAGGTCTGGCTAATTTTTCCATTTTTTTCTAGAGATGAGGTCTTGCTACTTTGCCCACATCTTGAACTAGTCTTGAACTCCTGAACTCTAGCAATCCTCCTGCTTCAGCCTCCTAAAGTTTGTTCATTTTTCGCTGATTAGTATCCCATGGTATGGATATAACACAGTATATTCACTTGTTGAAAGATGTCTGAGTTTCCATTTTTCTGCAATAAATGCTTTAAGAATGCCATTGTTGGGTCATATGATAGTTGCATGTTTAGTTTTATAAGAAACTATTAATACCAAGCTAATTTTCAGAGTAGCTATACCATTTTATATTCCCACCAGCAGTATTTGAATGACTAAGTTTCTCTGCATCCTTGCCAGCATTTGATGTTGGCACTATTTTTAATGTTAGCCACCAGTCACTCTGATGGATATATATGAATATAGGGGTCCCCAACCCCTGGGCCATGGACTGGAATTGGTCTGTGGCCTGTTAGGAACCGAGCTGCACAGCATGAGGTGAGTGGTGAGCAGGTGAGTGAAGCTTCATCTATACTTAGAGTCACTGCCAATTGCTTCCATGAACACCTGAGCCCCGCCTCCTGTCAGAGCAGCCGCAGCATTAGATTCTCATAGGAGCACGAACCCTATTGTGAACTGAGCATGTGAGGGATCTAGGTTGCGTGCTTCTTACGACAATCTAATTCCTGATAATCTGTCACTGTCACCCATCACCCCCAATGGGACCATCTAGTTGCAGGAGAACAAGCCTAGGGCTCCCACTAATTATATATTATGGTGAGTTGTGTAATTATTTCATTATATACTACAATGTAATAATAGAAATAAAGTGCACAGTAAATTTAATGCATTTGAATTATCCCAAAACCACCCCTGCCATGGGTCCATGGAAAAATTGTCTTCCACAAAACCAGTCCCTGGTGCCCAAAATGTTGGGGGCTACTGTATTAACATTTATTTTATTTTATTTTATTTTATTTTGAGACTGAGTCTCACTCTATCCCCCAAGCATGTACCACCATGTCCAGCTAATTTTTTGTGTTTTTAGTAGAGACAGAGTTTCACTATGTTGGCCAGGCTGGTCTCGATCTCCTGACCTCAGGTGTTCCACCCATCTTGACTTCCTAAAGTGTTGGGATTACAGGCATGAGCCACTGCACACAGCCTGTATTAATATTTCATCATGATTTTAATTTGCATTTCCCTAATGGCTCATTATATTGAACATATTTTCATGTGCTTAATTGCCATCTTTGGTGAAATGTTCCTTCATGTCTTTTGTCCATTTTCTAATGACATAGTTTGATTTTTTTTATTGTTGAGTTTTGAGTTTTTTATTCTAGATATGAGTCCTTTGTCAGATACATAGTTTGAAAATATTTTCTTCTCATTTGTAGCTTGTCTTTTCATCCTCTTTAAGCTCTTGCTCAAAGTGAAAGGTTTTAATTTGATGAGTTCAATTTATTAATTTTTTCTTTTATGAATTGTGCTTTCTGTGTCAAATCTAAGAACTCTTTGGCTAGCCCTAGATACCTAAGATTTTATCCTGTGTATTTTTTTTTTTTTTTTTGAGATGGAGTTTCACTCTTGTTGCCCAGGCTGGGATGCTATGGCACGATCTCAGCTCACTGCAACTTCCGTCTTCTGGGTACAAGCGATTCTCCTGCCTCAGCTTCCAGAGTAGCTGGGATTACAGACACCCACCACCACAGCCGGCTAATTTTTGTATTTTTAGTACAGATGTGGTTTCACCACGTTGGCCAGGTTGGTGTCGAACTCCTGATGTCAGGTGATCCGCCCACCTCGGCCTCCCAAAGTGTTGGGATTACAGGCGTGAGCCACCGTGCCCGGCCTGTATTTTTTCTAAAAGTTTATAGTTTTACACTGGACATTTAAGTCCATGATCCATTTTGAATAGAGTGGAATTTTTGAGTAATAGATATTGAATGAGTAGTTAAATGAAACAATAGTAGAATGATTTAGGAAATATATTGCTTGAGAACCATTGTGTAACTAAACCCAACTTAATAAGTTATACTCCAAAAATCGTATTTTCTTTTTACAGTAATAATCAGTGGAGTTGGGTACATCAATCTTGGCTTTGACTTAAGATTTGGCTTAATGACTGTTGCTTGCAATAAACTTTAGGCATTTGAGCTTTTGCACTTATTCAGTATAAATCCTTAATAGAAAGAAATATTCTCTTTGATAGGGGAAGCCTCACCAAACAATTTTTAAAAATATTTTTAGTAACATAGGGTCTGGGTAGTTATTTTTATAACAGGTGTTATTTGTAATCACTAAGTCTTTCCACTTATGGCCATGAAATCCGTGGTGTTGTAAGTAGAGCCCTCCTATTCATGATAGGGAAATTTTCCATAGGCCAGAAACATGGAACTTAACCATTAATCCTTTAGTTCCAACCTGAAAGATATGATAGAATCAAATTATAACCTAGGAAAATTGAAATGTAACAATCAGACTTTGAGCTCAAAGTTTTTAATGTCACCCTTTTTTGACTCTCTCTGCCTTCTATATTTGACTTCTCCTGATACAGACAAGGTGGAAAAGAAAGTATCAAGACCCCGAAAGGAAGCTGAACCTCTGTGAGGCTGTCCAACAACTTTTCCACATAGGTGCCTCTGGTTACTATGCTTGCGTCTCGTAGGATGTTAACACAGTGAGTGCATCTTTTTTTTTTTTTTGAGATGGAGTTTCACTCTTGTCACCCAGGCTGGAGTGCAATGGCACGATCTCAGCTCACTGCAACTTCCACCTTCAGGGTTCAAGTGATTTTCCTGCCTCAGCCCCCTGAGTAGCTGGGATTACAGGTGCCCACCACCAAGCTGGGCTAATTTTTTTTATTTTTTATTTTATTATTATTATTTCTTTTTTTTGAGACAGTCTCGCTCTGTCGCCCAGGCTGGAGTGCAGTGGCACAATCTCGGCTCACTGCAAACTCCGCCTCCTGGGTTCACACCATTCTCCTGCCTCAGCCTCCCAGGTAGCTGTAGGTGCCCATCACTACGCCCGGCTAATTTTTTTGTATTTTTAGTAGAGATGGGGTTTCACCATGTTAGCCAGGGTGGTCTCGATCTCCTGACCTCGTGATCCACCCACCTCGGCCTCCCAAAGTGCTGGGATTACAGGCGTGAGCCACCGCATCTGGCCATTGTTTTTATTTTTAGTAGAGATGGGGTTTTACCATGTTGGCCAGGGTGGTCTTGAACTCCTGACCTCAGGTGATCCACCTGCCTCAACCTCCCAAAGTGCTGGGATTACATGTGTGAGCCACCATGCCTGGCCAATGGGTGCCTCTTGTAGAATGTTAATGCAATGCTTCCCAAGAGTGGGATGTGCCACAAAGCCCATGGGCCACAATGTCTGACACATGTACCAGGTCCCGCACTCAGGGCTGGGCTCTGAGGATTGAGAATTTTTTTTTTTTTTTGAGATGGAGTCTCGCTCTGTCACCCAGGCTGGAGTGCAGTGGCTCATTCGGCTCACTGCAAGCTCTGCCTCCTGGGTTCACACCATTCTCCTGCCTCAGCCTCCTGAGTAGCTGGGACTACAGGCGCCTGCCACCACGCCTGGCTAATTTTTTGTATTTTTAGTGGAGACGGGTTTTCACCATGTTAGCCGGGAAGGTCTTGATCTCCTGACCTCATGATCCGCCCGCATCGGCCTCCCAAAGTGCTGGGATTACAGGTGTGAGCCACCGCACCCTGCCCTGACTGAGAAATTTAGGAGAGATGAATCAAACAAAATAGCTGCATTCAAGGGCATCAGAGGCTGTGAAGGAAACAGATGTGTAAACCTATCTCTGCAACATAAGAATTCACAAATTTTAATGATTACCATAGTCTGAATAATATACCCAATGCAATATACTTAAGAAATGTAAGAAATTAGTGATGGGTTTGATTCTTATAATTTCATTAAGAGTAAACTCTAGAGAAATTTTATCAGTTCACCAGACAATCCCTTTTGAGTTCCATTTGATTTTTTAAGATCACTTTATTGGAATATAATTCATATATCATGCAATTTGCCAATTTCAAATGTACAATTCAGTGGTTTTAAAAAAATATATTAAAAGTGTGGTGTAACCATCATAAAAATCTATATTAGAACATATTCATAATGTACAAAATGAAACTACGAACCTCTTCACTGTCATTCCTCGTCTCCCCCAACTCTCCTAGTCCCTGGAAACCATTAATCTACTTTCTGTTCCTATAAATTTGTTGATGTAGTTTGGATATTTTCCCTGCCCAAATCTCATGTTGAAATGTAATCTCCAATGCTGACCTGGGGGGAGGTGTTTTGATCATGGGGGGCGAATCCCGCATGGCTTGGTGCTGTCTTCCTGATAGTGAGTTCTAAAGAGAACTGGTCATTTAAAAGTATATGGCACCTCTCCCTCCATCTCACTCTCTCTGTTGCTCCTTCTCTAGCCATGTGATGTGCCTGTTGCCCCTTCACTTTCCACTGTGATTAAAAGTTCCCTGAGGCTTCACCAGAAGCTGAGCAGGTACCAGTACCATGCTTCCTACAAAGCCTGCAGAACCATTAGCCAATTAAATCTTTTTTTTTTTTCTTTTTTTCTCTCTGTCTTCCATGCTGGAGTGCAGTGGCACTTATCTCGGCTCACAGCAACCTCCGCCTCCCAGATTCAAGCGATTTTCCTGTCTCAGCCTCCCGAGTAGCTGGAATTACAGGCGCACACCACTATGCCTGGCTAATTTTTATGTTTTTAGTAGAGATGGGGTTTCACCATGTTGGCCAGGCTAGTCTTGAACTACTGACCTCAAGTGATCCGCCCGCCTCAGCCTCCCAAAGTGCTGGGATTACAGGCGTGAGCAACCGTGCCTGGCCTAAACTTCTTTTCTTGATAAATTACCCAGTCTCAGGTATTTCTTTATAGCAAGCAAGAACAGCCTAATACATTTGTCTATTCTGGAAGTGTTATACAGATGGAATCATACAATATGCGGTCTTTTGTGACTAACTTTGTTCTCTTTGTGTAATGTTTTTGAGGTGAATCCATGTTGTAATATTCATTGGTACTTAATTCATTTTTATTTCCAAATAATATTTCATTGTATGGCTGTGTCACATTTTATTTATCCATTCATCAGTTGATAGACATTTGGATTGTTTCCATTTTTTATCTGCTATGAATAATGTAATTGTGAACATTCATGTATAAGTTTTAGTATAGATATATTTCTAATTTTTTTTTTTTTGAGATGGAGTCTTACTCTGTCATCCAGGCTGGAGTGCAGTGTCACAGTCTTGGCTCACTGCAACTTTCACCTCCTGGGTTCCAGTGATTCTCCTGCCTCAGCCTTCTGAGTAGCTGGGATTACAGGCACGTACCACCACGCCCAGCTAATTTTTGTATTTTTAGTAGAGATGTGGTTTCACCATGTTGGCCAGGCTGGTCTCAAACTCCTGACCTCAGATGATCTGCCCACCTCGGCCTCTAAAAATGCTAGGATTACAGGCGTGAGCCAACACGCCTGACCTAGTGTAGTTAGATTTCATGTTTTCGTTTATCTTGGGTATATGTCTAGGAGTGGAATTGCTGGGTCGTATGGTAACTATCCATAGCCATTTAAGGAACTGCTAGTCTTTCCATGACAGCTGCATCATTTACTTTTCACCAGCAGCATGTGAGGTTTCCAATTTCATGACATCTTCACTGACATGTGTTAAAATCTGCTATTTAATTTATAGCCACCCTAGTGGATGGTGAGTAGTATATCATTGTGGGTTTGATTTGTGTTTCCCTGGTAGTGAATGATGTTGAGAATCTTTTCATGTGCTTTTTGACCATTTTATGTCTTCTTTGGAGAAATGTCTATCAAGTTCTTCGCCCATTTTTAAATAAGGTTGTAGGAGTTCCTTATAGATTCTAAATACAAATTTCTCATCAGATATATGATTTGCAAATATTTCTCCCACTTGTGGGTTGTCTTTTCACTTTCTTGATTCTGTCCATTGGAGCATGTAATTTTAATTTTGATAATCTCCCAACTTGGGCCAGGCGCAGTGGCTCATACCTGTAATCCCAGCACTTTGGGAATCTGAGGTGGGCAGATCTTGTGAGGTCAGAAGTTCCAGACTAGCTTGGCCAACATGGTGAACCCTTGTCTCTACTAAAAACACAAAAATTAGCTGGGCATGGTGTCATGTGCCTGTAGTCCCAGCTACTCGGGAGGCTGAGGTAGGAGAATCACTTGAACCCAGGAGGCAGAGGTTGCAGTGAGCTGAGATCGTTCCACTGCAATCCAGCTTGGGGTACAGAGTGAGACTGCATCTCAAAAAAAATAAATAAATAAAAAATAAAAAATCTTCCACCTGGTTATGTGGCATGTTGTATAATTATTTTTCTACATTAGTAAATTCATTTTGTATAATAATTTTGCTGAGGAAGAGGATTTTTTCTTAGTCTAAGTTCCTGAGAGACATTGATCTGCACTTTTCTTTTCATGTACTTTCTTTATCTGGCTTCAGTCAGGGTAACAGTGGTCTCGGAGAATGAATTAGGAGATATTCCCTCCTCTCCTGTTTTTTCAAAAAGTTTGTGAAAACTTGGTATTAATTTTTCTTTAAACATTTGGTAGAATTCACAAGTGAAGCCATATGGTTCTGGACTTTTTTCGTAGGAAGTTGTTTGATAACTAAGTTCTCTTCATTTGTTATAAGACTATTCAGATTTTTTATTTCTTCTTGAGTCAGTTTTGGTAGTTTGTGTCTTTTTATAACTTTTTCTATTTCTCCTCACTTATCTAATTTGTTGGCATACACTTGTTCATGGTATTTCCTTATAATCCTTTTTATTTCTGTAAGGTCAGTAATAATGTCCCCTCTTTCATTTCTGATTTTAGTAGTTTGCATCTTCTCTCATTTTTCTTGGTCAGTCTATCTGAAGGTCTTTCAGTTTTGTTGATCTTTTAAATAAATAACTTCTGGGGTTTATTTTTTCTGTTTTCTGTTCTTCATCTTTAAAAAATTTATTCTAATTCTTATTATTTTCTTCTTTCTGCTTGTTATGTGTTTAGTGTACACTTTTCCTGTCCAGTGCCTTAAGTTGAAAATTTAAATTATTGACTTGAGGTCTTTCTTCTATTTTAATATAGTCATTTATAGCTGTAAATTTTCCTCTAGTTAGGCAGTGCTTTGGCTTCATCCAATAAATGTTGACACTTGTGTCTTCATTTTCATTCATCTCAAAGTATTCTCTAATTTCCCTTGTGATTTCTTCTTTGACCCATTGATTATTTAGAAGAGTGCTGCTTAATTTCCATGTTATTTGTTAATTTCCCAATTTATTTCTGTTATTAATTTCTAATTCAATTGTAATTAGAGAAGACACTTCGTACAATTTCAATCCTCTTAAATTTATTGAAGCTTGATTTATGGTGTAGCATAAGGTTTATCCTCAAGAATGTTCCATGTGCACTTGAGAAAAATGTGTAATCTGCTGTTGTTGGCTGAGTATTCTTTATATGTCTGCCAGGTCTGGTTTGTTTATAGTGTTCAAATCTTCTGTTTCCTTGTTGATCTTCTGCTTAGTTGTTCTCTCCATTATTGAAAATGAAAATATTGATTTCTTTAAATATTGTTGAATTGTCTGTCTCTCTCTTCAATTCTGTCATTTTTTTTGCTTGATATATTTCAGGCTTCATTGTTAAATGCATATGTGTTTATAATATTTATATCTTCCTAATGGATTGACCATTTTTTTATTACAAAATGTCCCTTTTTATCTCTAGTAGCATTTGTAAAAAGTCTATGTTGTCTAATAGTAGAAATCTACTCCAGCTTTTTTATGGTTGCTGTTTATGTGATATACATTTTCCCATTCTTTTACTTTCAAACTATGTGTATCTTTGGATTTAAAATATTTCACCTGCAAGGAACATATAGTTGATTCTTGTTTGTTTACCCAGTCTGAAAATATCTGACTTTAGTTTGGGTTGGTTAAGTCATATTTAATGTTATTATTTTTTTGGAGACAGGGTCTCATTCTGTCACACAGGATGGAATGCAGTGGTGCAATCATGGCTCACTGCTGCCTCATCTTCCCAGGCTCAAGCAATTCTCCCATGTTGGCCGCCCAAGTGGCTAGGACTACAGGGTATGTGCCATCATGTCTGGCTAATTTTTTAATTTTATTTTTGTAGAGGCGGGGTTTTGCCATGTTTGCCCAGGCTGGTCTCAAACTCTTGGGCTCAAGTGATCCTCCCATCTTAGCCTTCAAAAGTGCTGAGATTATAGGCATGAACCACCACACCCAGCCTAATGCTATTATTGGCATATTTGGACTTACCTCTGCCACTATAGTTTTTGCTTACTATATGTCTCAGATTTCTTTTTTGTTCTTCTGTTCCTTCTTTACTGCTTTTATTTGCATTAAGTGAATATTTTCAGTGTAACATTTAATTCCCTCAGTAATTTTTTTTACAATTTTTTGAATTATTTTCTTAGTGGTTGTTTTAGGTCTAATAGTATACATGTTAAATTAGCAGAATTGAATTCAGATTTATATTAACAATGTAATTTACATACAGAAATGTTACTCCTCTGTAACTCTATTCTCTCTTCTCTTTTTGTTTATTGTAGTTTTATGTACATGATGCATTGCTATCGTTATTGCTTTGTATAGTGTTATTTCTTCTAAAGATGTGGAGAGAAGAAACAAAACCATGTACAACCATGTGCAGTGTAACATTTCAATGATGGACTGCATATATGAGGGTGGATTCATAAGGTTATCATGGAACTGAAAAATTCTTATCACCTAGTGACATGGTAGCCTTTGGAACATCATAGCACAGTGCATTACTTATTTATTTGTTGGCGATGCTGGTATAAACAAACCTACTGCTCTGCCAGTCATATAAAAGTCTAGGACATCCCCTTTTGTACAATACATGATACTTGATATTGATAATAAACATCTGTATTCCTGGTTTAGGTATTTACTATTCAATACTTCTAATGATTATTTTAGAGTGTACTCCTTCTACTTATTAAAAAGTATTTACTGTTATATAATATGCCATATTGCAGTAGCCACAGCCTCATACATCTCCTGTTTATCATGTCTCTTGATTGCATCGTTTTCTCTTGTGCATAATTTAATCTTATGTTGTTTTGTTCGTAATGGCCCCAAGTATATAAAATCCACTGCTAATGTTGCCAGTAAGAAACCACATCAGGAGCGGTGAGAGAGGGCATCCCTGTCTTGTGCCAGTTTTCAAAGGGAATGCTTCCAGTTTTTGCCCATTCAGTATGATATTGGCTGTGGGTTTGTCATAGATAGCTCTTATTATTTTGAAATACGTCCCATCAATACCTAATTTATTGAGAGTTTTTAGCATGAAGGGTTGTTGAATTTTGTCAAAGGCTTTTTCTGCATCTATTGAGATAATCATGTGGTTTTTGTCTTTGGCTCTGTTTATATGCTGGATTACATTTATTGATTTGTGTATATTGAACCAGCCTTGCATCCCAGGGATGAAGCCCACTTGATCGTGGTGGATAAGCTTTTTGATGTGCTGCTGGATTCGGTTTGCCAGTATTTTATTGAGGATTTTTGCATCAATGTTCATCAAGGATATTGGTCTAAAATTCTCTTTTTTGGTTGTGTCTGTGCCCGGCTTTGGTATCAGAATGATGCTGGCCTCATAAAATGAGTTAGAGAGGACCAAAAGCAATGGCAACAAAAGCCAAAATTGACAAATGGGATCTAATTAAACTAAAGAGCTTCTGCACAGCAAAAGAAACTACCATCAGAGTGAACAGGCAACCTACAACATGGGAGAAAATTTTCGCAACCTACTCATCTGACAAAGGGCTAATATCCAGAATCTACAATGAACTCAAACAAATTTACAAGAAAAAAACAAACAACCCCATCAAAAAGTGGGTGAAGGACATGAACAGACACTTCTCAAAAGAAGACATTTATGCAGCCAAAAAACACATGAAAAAATGCTCATCATCACTGGCCATCAGAGAAATGCAAATCAAAACCACTATGAGATATCATCTCACACCAGTTAGAATGGCAATCATTAAAAAGTCAGGAAACAACAGGTGCTGGAGAGGATGTGGAGAAATAGGAACACTTTTACACTGTTGGTGGGACTGTAAACTAGTTCAACCCTTGTGGAAGTCAGTGTGGCGATTCCTCAGGGATCTAAAACTAGAAATACCATTTGACCCAGCCATCCCATTACTGGGTATATACCCAAAGGACTATAAATCATGCTGCTATAAAGACACATGCACACGTATGTTTATTGTGGCATTATTCACAATAGCAAAGACTTGGAACCAACCCAAATGTCCAACAATGATAGACTGGATTAAGAAAATGTGGCACATATACACCATGGAATACTATGCAGCCATAAAAAATGATGAGTTCATATCCTTTGTAGGGACACGGATGAAATTGGAAATCATCATTCTCAGTAAACTATCGCAAGAACAAAAAACCAAACACCGTATATTCTCACTCATAGGTGGGAATTGAACAATGAGATCACCTGGACACATGAAGGGGAATATCACACTCTGGGGACTGTGGTGGGGTGGGGGGAGGGGGAAGGGATAGCATTGGGAGATATACCTAAGGCTAGATGACGAGTTAGTGGGTGCAGCGCACCAGCATGGCACATGTATACATATGTAACTAACCTGCACAATGTGCACATGTACCCTAAAACTTAAAGTATAATAAAAAAAAAAAAAAAGAAACCACATCAAATGATTGACCTGGAAACAAAACTAAAAGTGATTAAGGACTATGAAGATGGAAAATCAGTAATGATGATTGCTTGCCAGTCAGCCATGTCCCATTCCCCCATAGCTACAGTCTTGAAGAACAAGAACAAAATGATGGAAGTTGTTAAAGGATTTGCTTCATTAAAGGCAATAAGACTCTTAATAAGGGCCCCTATAAGACATGGAGCAACTTCTAATAACTTGAATTGAAGATCAGACACAAGTGTATTCCTCTCAGCACCATGACAATCACAGCTGAAGCAAAAAGTTCGTGATGTTGAAAGAAAAGGCTGGACTTGACTATCATGGTGAATTTACTGCTCACTCTGAGTGGTTTAAATGGTTCATTTTAAAAGAATCATTATCCATTACATAATGTGAAAATGAGTGGCAAGTCTGAGAGTGCTGATGTGAAGGCAGCTGAAGAATTTTTGGAAACTGTAGATAAGCTGATTGTGGAGGAAAATTACTTGCAAAGCAAATCTTCAATATGGATAAAACCTTTCTGTTCTGGAAATAGTTGCCTGAAAGGACTTTCATCCATAAGGAGGCCAAGTCAATGCCAGGTTTCAAGGCTTTTTAGGACAAGATAACAGTCTTGCTTGGGGCCAATGTTGCAGGCTACAAATAGAAACATTTTGTAATCTGGGACAGTAAGACCCCCAAGCATATTGACATTCAAGCATATCAGTAAGCACACACTGCCTGTCTACTACAGGAGCAATAAGGAGTTACGGATGACCCAGTGAAATGGAGATGGTTTGGAGGATAATATATCTTTCAAGATTTTGCTTGTTGTTGACAATGCTCCTGCACATTCTCCTTTTATTGGTGATCTTCATCCCAATATCAAAGTAGTATTTCCCCCTCCAAATACCATCTCTTTGACCCAACCAATGGATCAAATAATTATACCAACTTTTAAGACCTGTTACCTGAGGAGGACTTTTGCTGAGGCATTGCTGCAAATGATAAAGACACCGAGAAGATACCAATGCAATTCTGGAAAGGTTACAACATTTATGACTGCATCAAGAACCTGATCTTGGAGTGATGTCACCAAGGAGTGTTTTAATGTCATCTAGAAGAAGGCACTCAAGGGGTTTGTCCATGACTTCAAAGGATTTGCCAAGGATTAGGAGGTTGCACAAATACAAGGCTCTGGTTGCCTTGAGTTGGCAAACAACTCTGTGGATGAGGATGACATTGAGGAACTCCTAGGGGTGGTTCCTGAGGAATTGACTAAGGGGGAGTTGTCAGAACTGGAACAGAAACATGTAGATAAAGAAGAGGCAAGAGAAAAGAAAAGAGAGAAAAAAAAAGAAAAAGGAAACAAAATTCACAATGAAGAGTTTAGCAGAAGCTTTTGAAGACCTTAACGAGCTCCTTAAAACATTTGAGAACATGGATGCCAACATTGAAAGGTTTCCATTAATACAGAGGAATGTTCGTGGTGCATTATCTGCCAAGAAGTAAATCAATAATGAAAAAAAGAAACAAACCAAGCCAACCACATTGGACATATTTCTGGAAAGAGTTACACCTTCTCAAGAAGAGCCTCAGGTAGGTCCTTCAGGAGGGTTTCCAGAGGAAGGCACTGTTATCCTAGGAGATGACAGCTCCATGTCTGTTATTGCCCCAAAGTCACTCCAGTGGGACAAGATTTCAAGATGGAAGACAGTGATACTGATGATCTTATGCTTTGTAATCCCAGGTTAATATGTGTGTTTGTGTCATTTTTAGGAAAAATATTTAAAAATTTAAAAATAATTTTTAAAATAGAAAAAAGCTTACAGAATGAGAACATAGAGAAAGAAAATATTTTTGTACAGTTATACACACAAGTTTGTGTTTTAAGACAAATGTTATTACAAGAGTCAAAAAGTTAGAAAAATTCTATGAAGTTTATAAAGTAAAAAAGTCACAGGAATCTAAGGTTAATTTATTATTGAAGAAAACAGCTTTTACAAATTTTGGGTAGCCTATGTGTACAGTGATTGTAAAGTCTAAAGTAGTGGGCAGTAATGTCCTAGGCCTTCACATTTTTGTATCATTCATTCACTCACTCAACCAGAGCAACTTCTAGTCCTGCAAGCTCCATTTGTGGTGAGTTCTCTATGTGGCTGTACAATATTTTATCTTTTATACTATATTTTTACTGTATCTTTTCTATGCATGGCTATGTTTAGATACACAAATGCATATCATTGTGTTACAATTGTCTACAGTATTCAGTACAGGAATATGCTGTACAGGTTTGTAGTCTAGGAGCAATAAATTATACTATCTAGTCTAAGTGTGTAGTAGGCTGTACAATCTAGATTTGTGTAAGTGCATCCCATCATGTTCACACAATGATGGAACCATCTAACAAGGCATTTCTTAGAACACATCCCCATTGTTGCCTGGCACGGTGGCTCACGCCTGCAGTTCCAGCTACTCGGGAGGCTGAGGCAGGAGAATGGCGGGAACCCGGGAGGCAGAGCTTGCAGTGAGCCGAGATGGCGCCACCGCACTCCAGCCTGGGAGACAGAGCGAGACTCCATCTCAAAAAAAAAAAAAAAAAAAAAAGAAATTGAACACATCCCCATTGTTTAGTGATTCATGGCTGTGTATTTTTGTATAGTTGGTTACTTTAACCTACATATTTATATTTTTGGTTCATTTCGTTTGGTCCTGTGGATTTGAGTTACCATCTAGTGTTATTTTCTTACTCGAATATTGCTTTGCTCTCATCATAAGCTAGGGAGAAATAAAATCCAGGCCGGAGTGCAGTGGCATGATATTACTTACTGCAGCCTCACACTCCTGGGCTCAAACCATCCTCCTGCCTCAGCCTCCCAAAGCCCTGGGATTACAGCCATGTGTCACTGTACCTGGCCTGAATATTTTATTTTAAACATTTCTCTTACCCAAGATGCATTTGGGTTAGCTTTAAAAACACTGTTCTACCAAATGGAAAAATCTTCTTTGAATTTTGTCTCTTTACCTCTCACTCACTGTGTGTCTGGGCACCAGTTACTTTCTCAGTAACATGGGCATAATATTACCCCCTTCCTGCCTTAAAAGGATTTTAAGTGCTTAAAATGAGATCATAAACACACTTTAAAAATATTTTAAAAGATCATGCAAGGTATTATTGTTGCTATTATTATTAATTAGTGATGTGGTTTGGCTGTGTCCTCACCTAAATCTCATCTTGAATTGTAGCTCCCATAAAACCCTATCTGTTGTGTGGGAGGGACCCAGTGGGAGGTAATTATCATGGGAGTGGGTTTTCCTGTGCTGTTCTTGTGATAGTGAATAAGTCTCACGAGATCGGATGGTTTTATAAAGGGAAGTTCCCCTGCACAAGCTCTCTTACCTGCTGCCATGTAAGTCATGCCTTTGCTCCTTCTTCACCTTCTGCCATGATTGTGAGGCCTCCCCAGCCATGTAGAACTGTGAGTTCATTAAATCTCTTTTTCTTTATAAATTACCCAGTCTTAGGTATTTCTTCATAGCAATATGAAAATAAACTAATACAATTAAGAAGGATTGCTTTTGGGTATAAATGTAAACCAACACATTTTGGAGAAAGTCTCTTTCAAGGAAGATCACGACTTCCATCCATATTTTAAACCCATGCCCATGCCTATTCAGGCCACAACAAGCTGTTCATCCAGGTAGTAGAGTTTCCTGCAGCTGAAATTTATGTTGTGTAAGAGGAGGTGGAAAAAACATATGTCTTAAAGTTAGTAATTTGAGACCAGATCCTTATCCTACTAGTTATTTGCTTCATCTCTGAGCATCTTAGTGTCACCTTCAACTAAATGGCCATCTTCTTTCATGGTGTCATGGGAGGGGTTAAGTGAATAAGCACTTAGCATGGTCCTGAAACACAGTGCCCACTTAGTGTTAGCCACAGCTCTCCTCTTGAGCACTTACCATGGTCCTTCCTGTAGCCCTTCCTCATGAGATGATGCCTTCATTTCATTTTCAGGTTCCCCATGGTTCTGGAATTTTGTAAATAAGAAGTGTTTAGTAAAAACATCCAGGCCGGGCACAGTGGCTCACACCTGTAATCCCAGCACTTTGGGAGGCAGAGGTGGGCGGATCACCTAAGGTCATTAGTTTGAGACCAGCCTGGCCAACATGGCAAAACCCCGTTTCTACTAAAAAAAAAAAACACACGCAAAAATTAGCCAGGCATGATGGTGGGCACCTGTAATCCCAGCTACTCGGAAGGCTGAGGCAGGAGAATTGCTTGGACCCGGGAGGTGGAGGCTGCAGTGAGCTGAGATCGTGCCATTGCACTCCAGCCTGGGCAACAAGAGCAAAACTCTGTCTCAAAACAAACAAACAAACAAACAAACAAACAAACAATCCAATCTGCAAGATGGCTTGAATCTGATGGCACTTTTCTGACATTTGCACTATGTTTATCAGACTAAGCAGCAGAGCACAGGGCTCTAAGGAGGTGGCACCCTGGAATGGTAACTATGGAAGAGGAAAATGTACGTAGAATGAAGAGTCAAATGGGACCCCATCGGCAAGGGAGTCCCTTGATCATTGGAGATGGCCTGGACATATTGGGCATTTGGAAGTAAGTTAGGGATGAACAGGAAAATAATGGGACCCTAAGGAAGCAAGACAAAGCTACAGAGACTTATTTCTTTTTTTTTTTTTAATTGAAAAACTGAGTTTTCTGATTCATTGTCCCAGAACTAAAAATGAACAGAGATCCGCACCGGTGCTACCCCATCCTCTATGCCATCAGACTGATGTTCTGTTATTTTCTTCTGCGGAAGTCATACCTTTAAAAAAATTATCTCCTAAATACAGTACATTAAAGTCATGTATTAATTTATTTTTCTCATTTTTATTCATCTTAGGCATATCCAGCTGCCAAGGAGAGCTTCTGGTCTTCGTAAGATAAAAAGTAAATGACTTTCTCTGAAAATGCTTCCATTCTTTTCTTCCTTCCTACAGCACCTACTCCCTCGCTCTTCTTTTTGAGCTTGTCTCTTTCTAATTGATTCCATCAAGGCGTTAGTTACAAATACACCGTGCAAGTGACAAGACATTCAACTCTGCTCTACCTTACTTGTCTGCCACTGGTTGTCTTCTGCGTCTACCGTGTCTTCAATCAGCTGTATTCCTGCACCCAGGAGGCTTGTGTTGTTTGTAGTGGCCGAGGATGGCTCGCTGCTGGTTTCTCAATGAAGGCGGCGTGTTCTACATGAATTAAATATTTACGTGTTCTACATGAATTAAATAATTATCGACATTGTCGTTGAAACGGCGATGTTACGTTGTGCCTCTGAGAAGAAGAATAGAGTGTATAGATCTGGAGAAGAGCAATATGCCTCCTTTTACATACATCATTATTTTGGAAGACAGATCTTCCATCAACACAAGTTGCAATTTAACTTGCAGCTCTTCAAATGAAGCTTTGCAAAGCCATGAGGTCTTCTGAATAAAAATGAGGCTGGAATTGCTTTGTTTCCCTTAGATAGTGTTTGTCCACTAAGAAGAAGAAACAAATCATTTCCAGAAAATGCTTCTGTTTGGTCATTGATTTCACTAGCCTCTGTCAAGCAGCGACAAAAATTTGTATAAGCAGCCTCACTGCTCTCTCATTCGTCTCTGAGTTATTTATGACCAAGGTGTGGAGAACAGTGCATGATGGGGCCTAGAATTAAGATTACTTATGATCCTGAGACAGATTCCAGTCTCCAGTGCCTTTCTGTATGACTTTCATCACCATGTAATCCTTATTATTCATAGTAATAAGAGTGACAGATATTACAGAGGGATTAAATAATTCACTGAAGTTCACATGGTTAAGAAAAGGAAGAACTGAAAGTCCATATTCTTTTATTATACTCTATTTTTTTGTTTTTGTTTTTGAGATGAAGTCTCACTCTGTCACCCAGGCTAGAGTGCAGTGGTGCGATCTCAGCTCACTGCAACCTCCACCTCCCAGGTTCAAGTGACTCTCCTGCCTTGGCCTCCTGACTAGCTGGGATTACAGGCAACTGCCACCATGCCCAACTAATTTTTGTATTATTAGTAGAGATGCGGTTTCATCATGTTGGCCAGGCTGGTCTTGAACTCCTGGTCTCAAGTGATCCTCCTGCCTCAGCCTCCCAAAGTGCTGAGATTACCGGCGCGAGACACCGTGCCTAGCCCCAGTTTCTGTAACTTTTATTATAGATTGTTGAAGGGCCTAGAGCCCCCCTACCCTTAAATTCTTGCACACTTAGCTGGGACAGTAGTGTTCAGAGCTTGGAGATGGCAGTCCCATCTCCAAGGAGCTCCTTGGGTCTTCACTGGCATCTGGGACACTGTTCAGGGTCCTGCTGAGAATGGACTCTGACAGTGAAATGGGAAAAGTTCCCTTCTATCCTCACAGGATGTGTGACGGAGAAGTGGCTTGCTTCTGTGGTTCTCTGCAGCTCAAACCCCTAGGGAGAGCATGCAGATGGGCAGGTGGTGGGGAGCATGGGCTCCAGTCCCATGGCAGTGTCTAGGGTTGAGTGTTTACAACTCCTGAAGCCCCAGTGGGTGTGTGTTACAGTGTGTTCTTTTAGCTTAGCCATCCACAGGTGGCTTGTGTTAATCAGCTCGGTTAGACCCTCTGCCTTATTGCAACGACAGTGGGTTTCTGTATCCCAGGGTTCTTGCCCTAGTGTACCAGAAAAATCGGATCACAGGTGGGCTTGGAAGATGAATGCAAAGTTTTATTGAATGGTGGAAGTAGCTCTCAGCAGATGGATGGGGAGCTAGAAGGGGGATGGAGTGGGAAAGTGGTCTTTCCCTGGAGTTGGTCGCCCAGCAGCTGGGCTCTCCTCTGACTGCCCTTGGCTGAATTTCCCTCAGTGTCCACGTGGTTCCACTGTTGATGGCCTGTTGGCATCTGCATGTTCTTCTGCTGGTGTGTTCCTCCCCATGTCCAGCGCTTGTGTGTGTGTCTGCTAGGGATTCAAGGTTTTTGTTTTGTTTTGTTTTGTTTTGAGACAGAGTCTCACTCTGTTGCCCAGGCTGGAGTGCAGTGGTATGATCTTGGCTTACTGCAACCTCCACCTCCTGGGTTCAAGTGATTCTCCTGCCTCAGCCTCCTGAGTAACTGGAATTGCAGGCTCATCCCACCACACCCAGCTGATTTTTGTACTTTTAGTAGAGATGGGGTTTCACCATGTTGGCCAGGCTGGTCTCAAACTCGACCTCAGACCATCCACCTGCCTCAGCCTCCCAAAGTGCTGGGATTACAGGTGTGAGCCACCATGCCTGGCCCTGGTCTGATTTTTGTCATTATAGTTTTGCCTTTTCTAGCCTTTTATAGAAATTGAACTATACAGTATATGATAATTTCCATATTGACTTTGTCTCATTTAGCATAATGTTGATGACATAAACTTCTATTATTATGTGGATCAATTTTTTCTTTTTTATTGCTCAGTACTACTGCATTGCACTAAAATATAATAATTTATCTATTAACATGTCAGTGGACATTTAGGTTGTTTCAAATATCTGGCTATCATCAATAAAGCTGCTGTGAACATTTATAACAAGGTTTTGTGTTAACATGCATTTTTATTTATTTAGGTCTTTAATTTCCCTATGGGATTACTTGGTCATGGCATGTTTTTTTTTTTTTTTTTTTTGAAATGCAGTCTCACTCTGTCACCCAGGCTAGAGTATAGTGGCAAAATCTCAGCTTACTACACCTCTGCCTCCCGGGTTCAAGTGATTCTCCTGCCTCAGCCTCCTGAGTAGCTGAGACGACAGGTGCCCATCACCATGCTTGGCTAATTTTTGTATTTTTATTAGAGATGGGGTTTCACTATGTTGGCCAGGCTGGTCTTGAACTCCTAACCTCAAGTGATCTGCCCACCTTGGCCTCCCAAAGTGCTGGGATTACAGGCGTGAGCCACTGTGCCTGGCCAGTCATGGCAAGTTTATGTTTAACTTTACAAGAAGCTGCTTCACTGTTTTTCAGAGTGGCTGTGGCACTTCACATTCTCAACAAGAATGTATGATTGATTATTCCAGTTGCTCCACATTCTCACCAACATTTGGTGTAGTCAGTATTTTTCAGTCTTAGCCATTCTAGGAAATGTGTGTGGAATCTAAGTGTGTAGCAGAATATCATGTTACTTTTAATTTGCATTTCCCTAATGAGTGATGATGGTTGACATTTTTTCATGGGCTTATTAGTCATTCATATGTCCTCTTTTGTGAAGTGTTTGTTTGAATCATTTGAATACATTTGAATATTTTTTCTTGGGTTTTATTATCTTGTAAGAGTTCTTTTACTATTTTGAATACAAGGTCTTTGTCAGGTGTGTGTGTCTGTGTGTGTTTATATAAATAAAAGAATTATTTACCTTTTATATTCTTATATGTAAAAATAGACATATATTATTTATATATATACACACACATAATATTTTTTTTTCCATAGTGAGTGTGTTTTTACATGTGTCTTTTAAAGAGCATTAGTTTTCATTTCTAATGATGCCTCTTTAATCAACTTTCTCATGCTTTTCCCCAACCCTGTGCCATAAAGATGTTCTTCTATGTTTGTCTCCTAGAAATTATATAGTTTTACATTTAATGTTAAGGTCTATGACCCAAATTTAATTAATTTATTTATATGATGTTTGGTAGGTATTGATGTTCATTTTTCCACACTGATACGCAATGTTTTTAGCAACATTTGTTGAAAAGGCTATTCACTATTGAATTATCTTTTCGACAAATTATCTTTGTCAAAAATCAATTGGCCATATATGTCTGGTTTATTTCTTAACTCTAATTTGTTCCATTAATCTTGATGTCGACCTTTTGCTAGTTCTACAGTGTCATGATTACAGTAAATTTGTAAGTATTAAAATGAGAAAATGTAAGTCAAATTCTTTTTGTTACTCTAAGCCCTTTGACTTTCCATATAAATTTTAGAATCAGCTTGTAAATTTCTTCTAAAGATTTCACTGTTACTTTGATCAGAGAATTTTGAATTTACAGACTAATTTGGGAAGAATCCCCACACTAATATTTAAATTAACACATTAACATCATATATTTCTCCATTTATTTAGGTAATTACCTCCATTTCTTTAGGTAATTTAGGTGTTTAATTTTCCTCAGCAATATTTTTTAAAGTTTTCAGTGTAAAAGTCTTGTATACTTTTTATTAAATTTATTCATAGCTAATTTACTTATTTTTTAGTTCTAATTATAAATTGATTTCAATTTCACTTTCTAATTGTTCATTAATAGTTTATAGAAACAATTAATTTTTTATATTGAACTTTTATCCTAGGACATTATAAATTCACTTATTAGTTCTAGTGACTTTTAAAAAATTGCTTAGGATTTTATAAGTCATATCATTATGAATACAAATTTAATGTTTTCTTTCTAAACTGAATATTAAAGTTTTTTCTTAACTATGACACTGATCAACACCTCTAGTACAATATTAAATGGAAATGATGAGGTCAAGTACAGTGGCTCATGCCTGTAGGCCCAGTACTTTAGGAGACGAAGGCAGGAGGATTGTTTGAGGCCAAGAGTTCAAGGCCAGCCTGGGCAACAGAGCAAGACCCTGTCTCTACAAAAACTAAAAATAATTAAAAAAAAAAAAAAAGAAGTGATGATAATAATATACATTCTTACCTTGCTCTTGCTTTTAGGTCGGAAATATCCAGCAATTAATCACTGACCAGGTTGCTAGCTAGGAGTTCGCCATAAATGCCCTGTATCAGGTTGAGGAAATTTCCTTCTATTTCTAGTTCTCTTTTCTTTTTGTAAATTATTTTATTTCTTCCATGATGACTTAGAGGGACTGTCTTCAAACAAGTACAACTATTTCATAAATAATACCTGGCCGTTTTCTAAGCAATTGAGTAATTTGTTGCACAGTAAGCTACCTCACATCTTTCAATAAGAAATACATTAAATTTGGATAGTAAAGACATTACATAATGAGTTAGGACACAATTAAAATTTGCTTTAAATGTTTCTTTGGGGGACAGGACACCACACTTCTACTCAATGAATAGAAACATTTTTACAGCCCCGAAGTCTTTTTTTTTTTTTTTTTTTTTTTTTTTTTCACCTAATACGCCATGAATTCATAGGGAATAGGTTGCAGCAGTTCAGGCTTCTTCCCATGGTTCTCACAAAGTGAGCTTCTCTGGGTGGAGCAGGCTGGAGCTTCATTTGAACCCAGGTCCGTTTCTCTTTGGCTTCTTTCTTTTTTCTTTTTTGAGACGGAGTCTCACTCTGTAGCCCAGGCTAGAGTGCAATGGCACCATCTCGGTTCACCGCAATCTCTGCCTCCCAGGTTCAAGTGATTCTCCTGCCTCAGCCTCCCGAGTAGCTGGGATTGCAGGCACGCACCACCATGCACGGCTAATTTTTTTGTATTTTTAGTAGAGACAGTGCTTCTCCATGGTGGTAGGGCTGATCTCAAACTCCCGACCTCAAGTGATCCGCCCGCCTCGGCCTCCCAGAGTGCTGGGATTACAGGCATGAGCCACCGAGCCCAGCCGACTTTTTTCTTTTTCTGATCATTTTCCTTCACGCCTTTCAGGAAGCTATCTCGGCTCATAGAGTGCTCAAGGTGCTCAATACACACATTAATTCTCTTGGCAAGAATCTTGGCCTTAACTTGTTTGTTTACAACAATGCCAGCAGCATGCTGGGGAACGCTGTAGACTCTTCCAGTTTCGCCATGATAACACTTGCGGGGCTTCTTTTTTGAACAGTACCCATTCCCTTGATGTCTACAATATCACCTTTCTTGCAGATTAGCATATACGTGGCCAAAGGAACAACTCCTGTTTTCTAAAAAACCTAGAGAACATATATCGGGTGCTTCTCCTCTTTCCCTTTGCTTTCGTCATTTTGGTGAATTACTGGAAGATAGTGGTTCTGGCCGAAAGGCTATTTCTAGTTTTCTGGGAGTTTTTATGTTTTCAAATACTTTCTCTGCATCAGTTAAAATGTCCTCTTTTTTCTTTCTTTATGCTATTGATTCTGTGAATTGCATTGATTCCTTTTTAGATATTATACCAACCTTCATTCCTGGTAGACACACTTCTTGGTCAACATTTATCATCCTTTTATATATTGCTGAACTACATTTGCTAAAATTTGGTAAGGAGGAGGTTAGCATCTCTATTATGACAGAAGTATGTAGATATACTGCCTTAATCCTTTTGGGCTGCTGTAACAAAATACCCTAAACTGGGTACCTCACAAACAAAATACATATGTATAAATATATTTATTAAGATATATTTGTTAAAAAGATATATTTATATAATATATATTTATTTTAAAATATAATTTATATTTATTTTAAAATATATATTTACTAAAATATATGTTAAAACATATTTATTAAAATATATACATTAAAAACATATATAGTTAAAATATATATGTTAAAAACATATATAGTTAAAATATATAAATGTATATTTTTTTTCTCACAGTTCTGGAGACCGGGAAGTTCAAGGTTCAGACAACTGACAGATGCGGTATCTGGTGAGGGCCCCTTTTCTGGTTCATAGATAGCACGTTCTTGCTGTGTCTTCACATGGTAGAAGGGGTTAGGGATCTCTCTAGGGCCTCTTTTATAGGGGCATTGATCTCCATTCATGAGGGTTCCATCTTTACAACCTAATCACCTCTCAAAGGCCTTGCCTTCAAATAGTATCACGTTGAGAGCTAAGATTTCAATATACAAATTTTGGAGGGACACACACATTTAAATTATAGCATGTAGGTAGTTTTATTGTGACTTATTTGGTTTTATCAGTGTAATCCTGCCTCATAAAATAAGTTGAGAAATAAAGTCACTATCTTCTGAGAGAGTGTGTGTAGGATTGGCGTCATTTCTTTCTTAAATGTATGACATAATTCATCAGTTAAGACATCTGGACCGGAAGTTTTCCTAGTAGAAAATTTTTAATTTTAAATTGTACCTACTTAATATATATAAAGCTTTTCAAGTTTTTTTTTTTTTTTAATTTCTTCCTGGGTCACTTTTGGTATTTTGTATCTATCAAGAATTTGGCCATTTAATCTCCATTGTTAAATTTATTGGCATAAAGTTATCCATAACACTCCTTTATTTTCCTTTTTATGTTGTATGATCTATAGTGACAATAGTGACATCCCCTCTGTCATTTCCTACAATGATAATTTGCAGTTTTTCTCTCTCTCTCTCTCCCCCTTTTCCCCTCATCTATCAGGCAGAGGTACATCGATTTTATTGAACTTTTCAAATAATCAACTGTGGGTTTTTTTTTATTATTATTGTTTTTCCTTTTAAAAATACCTTGGGTATAATTTTTTTTAATTTTGTTTTTTTGGATTTTAATATGGAAATGTACAAAATTGAGTTTAGATCTTTCATGTTTTCAGATGTAAGCATTTAAGCTACGCAATTTCCTCTAAAGCCTACTGTAGCTACACCCCTAAAATCTGTACACGATGAAGTTTGATTATTATTTAGCTTAAAGCATTTTCTAATTTATTTTGTAATTTTTTGACACATAGATTATTTAGAAGTATGTTGTTTAATTTTGAATATTTGGAATTTTCCTGGATATTTTGTTGAAAATTTCTTCCATTTTTGGAAGAAAATTAAATATATATGCTTAATATATATCTTCTATAAATATTAATTTATAGAGCACAATTTATAGAGCACATCTATGCTTAGCATTCCAATAATGGAACGCTAAGTATGTATGTGGAAGTTATTTATATTCTGTTGCTCAAGGTCATCGCCAAGGTCTGATTGCAAAAATTCCAAACACTGCAACTTCAGGCATAAATGTGTTGAATCAAGATAGTTGATAATGCTGACTTAATTATTTATACGATTTGGTATTAGGCTACCATTTTATTATTTGTTTTCAAGTTTTGTTCCTTTTATTCTTGTTCCTCTGTTCTTCTTTTCTGTCCCTTTTTTTGTTTGTTTTTAATTTGGTGGGGGAGGAGGAAGGGGAGATACTATTTGGCTCTTTTTGGAATTTCATACTAATTCTTCTATTGTATTTTAGCTTTATTTCTTGAATTTTATTCTAGTGATTGATTTAAAATTACGATATAACCCTTTAACTTTTAACACTTTGCTTACAGTTAATATTTGTACCATTTTAGGGAAAATATATCAACTTTGCCAATGTATAGGTCCATCTTGGCCACTATCTTTATACTAGTCACGTATATTACAAATATAAAAACCAAGTTGTTGTTTTTTCCTTAGAGACTCATATGTATTATGGTGAAATTATAAGAAAAAAAGAAAAATTGCTTTATGTTTACCAAGATGCTAATCATTTATAATGCTCTTTATTTCTTTATGAGAATCTGAGTATCTGGTATAATATCTCTTCAGTCTGAGAGCTTCCTTTAGCAGTACATGTTTGGATAGGTTTGCTGTCAACAAACTCAACAAAGTCTCCTTTTATCTGATTATGAATTTATTTCTCCTTTATTAAGAAACATTTTGTACTGGACATACCATTTTGTGTTGACATCTTTTTTCAGCAATTAAAAAAGTATTGTTCTACTCTCCTTTGGCCTCTTAGTTTCTAGCAATAAGTCTATTATTAATCAAATAGTGAGTCGGTTTTTTTCTTGCTGCTTTCAATATTTGCTGTTCATCATTTGACTTTCAATTATTTGACTATTATGTGCTTCAATTTTTATTCTACTTGGTGTTTGTTAAGCATTTTGAATCTGTAAATTTACTTCTTTCATTAAATTTGTAATATTTGACCCTTGTTTCTTCAAAAATTTCTTTTCTGCCCCATTTGTTGTCTGCTCTCTTTTTGGGACTTCAATTACACATATATTAGAGTAGTTTCTATCACTCAGTGAGTTCCTTAAGCTCTGTTCATTTTTTTTTCAATCTTTTTCTCTTTGTTCTTCACGTTGGCTAATTTGTACTAACAAGTTCACTTACTCTTTCCCATGTCATTGGCATTATGTTAAGCCCTTTTTTATTTCAATTGTTGAAATGAAATATGTTAAGTGCCTTTTTTATTTCAATTGCTGTATATTTTTAGTTATAATACACTCGATTTCATTATTTTCATTGTTTTTATTTCTCTGCTTTCACTTTCTCCCTAGTTTTTCACCACCAGCATGTTTTCTTTTACTTCACAGAGAAGAATTAATAGTTGTAATAACTATTTTTGTTTATTTTATTTATTTATTTTTTAATTTTTTGAGACAGAGTCTTGCTCTGTTGCCCTGGCTGGAGTGCAGTGGTGTGATCCTGGCTCACTGCAACCTCTGCCTCCCAGGTTGAAGCTATTCTCCTGTCTTGGCCTCCCGTGTAGCTGGAATTACAGGCATGCACCACCACACCTGGATAATTTTTGTATTTTTAGTAGAGACAGGGTCTCACTATGTTGGGCAGGCTGGTCTCAAACTCCTGACCTCAAGTGATCCACCTACCTTGGCCTCCCAAAGTGCTGGGATTATAGGCGTGAGCCACTACACCCGGCCAATAGTTATAATAACTGTTTTTAAATCCATTTTTGCTCACTCTCACATCTGGACTGTATCAGAATTGACTACAGGTCTTTTTTTTTTTTGTAAGAATGTGTTCCATTTTCTCGATGTTTCACATATCAGGGCACTTTGTTATTATATTCTAGACATTATGCACTCTCCATTGCCTTAAGGTAGCTATTTGTTTTGTATTATATCCACAGTTTATAGTGATTATCTGTAGGTGGATTAGTCTGGTTGGACCTTACTCAGCCATTATCCTCCATGAACATAATAATTTTCATATCAGGTTTTATGCTTGTCAAGGTTATACTCAATTCCTGATCATGACCTTTTAATGATGATCTTTTCAAATTTTTGATATTCACCATTGGCAAGAAAATGTATTCATACTGGCAGGTGATAAAAAATTTAAAATCGTCTTTACAGCTATTCACAAGTTTGCAATAGTTGAAGCATATTTAAAGGAGCTAACAGCTCCTCTATTTTTGCACTGACAAGTGTAATGTTGAAATTTCTTGTGATAATGCAAATGGGTTTCAAATCTAACAGAATGTTTTCATATCAAGTATTTCAAAATAATGATGATGCTCTAATTAGTAGAAAATGCATGCATTGTTAGAGCAGTCACCCTGCAGCTATCCTGTATGCCACTAAAAGGGCATATTAGCAGCAATTGCATCTGATATATGTGAAGGCAGAGATTCAGGGCCCCCTGGAGCTGCTCTGCCAGGAGCACCTGCGGATAGCTCAGCCTCTTCAACTCTAACACCTGCAGATTCACCTGTGCATCTGACTCTTTAGGTGTTTGGAATACAAACTATACTAGCAGGTCCATGGACCCCTTGTTTATGGGGCATACTTGTTGGGGTATACCACATTGCTGGCCATACTATAGGTGTCCAAGACACAAAGAAACTCACTGACTGCTCTTGGAGAATTGTGGCAAGGTGGAGGTGTTGCGTGTCACTTATTATGTTCAATGTTTGATGACATTTGGGATTCATTGTCAGATTCATCACCTTTGCGAAAATCACAGCTGAGGAAATCATGACAGTGAAAGAGATCAGACCTAACCGACTCCATCTTGCTTCTAACCTTTACCTTGTCCTTTTTCACACCTGGGTGTCGACTGAACAAACCTTGGAAAGGAATTTAGTTATAGTTTAACTCTGAAACAAAATGGATAATAGCCCTTTTCTGAAAAAAACCCTTCTTGCCTAGGGACCAGTCTACAAATAAGCTACAAGATTAGAAATTACAGGCTGGGAGTGGTGGCTCATGCTGTAATCCCAGCACTTTGGGAGGCCGAGGCGGGTGGATCACTTGAGGTCAGGAGTTCCAGACCAGCCCGGCCAACATGGTGAAACCCCATCTCTACTAAAAATATGAAATCAGCTGGGTGTGGTGGTGTGTACTGTAATCCCAGTTACTCGGGATGCTGAGGCAGGAGAACTGCTTGAACCCAGGAGGTGGATGTTATAGCAAGCCAAGATCACACAACTGTGCTCCAGCCTAGGCAACAGAGCACGACTCCATCTCAAAAACAAAAAAAAACAAACAAAAAAAAACCCCACAAAGATTAGAAATTATGGTTTAGGGACCATGCAGCCTCCAGCTGTGAGAGTCTGAGCCACCCCAAGTTGCTCCTGGAGATAACATCACTGTTGTAAAACCTAAGATCTGTGCTTGAGATATTTTGCAGACCCTGCACTCAGTGGATCCACTAGCACCACCCAGATCAATATGCTGGTTCATCTGGTGTTGTGGCCCCCACCCAGGAACTGACTCAGCACAAGAGGACGCCTTCAACTCCCTATGATTTCATCTCTGACCCAACCAATCAGAACTTCCAACTTACTGGCCCCCTACCCACCAAATTATCCTTTAAGACTCTGATTCCTGAGTTTTCAGAGAGTCTGATTTGAATAATAATAAAACTCTGGTCTCCTGCACAGCTGGCTGTGCGTGAATTACTCTTTCTCCACTGCAATTCCCCTGTCTTGACAAATCAGCTCTGTCTAGGCAGCAGGCAAGGTGAACCCACTGGGCAGTTACAAAGCCACTTTCTTAGTCCACATTAAGCTACTCATGGCTTTTACACACAGGCCTTAGGTCTCTGGTGGCAGCAAGTTCACTTGGATGCTAGAAGGTTAAGGTGATTAATATAGAACACAATGTAACTCATTCATAGCACATTAGTAGACCCAGAGATTAATCTCCAGCTGGTAAATACCTGCTACTCCTACTGTTATTGAGATACTGAAATACCACGGCAGGACATGATGGCTCAGGCCTGTAATCCCAGGACTTTGGAAGGCCGAGGCAGGAGGATCATTTGAGGCCAGGAGGTCAAGACCAGCCTCACCAACAGGGTGAAATGCCATCTCTACAAAAAATACAAAAATTAGCAGGGCATGGTGGTGCATACTTGTAGTCCCAGCTACTCAAGAGGCTGAGGTAAGGGAATCAATTGAACTCACGAGGTGGATGTTGTAGCGAACCAAGATGGTGCCACTGCCCTTCGGTATGGGTGACAGAGCAAAAAAGAAAAAAGAAAAGAAATACTGAAATACTTTTGCAGTGAACAATAAAAAGCCATGACTTTATTCACCCAAAATTCTACTCCCACTCTGACTTCCAGCCCCTCCCTGGGACCTTTCCTCACCTTATTCCTTTTGGGTATTTGTTACTAGTACAGTTTGAGTTGGCAAATCTTTCAGTGTTCTCAAACTTTGATGTTTATGCTAATCGGTTTGACTCTTGCTAAAATGCAGAGTCTAACTAGCGGGGGCCAGAGGAGGTGAGGAAAAGATTCTGCCTGTCTAACATGCTCCTGATGGTCCCAAAGCTGCTGGCCTGTGGGCCACACCTCAAGTAACGAGATGTGCTTTGAATACCACCTCTGAATTTACTGCAGGATAGCAACTGGAGAGTTCTCAAGCAGCCTAGTGCTTGTGATTGTGAGATACGAGGCTTGACTGCACCAAGCTCAACTCCTAGATCATCATCTAAAAGCTAACTAGGCTGGGCACAGTGGCTCACGCCTGTAATTCCAGCGCTTTGGGAGGCTGAGGTGGGCGGATCACTTGAGGCCAGGAGCTCCAGACCAGCCTGGCCATCATGGTGGGACCCCCATCTCTACTAAAATTACAAAAATTAGCCAGGCGTGATGGTGCACGCCTGTAATTCCAGCTACTCAGGAGGCTGAGGAATAAGAATCGCTTTAACCCGGGAGGTGGAGGTTGGAATGAGCTGAGATTGCACCACTGCACTCCAGCCTGTGCGACAGAGTAAGACCCTGATCTCAAATAAAAAGAAAATAATAAAATAAATAAATAAAAGCTAACAAGCTGTAACCAAAAATAAAATTCTAAACCCCCCACCCAACTGAATGGAGCCCTCCTGTTCACTAAAGTAAACCTGGAAAACTAGTTCAGGCCATGGTGGGAAAAGGGAGTTGGACATGCCTCATTATCCCCTCCTCCCTTTGGAATTCAGGCACAGCATTAACCAGCATTAATATTAAAACAGAGACCTTAGGCCGGGCACTGTGGCTCATGCCTATAATCCCAGCACTTTGGGAGGCTGAGGTCCAGAGTTTGAGACCAGCCTGGCCAACACGGTGAAACCCTAACTCTACTAAAAATATAAAAAATTAGCCAGGCATGGTGGTGGGTGCCTGTAATCCCAGCTACTTGGGAGGCTGAGGCAGGAGAATTGCTTGAACCCAAGAGGCAGAGGTTGCAGTGAGCCAAGGTTGTGCCATTGTACTCCAGCCTGGGCAACAGGAGCGAAACTCCATCTCAAAAAAAAAGAACCAAAAAAAAAAAAAAAAAAAAAAAAAACCAGAGACCTTAACACAGACAAAACAGAATCCTTGTAGCTATAAGATGCCAACATAACAGAGAACAGGCCCTGAAAGAAATTGAAGTTAACCCTCACATATTATGATCAAAATATTACCCCCAAATATATTTCTTTGACATATTTTGAAATGGCCCTGCAAAGCTGTCTCTTTATCCAGGTTTTATACACCTGGATATATACCTAGATAGCTGGATGGGAGGGAAATGGATAAAGAGAGCAGAGAGGCAGTGGTGGTGCCTCAAGAAGACTTTGGGAGAACTTTGACTTCTCTTCTGGTGAAATGGGAGCTATTGAGAATTTGAGTCAAAGTACAAACACGATATGACATAGATTTTAAAAGGAAAATTCTATCTCTATTTGGAAAATAAAATGTAGAGGAAAGGTGTATCTTGAGCAGCATGGGGTCAGAGATAATCAGATTTATTCAGGTTTGTGCCTTTCCACCATGTCAGGCTTTTATTGATGCTATTTCAATCACAAAAGCCACGGGCTATGTGGAATTCCCAAGGAGGAAATTCCACTTAGTAATTCCCGTCCACTCAGTAGTCAGAGCCATGGGCACACGGGCTCAAGCCACCCCACAAGTCAATCAATATTGCAAACCACACCTAATAGCATACCTAGTCAATATATAAATGTTATAGAGTCAACATTGCACCACAAACAAAGTGACATTTAACAATGAGAGAAAAGAGACAGGACAATAGGTTATCAAATCAGTCCAGGGACAATGACCCGAATAAAAATAATATTTTGGCCTGGGCTGGGTGGTCCAATGGTCTTACAAGGAAGAGTCTTCAATGTAGTCAGAGCCTTCACTAGCATATGCTGTGTGAATATCTCAAGTGACAGCAAGACCATGTCTGTTAAGATGGTCATTTTGAGCTGTTGAAGTCCTGCACTCTTTATGGCCGCAGGGGCCTCTGGTGAGGACTGATAGTGGAAAGTGTGGTTGATTATGTCTTTACCTGGTTAGATGCAGTCTTTACTGATTAGGCAAAACATCTGGTCCCTGATGGCAAGTTGCCTTTTGCAACGTAAGATGGAGTCTTCTTCTAAGATGGAGTTACTTATGTCAAGGGTGCTCTACGGAGGTTGGAAACAGGAAGGCCAGTTACAATGCTAAGATGATGATGATTCAGACTGGGTGGTGAGAAACAATCAGATTCTAGACATAATGAAGTGGTAGATCCAACAGGATATACAGAAAAATTTGGAATTCTGGAGAGAGGTTTGGATAAGAGTTTTGCATTTGCGAGTTGTTGGCATATTAAATCTCTGAGGCCTGGACTAACTGTAGAGAAAAGAGACTAAAAAGACTGAGACTTGGGGTGTTCTAATCTTATGAGTTTGGTATCCCAGCTAAAATGGCTTATATCCAAGAGACAGGCAATAACAAATACTGGCAAGGATGTGGAGAAAATAGAACCCTTGTACACTGTTGGTGGGAATGTAAATTAGTACAACCACTATGGAGAACAGTTTCAAGTTTCCTCAAAAATATAAAAATAGAGCTACCATATGATCCAGCAATCCCACTCCTAAGCATATACTGAAAAGAAAGAAACTCAGTGTATCACAGAGATATCTGTACTCCCACGTTTGTTGCACTGTTCATGAGAGCCAAGATGTGAAAGCAACCTAAGTGTCCATCAACAGATGTGTGGATAAAGAAAATGTGGTACATTTACACAATGGAGTACTATTCAGCCATAAAAAAGAACAAGATCCTGTCATTTGCAACAACATGTCATTTGCAACATAACATCATTATGTTAAATAAAATAAGCAAAGCACAGGCACAGAAAGACAAGCATCACATGTTCTCACTTATTTGTGGTACTTAAACATCACAACAACTGAACTCATGGACATAGAGAGTGGAAGGTTGGTTACCAAAGGCTTGGAAGGGTAGTGGGGGCTGAGGGGGTGGTGGGGATGGTTATTGGGTACTAAAAGAAAATAGTTGGAGAAACTCCATCTCTACTAAAAATGCAAAAATTAACTGGGCATGGTAGCGGGCACCTGTAATCCCAGCTACTCAAGAGGCTGAGGCAGAAGAATCACTTGAACCCAGGAGGCGGAGGTTGAGGTGAGCTGAGATTGCGCCACTGCACTCCAGCCTGGGTGACAGAGCAAGACTCTGTCTCAAAAAAATAAATAAATAAATAAATAAATAAATAAATAAATAAATAAATAAAAATAAAGAAAGAAAATAGTGTGAATGAATAAGACCTACCATAAGACCTACTATTTGATAGCAGACCAGGGTGACTATAGCCAACAGTAACTTAATTGTACATTTTAAAATAACTAAGAGCATAACTGGATTGTTTATAACACAAAAAATAAATGCTTGAGGGAATGGATGCCCCATTCTCCATGATGTCATTATTATGCATTGCATGTCTGTATCAAAACATCTCAGGTACCCCATAAATATATATACCTACTGTGCACCCACGAAAATCAAAAAATAAAAAATTATTTTAAAAAATTTGGGAAAACACAAAATCCAACAAAGGAAGTGGAAGGGGCAAAGTACAAGGGAACCTGGAGCATCTGGTGTCTTGGAAGCCAAGTAAAGAAAGTAAATTGATGAGAAGGAAGTGAATAACTGACAAATGCTGTTGATTCATGAAGTACAATGCAGACTGAGAATGGGCCGTTGTAATTAGTAACATGGAGGTCATTCATGACTTTGAGAAGAGAAGTTTCTGCAGAAGAGGAGAAGTAAAAGCCTAATTGGAATAAATTAGTGGAGAATTGGAGGTGAGGAATTGGAGTCATGGACTACAGTCAAAATTCTCGGGTGGGGATAATTTTGGAGAGAGATCTGCATGTTTGTGTGCAAAACTCCTTTTCTATTTTAATAGACTTTATTTCTAGAGCAGTTTTAAGTTCACAGCAAAATTGAATGAAAGACACAGAGGTACCATAGGCCTCTATCCCACCCATGCATTACCTCCCTGCTACTGACATCCCCTATCACAGTGGAGCATTTCTTAGAGTTGATGAGCCTAAAATGTCACATCATTAGCACCCAGAGACCATAGTGTACATTAAGATTAACTCTTGGTGTTATACATCCTGTGGGTGTTGAAGGATGTGTAATGTATCCACCATTGTAGTATCATACATATAGTTTCAGCCGGGAGCAGTGGCTCACACCTGTAATCCTAGCACTTTGGGAGGCCGAGGCAGGCTGATCACCTGAGGTCGGGAGTTCAAGACCAGCCTGATCAACATGGAGAAACCCTGTCTCTACTAAAAATACAAAATTAGCCGGGGGTGGTGGCGCATGCCTGTAATCCCAGCTACTCAGGAGGCTGAGGCAGGAGACTCACTTGAACCCAGGAGGAGGAGGTTGTGGTGAGACAAGATCATGCCACTGCACTCCAGCCTGGGCAACAAAAGCAAAATTCCATCTCAAAAAAAAAAAAAAGTACTTTCACTACCGTAAAAAGCCTCTCTACTCTGCCTAATCATATCTTCCTCCCCCCTAGCCCCTGGAAACAACTGATCTTTTTACTGGCTCCATAATTTCACCTTTTCCAGAAAGTCATAGAGTTGTAAGCATATAGTAATATAGCCTTTTCAGATAGACTTTTTTCACTTAGCAATGTGCATTTTAGTTTCTTCCATGTATTTTCATGGTGTGATAGCTCAGTTCCTTTTTAGCATTGAATAATATTCTATTGTCTGGATGTATCACAGATTATTTATCCATTCACCTGCTGAGGGGCATCTTGGTTGCTTCCAAGTTTTGACAATTATGAATAAAGTTCTATAAGCAACCACATGCAGGTTTTGGGGTAGATATGAGTTTTTCAAGGTTATTTGAAGAAATACAGTTATGTATCACCTAATGATGGGAACAGGTTCTGAGAGATGTGGCTTTAGGTGATTTTGTCACTGTGTGAACATCATGGAAGGTACTTATACAAACCTTGATAGTATAGCCTACTATGCTTCTAGGGTATATTGTCTAGCCTATTACTCCTAGGCTACAAACCTGTACAAGATGTGACTGTACTGAACACGGCAGGCAATTCAAAGGTAAGCACTTGTGTATCTAAACATATCTGTATGTAGAAAAGGTACAATGAAAATGTGTTGTAAAAAATAAAAAATGGTAGATCTGTAAAGGGAACATACCATAAATGGAGTTTGCAGGACTGGAAGTTGTTCTGGATGTTGTTTTAGAAAAAAAATTCAGATTTTCTGCATAGACAACCATGCCATCTGTAAACAAAGTCATTTTTTTCTTATTTGCCAACATATATACCAGTATGTGATGTTTAAAAGCAGTGGTGCCTTGTTCTTGATCTTATTGGGAAAGTTTTGAGTTTCTTCTCATTATGTATATGCTCCCTGTAGGTTTTTTGTAGATGACCTGTATCAACTTGAGGAAGTTCCCCTCTGTTCCTAGTTTACCAAGAGCTTTTATCATGGATGGATGTTACCTGCTGTCAAAGGCTTTTTCTTTTTTTTTTTTTTTTTTTGAGACAGAGTCTCACTCTGTTGCCCAGGCTGGAGTGCAGTGGCGCTATCTCGGGCTCACTGCAAACTCTGCCTCCCGGGTTCACACCATTCTCCTGCCTCAGCCTCTCCAAGTAGCTGGGACTACAGGCACCCGCCACCACGCCTGGCTAATTTTTTTGTATTTTTAGTAGAGACGGGATTTCACTGTGTTAGCCAGGGTGGGGCTTTTTCTGCATCTGTTGATATGATCACATGATTTGTCTTCTTCAGTCTGTTGATGCAATGGATTACACAAATTAATTTTTATTTATTTATTTTTGTTTTTTTGAGACGAAGTCTCACTCTGTTGCCCAGGCTGGAGTGCAGTGGCACAATCTCGGCTCACTGCTACTGGGTTCAAGCAATTTTTCTGCCTCAGCCTCCTGAGTATTTGGGATTACAGGCGTGAGCCACCATGCCTGGCCAATTTTTGTAGTTTTAGTAGAGATGGGGTTTCACCATCTTGGCCAGGCTGGTCTTGCACTCCTGACCTCAGGTGATCCACCTGCCTCGGCCTCCCAAAGTGCTGGGATTACAGGTGTGAGCCACCATGCCCGGCCGCACTAATTAATTTTTGAATGCTGAATTAACCTTGAATAGCTGGGAGAAATCCCACCTGGTCACGGTGCATAATGCTTTTCAGACATTGTTGAACTCTGTGTGCTAATATTTTGTTGAGGATTTTTGCATACATATTCATAAGAGATATTGGTCTGTAGTCTTCTTGTCTTATAATGTCTTTGTTTGGTTTTGGTATTCAAAATTTTGAAGGCTTGTTTCTCTTTCCACATGTCCTGGGTCACCCCTAGGGCACATGAGCATCATCCTGCCAGACCAAAGGAAGTTCTGTGGGGATCAATAGCCCCTTGCTGGCTGGAAGGATCTCACAGCCTGCTTGCTCTCTGAGATCTTGCTGTCTGCCTATATATCTGTAGTAGAAACCATTCTGAGGGCTAAAAGGAATCACACTGCCCAAAAGGAGGTTTGCAGAACGTGGCTGTCTAGAAAATGAGCGGATAGCTCTTAAGAATTCCAGCCTGCTATTTAAATTTCTGCTCTTATCCTATGTGGTTGACTGATCTTAGACAAAACCTATTCATAATCAGTGTTGAGTCTGCCATCAACTTACCACAATTCTTCTGGAAACTCTTAATATATTTGTCCTGTAGAACTCCTTAGAGAAAGAAGTTGTATCTGTTTGTTATCAAGGGTATTAAGAAATGCTGTCTTTTTGCTTTTGTTCTTTGATTATCTTGCTCATGTTTGAAAATGGAAAGAGGAGGTGGGGACAGCTGATTTTACACTTAAGTGAACATCTCAACACCCATTCTGTGAATCAGAGATATGGAGATTGGAGGGAACACTCTTTTGTTTGTTCTTTGGTTCCTTGTTGTGAAAAATGTTTGTTATTTTTCAACAAAACATGCTTGTAACTTGATCTATCTATTTCCACTCTGTCTTCAGAGACAGATCTTACAAGAACTGGTTGCAAGGCATCAATTTTTCTGATACAACAAACAAGGTTTGTGACAAAAGCTGAGATCTCTAAGGATTTGCTAAGATCAGCACGCCTGTTTTTCTCCTTTTGTTTTCGATTGCAAGATGACTTCTTACTGACACCCATTCTTCTGATGGTGCATTAAACCCCCAAACAGTTGCCCTTTCCTTGGCTGTAATGCAATCTGGGGGAGGTGGCCATTTCCCCGGCTGAGCTGTTTTCTTGTGTTTCCAAATCTGGTCACACCTTAAGAAAATCACTGGAAAGTAATAAGTCTTTCCTTTCTCTTTATAACACCAGCTTGAAATCATTGTTGCACAGTGAATAGATGCTTTGTTTCAATGTCCTTCTTTAACCAGCAGAACATAAACTCTCCTTTTTTTTTTTTTTTTGGAGATGGAGTTTCGCTCTTGTTGCCCAGGCTGGAGTGCAAAGGCATTGATCTCGGCTCACTGCAACCTCTGCCTCTTGGGTTCCAGTGATTCTCCTACCTAACCCCCTGAGTAGCTGGGATTACAGGTGCCCGCCACCATACCCAGCTAATTTTTGTATTTTTAGTAGAGATGGGGTTTCACCATGTTGGCCAGGCTGGTCTCAAACTCCTGATCTCAGGTGATCTACCCGCCTCAGCCTCCAAAAGTGCTGGGATTGCAGGCGTGGACCATTGTGCCCGGCCTGTTTTTTTTATAGACCAGCTATTACTCTATCACCTAGGGTGGAGTGCAGTGGCACAATTGTAACCCACTGCAGTCTCAAACTCCTGGGCTCGAGTGATCCTCCTGTCTCAGCCACCTGAGTAGGTGGGACTAGAGGAGCATGCCTCTACTCCCAGCTAATTTATCTTATTTTATTATTTTATTTTATGAAGACTAAGATGAAATCTCCCTATGTTGCCCAGCCTGGTCTCAAGCTCCTGGGCTCAAGTGATCCCCTGGCCTTGGCCTCCCAAAGTGCTGGGATTACAGGCATGAGCTCCCACTGCCAGCCCAGAATGTAAAGCTACTGTTGTGGGCAACTCAAACAATCCTGCAGGGAAGCCTTAGGAAATGTGTAAAACACACACTTTAGGATTATCTTAGCCAAGGGGTGAATGGAGCTGAGGCATTTATATCCCCACATCCATCATTCATTGGTTACAAAATGGGAACTTTTGGGAAGATGTTAATTTCTGGTCACTGGAAAGGCAAGGTCAGTCACTTAATTTTTACTCACAGTGTCCAGCATATTGTCAATTCAGGGCTCGGTACTTGAACTGTGATGACAAATGCATGATAATAGCAGCAACTACCTTATTACAGATAGGTGGTATACCTTCTTAAGAATAAAATTGATTTCTCAATGGATATTAATGTTGTTCAGTTTAGATGACTTTTTTGTTTGTATGCCACACACCATGCATTGATTCAGAATGCTCATGGTTACTTTAAAAAAAAAAATTAAATTTCTTTTTTTTTTTTTTGAGACAGAGTCTAGCTCTGTCTCCCAGGCTGGAGTGCAGTGGCGCGATCTCGGCTCATTGCAATCTCTGCTTCCTGGGTTCAAGCGATTCTCCTGCCTCAGCCTCCCGAGTGGCTGGGATTACAGATGCCCACCACCACACCTGGCTTTGTATTTTTTGTATTTTTGTATTTTAGTAGAGACAGGGTTTCACCATGTTGGCCAGGCTGATCTCGAATTCCTGGCCTTAGGCGATCCACCTGCCTTGGCCTCCCAAAGTCCTGGGATTACAGGCGTGAGCCGCTGTGCCCAACTTTCATTTTAGGCACAGTGAGTACATGTGCAGATTTGTTATAAAGGAATATTGTGTGATGCTGAGGTTTGGAATATAGATCTCGTCACCCAGACAGTTAGCATAGCACTCGATAGGCAGATAAGCAGTTTTTAACCCATTCCCTCATCCTCTAGTAGTGCACGGTATCTATTGTTATCATGTTTATGTCCATGTGTGCTCAAATTCTTAGATCCCATTTATAAGTGAGAAGATGTGGTAATTGTTTTTCTGTTCCCGCATTAATTTACTTAGGATTATGACCGCCAGCTGCATCCATGTTGCTGGTGCATATACATCATGGAATACTGCACACCCATAAAAAATGAAATTCTGTCCTACAGGACGTGTGCAGTATTTCATGGTGTATATGCACCACATTTTCTGTATTCAATCTACCATTGATGGGCACCTGGTTTGATTCCATGTCTTTGCTCTGGTGAATAGTGCAGCAATGAACATCCAAGTACATGTCTTTTTGATGGGATGATATATACACTGTCTTAAGATCATTATTATCAGAAGCAGTTCGTAAGAGGAGGATTGAGGATGCCCAGTTTATTTGGGAGTTGCAGAGGCATAAAAGGATAACATGGAGGAGACACAGGGAGGGAAAGAAACAGCCAGAAACCCTAGCTACTGTTGTTGGCACCTGAAGCATAATCCTGCAAGGAAGCTTCAGAAAATACCGTAAAACACACACTTTAGGATTATCCTAGCTGAGGGGTAAAGGAACTGGGGTATTTATATCCCCTACCCATCAGCTATTGGTTACAAAATATGAACATTTCGGAAGATGTCAATTTCCAGTCACTTTCATCTCTTACATATGGGCTGAGTGTGTTCTGGCAGCCTCAGGTCAGCCAGTCAGCAAAGATGCTGGTGTGCACAGAAATAGTCATATAATCCAAAGAGATGCAGGAGGCACACAGACAGAACCTGCCACAAAGACCCTGAAATGCTAATTCATAAATGATCATGCGCTTTGTTTATGCTTTTTACTCTCAAGACCAATCCCTGTTAATGTAGGAAAATACCCTTTTATGTGTGAGATAATACATGTGAACGCATCTTGGAATGCATTTTATAAACTGTAAAGTGTGATACAAGTATATTGTTATTATCATTATTGTAATTATTATTATTATGATGGCTTGATTATAGTCATCAGCACTTGAGAGGGTTAGTAGAATGCCTTCCTTAGAATAAAAGTGAGATGAGAAATTTAAATACAATTCCAGTTACACGTAATCAATAATTGTCCACACCAAGATTCAGTGCCTTGCGTGCATCAGTTTAGATATGAAAGCAGGAAGATCATGCATACATTTGTTGATCGTTTCTCCCTTGGGGAATGAATGACCATTGAGATCTTTATTAGGAGCTTCTATGTATATAAAATAGTTTCAATGCTTGTCCTTTGGAAAGAGACCATTAAATCTGAGTTTGACATCTAGCTGTTTAATTTTTTTTTGAGACAGGGTCTTGCTCTATTTCCCAGTCTAGAGTGCATTGGCACCATCATGGCTCACTGTAGCCTCAAACTCCTGGGCTCAAGTGATTCTCCTGCCTCAGTCTCCCAAGTAGCTGGGACTACAAGCACACACCGCCACCCCTGGCTAATTAAAAAAAAAAAAAAAAAGTTTTGTGGAGACCGAGTCTCACTATGGGTTGCCCAGGCTGGTCTTAAACTCCTGGGCTCGATCGATCCTCCCTCTTCAACCACCCAAAGTGCTGGGATTACAGGCATGAGCCGCCATGCTTGATCAACATCTAGATTTACTTGTTTGCTGTTATATCGGCCGGATTCTGCTTTGCATGTTTAGTCTTACTTGAACCCAAACAGGGACATCTGAAGCCATGGTTTAGACTTTCACTTAGTACTCGTGCATGACTACTGTGCAGAATCATGCCTTCTTCTTGGCCCAGTCCTGTTGAATTAGATAATTCAGTTAAACATTATCATCTGGATGGGATTCATTTCTGTTACATCTGTGGCATTTAGCGACTTAAACTGCTATCCCATCTCTGAGAAGTTTTATTCTTTTTCACCTAAATCCAATTCCAAAACTACTAACCTATTGCCCTTAACTTGTTCTTCCCTCTCTGCTGGGAATGTCCCAGAATGCCTTTCTGTTGGGGTTACCTGCCATGACGACTCCCACTAGAACAGGATAAACAGCAGTGCCAAGGAGAGAAAGGGATAAATATGACAGCTACATAGGTAATGGAATTAATAGGATTAGTGACTGGTTGGACATGTCTGTGACAGAGGGGGAGAAGGAGGTGTCAAAGATGATGGATTGGGTATGTGTTGGTGCCTTCAATTGAAATAGGACATTTGAGGAGACAGCTGATCTGAGCAAAAAGATACATAGATACAGATAGATGTTTTCCCCTCACTTAGTAAAATGCAGTCACTAGCAGTTATGGGCAAAACCAAACCTCACTGTTAAGTGGTTTAAATTGATTGACAGCACAATTATGGATGACAGATGATTATTTTCCAGGTCATTCTCTTCACAGAGCTTACATTCAGTAGCATTCAAATAACTAATAGGGTACATTTCCTATTGATAACGTGTCTAGAGTCTTGTGAGGATTCTCATTTGGTGAAAGGCACAGGGGAAAGATTTGAGGATTGTGAATCAACCCTATTTAATTAGAAACAATAAAACCCCATTGTACTTAACCAGAAAGATACCTGGAAGTATTATATCGGGTACAATCCAGCCTCATTTCCAAGAATTGGGCCAGGAAACCTGGGGAAGCATATCTGGTGGTGATGCATTTTGTATTAATGGTGCTGGCATTGCTGATTCAATTAGATTTAATTTGATTTTTTTTTCGCTCCATCCTCTGGCTGGCCTGTAACTGAAAACCTGAATATTTGTTCGTGTTACTATTGTCCTCAGACAAAGACCTCTTGAATTCACAGAGCAATCTATGATGTAGCTATCTATTTCCCATCTGCTCTGTGTGTACCTTAACTGATAGCTATTCAGGCACTTATTTTAGATAGCAAACTGAGGTTCCCTTTGAATCTGGGCTTTTGAGATCCAAATTGGTAGCCTTGGAAAATTATTCTTCAACAAAGGTCTGTTGAGGGCTCCTCTCATCTGGAAGAAGAAGGAAAAGAATAAAAAAAAGGCTTACAAAACCTTTACAATCCTCTTTCTTCTACAGAATTACCAAAAATGTTCTTGGAAGAATGGGGCATGCAGACCCGCCTGACATTTCACTGGTGTAAGTAATTTCTGATTATTTCTAGTTTCTCTGTTTGAATCTGTGTATGACCCAACAGAATCATTTTCCACTGAGTGGAGATAATGTGATTTCAAGCAAGATATACAAAGGGGGAAAATGAATAAATCAGGTAGGTACCAAAAAAAGTGTCAATTCTAGGCCAGGTCAGTGGCTCACACCTATAATCCCAGCACTTTGGGAGGCTGAGGAGGGTGAATCACTTGAGGTCAGGAGTTCGAGACCAGCTTGGCCAACATGGTGAAACCCCATCTCTATTAAAAATACAAAAATTAGCTGAGCATGGTGGCACATGCCTGTAACCCCATCTACTTGGGAGGCTGAGGCAGGAGAATGGCTTGAACCCAGGAGGTGGAGAGTGCAGTGAGCCGAGATCACACCACTGCACTCCAGCCTGGGCAACAGAGGGAGACTCCATCTCAACAACACAACAACAACAACAGTGTCAATTCTGTCTTTGGAGGGTGCATCCCAAAATTAGGGCATTGGCAAAGGAGCGACAATTATGAGGTACAAATGGCCAGAAAGCTCTATGCCTCTATGCACTATAGCTTGAGATTAATAGCAGTGAATGAGCACAGAGGCATGAACTTGCGCCCAATGCTGTTCCAAGTACTCTCTCTATCATGCCATTTAAAAATATAGGTCCTATTATCCCAATAGAAGGGGAAACTGGGGCCTGAGGAGATAAGTTACTTGACTAGTCATGCAGCAAGCAGGTGACCTCGGATTTGAACCCAGGCTGCCTGATTCCAGAGCCGATGCTGTAACCACTATGAGACATTGTCTCTCTATGCCCCGGTCCAGAAGAATAGCAGAAGCTCCTCAGACAGTTCAGGTTTCTCATCCCTATAAAGTGAAATCTCCAGCTGGGGACCGTGGATCATGCCTAGCATCCCAGCACGTTGGGAGGCCGAGGTGGGAAGATTGCTTGAGCCCAGGAGCTCAAGTTCAGCCTGAGCAACATAGTAAGAACCCCCTCTCTACAAAAAGAAAAAAAAAATAAGCCAGGTGTTGTGGTGTGCACCTGCAGTCCCAACTACTTTGGAGGCTGAGATGGGAGGATCACTTGAGCAAGGGAGGTTGAGGCTGCAGTGAGCCATGATTGTGTCACTGCACTCCAGCTTGGGTGACGGATCATGAACTTGTCTCCAAAAAGGAAAAAAAAAAAGTGAAATCTTCTTAATGCAGGACACGGAATTGGATACAAAACCATCTGGAGAAAAAAAGGTGGGGAAGGTGCAGTTCTAATGCCACAAAAATTTAAAGTGTAAAGACAAGGGAGTAATTGATCTCCTAGCATTCAACCATGTTGAAGAATTTAATGAGTGCTTTTTGAATGAGTGACTTTAATCATCTATTATTGGCAATTTGTTTTTTTTGTTTGTTTTCTTGTTTGTTTTTTTTTTACAGAGTTCCACTCCTGTGGCCCAGACTGGAGTGCAATGGCGAGATCTCCACTCACTGCAACCTCTGCCTCCCAGGTTCAAGTGATTCTCCTGCTTCAGCTTCCCGAGTCGCTGTGATTACAGGCATGCACCATCATGCCCGGCTAATTTTTAGTAGAGACGGGGTTTCACCATGTTGGCCAGGCTGGTCTTGAACTCCTGACCTCAGATTATCTGCCCACCTCGGCCTCCCAAATTTCTGAGATTAAAGGCATGAGCCATCGTGCCAGGCCTACTAATCTATTTTTTTTTTTATGAATATACCCAGCCTCCACAAGTAGATGATAAGGAACTCTCAGACCAAGAACTTTTCTCATACATATCTGTCTCTCTCATGGGCCTTACATGGTTTATGGGATCAGAAGGAGCTCAATATGTATTGATTGATATGGTTAGATTGGTGACTAATGATGTTAATCTATTGATTAATCATTGGGTGTAAGTTACGTTGCTTTTTCAAGAAGTGATCAATGAATGTTAATAAATCAAATTTAAGGCAGGGCACGGTGGCTCATGCCTGTAATCCCAGCACTTTGGGAGGCTGAAGCTGGTGGATCACTTCAGGTCAGGAGTTCAAGACCAGCCTGGCCAACATGTTGAAACCTCATCTCTAATAAAAATACAAAGATTAACTGGGTGTGGTTGTGGGCGCCTGTAGTCCCAGCTACTCAGGAGGCTGTGGCAGGAGAATTGGTTGAACCTGGGAAGTGGAGGGTGTAGTGAGATGAGATCACACCACTGCACTCCAGCCTGGGTGACAAAGAGAGATTCTGTCTCAAAAAAAATAAATAAAATAAATAAAATAAAAAATTTGCTATGTGTTTTTTTTTCTTTTTTTAAAGCAGAAGAATAAGGAGACATGTTAGAAAGGCTTTTGCACAATTTCATCCTGCCAGTGGAGATGGGGTGGTGGGCAGAGCCCAAGTGGATCGTAATGAGAGTGACTTAAATGGTGCAGTGGTTGGCTCTTATCTACAGGTTTACAGAAATGAAATTAAACTTGGGCTTTCTATTGCACAACAATGAGCACATTGAAGGCCAATTATACCAGCTCATCAAAAAAAGCTGGTGAGCTGTAGAGGATTTTGCATTTCTGAGTAGAACGACTTTTCAGATGAAAGAACTTATTACAAGAAATTGAGAACATCTGGGCCATCAAAGACAAAATGCAGTGAATAATTGGACAATCATAGACTGGCATCCTTTTGAATAAGAGGCACTTCCTCAGTTCCCGCTAGGGGAAGTGTTCAAAATTCCTCCTCTAACGGGAAATTGAAGCTCCGTTTTGAAAACATGATTTTTCTATACCTGGTTGTTATTTGGTTATGAAAGAAATCTATTTTGGGAGCTTCTGTTCCATAAAGTTATTCTTGTCACTGTAACCAGGATAAAATAGCAGAGTCGTGATTGGTTCTGTCTCTGTATTTCACTGACTGGCTTAACTCTAACCAACTGCCAGTTTATAATCCTAGCAAACATCACATTCATAAGAAGCCCTATTAACTCTGCTTCTCCCGGTGACTATCTATCTTTCTTCTCTCTGACTTCTCTACATTCAGGGTCCACCCTGCTGAAATCTTACAGGTGCCAAACAGATGTTTACAAAGAATAAATGGGAATTAGGCAAGTTCAGCTTCACTCATGTGGGCAGGCTGGTGCCTAATTACCATTCTGCTCAATGCCATGCGTCCTTCATATATGTGATAGTGATAATGTCCTGCTTTAGGCTAAACACTGAATTAGATATTTTACACATATAGATTATTTCAGGAAGCCTTTGTTGTTGTTCTTGTTGTTGAGATGGAGTCTCACTCTGTCACCTAGGCTGGAGTGCAGTGGTGTGATGTCAGCTCACTGCAACCTCCACCTCCTGGGTTCAAGTGATTCTTCCACCTCAGCCTCGCAAGTAGCTGGAATTACAGGTGCTCACCACCACACCCGGCTAATTTTTGTATTTTTAGTAGAGACAGGATTTCACCATGTTGGCCAGGCTGGTCTCGAACTCCTGACCTCAAGTGATGCTCCCACCTTGGCCTCCCAAAGTGCTGGGATTACAGGGCAGAGCCACTACGCCGGGCCTTTCTAAAAGCTTTAATAGTCCCTCTAGGTAGTAATTGTTATTCCCATCTTGCAGCCAAGGAAACTGAAGATTAAAGACATGATATAGTCAGTCAAAATAGTTCCAATTATACTGTGTAATAATTCAAATATTCAGTGGCTTAAATCCACACATACTTATTTCTCATTCATGTTGCATGTCCACTGTGGGTTGGTAGAGGGTTATGAGACTGTATTAGTTTGCTCTTGCGTTACTATAAAGAAATACCTGAGCCAGGGATGGTGGCTCATGCCTGTAATCCCAGCACTTTATGATGCCAAGGTGGGTGGATCACCTGCGGTCAGGAGTTTGAGATCAGCCTGGCCAACATGGTGAAACCCCATCTCTACTAAAAATATGAAAATTAGCTGGGCATGGTGGTGGGCACCTGTAATCCCAGGTGCCCGGGAGGCTAAGGCAGAAGAATCTCTTGAACCTAGGAGGCAGAGATTGCAGTGAGCCCTGATAGTGCCACTGTATTCCAGCCTGGGTAACAGAGCGAGACTTTGTCTCAAAAAAAAAAAAAAAAAAAAAAGAGAAGAAAAAGAAAAAGAAAACAAAGAAATACCTGAGACTGGGTAATTAATAAAGACAAGAAGTTTAATTGGCTCATGGCTCTGCAGGCTGTATGGGAAACATGATGCTGGCATCTGCTTGGCTTCTGGGGAGGCCTCAGGAAGCTTACAGTCATGGCAAAAGATAAAGTGGGAGCAGGCATAGTAAGAGCAGGAGCAAGAGAGAGTGAAGGAGGAGGTGCCACCCATTTGTAAACAACCAGATCTCATGAGAACTCACTCACCATCTCAAGGGAAGTACCAAAGGGGATGATGCGAAACCATTCATGAAAAATCTGCCCCCATGATCCAATTACCTCCCACCAGGCCCCACCTTTAACACTGGGAATTACAATTGAACATGAGATTTGGGTGAGGACACAGATGTAAACCATATCAGGGACCCAGGCTGATTAAACAGCTACCATCTCAAATAATGCCAGTCACAGTCCCCAAAGGGAGAGAGAGCTCTGGAACAAGGTCTTGCACCAGCAGTTAAATGCTTGCCCCAGAAATTACATTTATTACCTCTGCTTATCATTCATTGGCTGGTACTGGTTACATGACCCTAACCAACCATGACGTAGGGAAGGAAGGTGTAGAAAATGCAACCATATACTGACTGCATGCCCAAGTACATACAGCTAGAAATACTCACTAAATGACATTGGCAGGAGAGGTGAAGAGCATGGTGATTAAGACTGCGGGTTTAAATTGTGGTTCTGTCACTTAGCTGTGGAACCCTGGGCCAATTCATTAACATTTCTGGGCTTCAGTTCCTTCACTTGTTAAATAAGGGAACTAATTATACCTTCATCAAGGAGTTCTTGTAAGGATCCAGGAAGATCATGCATGCATAGAAGTTAGCATAGGGACTGATGAACCATTGGAACCTGGGTTTCTCTGTCTCCAGCCAAACCTGTGTTATTTCTAATTCACCATGAAGCCAGCCCAAGTCCTACAAAACCTAAGAACTGTTTGACCTTAGCTGTTGGAAATAGTAAGTTGATGGAAAATAATTGCGATTTCCGCCATTAAAATAATGGCCATTCCAGAACCCTTAAAAAGTCTAACCCCAAATTCCTTGGGGTGATGGATTTGAGGTTTCCTCCCATCTCCTCATTTGGCGACCCTATGATTAAACCTCTTTCTCTGCTGGAAATTGGTGTCTCAGTGTATTGACTTGCTCTGTCCATTAGCAAACACACCTATTACAATTATAAGGCCACCATGCTGTGAGGAAGCCCAAGCACATGAGAGGCTACATGTGGACCAACAGCCTCCACTGAGGCCACTCTGAGTCACCCCAGACCAGACACAGATATGTAAGTGAAGAATTCTCCATTAAAAGTGAGAGCAAAAGTCGCAATTACATGGGCACCAACCTAATACAATAACCCAAACTATGTGTGGAAGAATGCAAGAGACACCTATCTGGATACATTAAGGAGAATAAGTCCAGAGATGAGTCAATAACCTTGACATGAAAAGGCAAGACAGGAGAGAGATGCTCAGGAAAATGAGAGTGGCAATTTTTAAACATGGGTACCAATTCTTCAATACTCTCCCACTGAGATGTGAGCTCTGTGTCCCCCCCTGTTGAATCTGGGCAGACCTGTGACTGCTTTGACCTGTAGAGTATAAGGGACGAGACACTGTGGGGTGTTTCAATGCTAGGACAAGCAGGTTCCACCTTGTTTTCTGGGACGCCTGCTCTTGGATGCCTGAGCCACCACTGACTGTCCTGAGGTTGAAACCATCCCCACAGGATTGACCAGAATTGCATGCCAGGTTCTGTACAGAAACATAATTAAAATTAAGCATCAATTAGGCTGCACTTTGGCTGACTTCCTTGTTGCTGGAAGTCATGTAGCACTAGATCCTGAGTATGTGCACCCCCATTGTTCCTATAGAGAGGATCTCTGACGTTAGAATCATAAGGCTTTTGTTTAAGTATTGCTTAAGATATTTTTCAAACCACAAATTTCAGCAACCAGTTTGGAGACCCCCACAGAAGATTAGGATCAGCATGGAATATAGCTTCTTTATCTCTCTGCCCCATGCCTTTACCCCACACTTTTCCACCAATTAATAATCTCCACACTTCAATCCACTCCAAAACCCTCAAAAAAATCTAACCCCAAATTGCTCAGGGAGAAGGATTTGAGGTTTTCTCCCATCTCCTCCTTTGGTGACCCTACAATTAAACCTCTTTCTCTGCTGCAAATTGGTGTCTCAGTGTATCAACTTGCTCTGTGCATTAGCAAATGATCTATTATAGCTACAAGGCCACCATGCTGTGAGGAAGCCCAAGCACAGGAGAGGCTACATGTAGACCAACAGCCTCCACTGAGGCCACTCTGAATCATCCCAGACCAGACACAGATATGTGAATGAAGAAGTCTCCAAACGGTTCCAGACTCCAGATGTCACCCTCCAGCTATCTGATCTTCCTAGATGAGGCCCTAGGCATCATAGAGTAGTCACAAATCATTTCTACTACAACCTGCTGTCTTCCTGACAAAGTATCACTTTGCCCTTAACTTAAGATTTGGCTACCAGAATTGGGCATCCATATACAGTGTGCTCAGATTTTGCACCCTCCGTTATACATCATGCCAGCTTCATTGATAAAGCTGGCTATACTTCTGCCTGCTCTCTTCCTGCAGAAACCTGATTTTGATGTGTTATCCACCTTCTTCTACTCATTCTTAGGTTTCAGCTTTTGGTGGTTTCATCCTAACTTGGCAAAGCTGACATAGCTGCTCTCTTCTCCCCCTCCTTCTTCTCCTCATCTTCCTCTTCTTCTCCTCCTCCCTTTTCTCCTCCTCTTTCCCCTCTTCCTCCTCCTTCTTCTCCTTCCATGTTTCCTACTCTTCTCCTCTTTGTCTTCCTCCTCCTCCTCCTTTTTCTCCTCCTCCTTCTTCTCCTCCTTCTCCTCCTCCTCCTTCTCTTCCTTCTCCTTCTCCTCCTCCTCCTCCTCTTTCTCCCCTTTCTTCTTCTCCTCCCTCTCATTTTCCCTCTCTTTCTTCTCCCCCTTCTCCTCCTTCTTCTCCTCCTCTTCCTTCTCCTTCTCCTCCTCTTTCTCTAAGGATTAAGACTATTATCTAATGGTCCAAGACTATTATCAACAACCCACAAAGCACATTTTGAGCTTCTTCAAAACTGCCTCCACTTTGTCTCAGCTAAGGTCCCTTTTAAAAGAACGTGGGGTAGCCAGGGAGATGTGTTTCTCTACACTAGCACTACCTAAGCAAAAGCTCATTAGCAGCTCAGAAGCCTTCCTTCCAGGTTTACTCAAACCTTGCAGGAAGGGAGGAGAGTCCTCCTCTTCCCATGATAGAGGACACCTCTTCTCTGTCATCTTTTTGGAAACCTCTCTCCTGGATCATGGACTAAGTGTGTGTAGTAAATCATAGAAGATAAACGTGTCCCACCACAGGGGCATGGCTCCCATCTCCCCTCTCGTAAGTCATTCTGAGTAAGTGAAGGGCCACTTTCCTCTCTCTCTTTTTTTGAGACAAGATCTCACTCTGTCACCCAGACTGGAGTGCAGTGGTGCGATCATAGCTCACTGCAGCCTCAAACTCTTGGACTCAAGGAATCCTCCCATCTCAGCCTCTTGAGTAGCTGGAGCCACAGGCATGCACCCCCATGCCTAACTATTCTGTTTTTTAATTTTTTATAGAGATGAGGTCTTGCTATGTTGCCCAGGCTGTGAAGAGCCACTTTTCTAACTTCCATTTTTTTTTTAGGTTAAAATGTCCCTATCTTAACATCACATTTCTATTTTATTTTCCTCTCTCAGATGTGGTTTGGTTGTCAAAGAGACTCACAGCTTTTCTAAAATCAAGGTTTCCAAGGACGTGTCCTTTTAATAACTGTTTTCTGACAGTTTCATGATTTTTACCACCATACCCTTTCTTGTGATAATTTCACCACTGAATTTCCTCTCTCCCGAAAGCCAAATTCCTATTTTCCATTTCTCTTCAGAGTTCAGATGTTATCAGGGACGTTCAGGCTTCTTTCTTTATTTCCTCCAAGTAACATGACAGATCTTTGGCAAACACTTCTGAAATGTTGCTAACCTCCAGGAAAGTTTGCAAAATGTGATCTTATTCAGTTATATTACTATATAAGTCAGTGTTCTCCAGAAAAATAGAACCAATAGGAAACACACACACACACACACACACACGATTGATTATGAAAAGTTGGTTCACATAATTACTAAGCTAAGAAGTACTACAATGTGCCATCTCTGCCAACTGCAAATTAGAGACCCAGTGAAGTGGTGTCATTGTCTGGGGTAAGTACTTGAGGTTCCTTGCCTCATGCCAAGGAAATCAAGGACATCGACACATGTAGAGTGAAGTTAAGAGTGGAAGTTTAATAGGCAAAAGAAAGAGAAGAGAGGACAGCTCTCTCTCCTTGGAGAGAGAGGGGTGCTCAAATGGGACTTCCGGCCCACAGTAGAGTGCATCAGATTTCATAGACAGGCTGGGGGAGGCAGTGTCTGATTTACATAGGGCTCACAGATTGGTTGGACCAGATGTGACGTTTACATAGCCATAGCGTGCAGGGAAGCTGGCTGCCCCACTCTAATCTTATTATGCAAATAGGCTTTCCACTTGGCTGGCGCCATGTTGTCTGCTCTCTACTGCACACCTGGCTGGAAAGGAAAAGGGAAGATAGAGCCGCCATGTTGGACATGCCTAGTCCCAGGTAGCCTTTTTCTGTTGGCACAACTGCTGGCATTCACTCATGCAAGCCTCCAGCTTGCTTGTCTATGTCTGCAGCTCAATTTTACAGGCTGTTCTTTGTTAGAAAAAAAAAAATTGATTTGGGGGCTGCTTTTCATTAAAAGGAAAACCTTACCAAGGACTTCCTTATCCTCACTCTCTGCCTAAATACTTTCTTTTTAACTCCTTTATCACCAAGAAAGTAGTGGCATAATTGAGCCTAAGTATGAAGGCCTGATAACCAGGAGAACCAACAGTGTGAATCCCATTCTGAAATCCAAGAAATGAGGCAGCAAAGAAAGGGATAAATTCCTCTTTTCTCCTCCTCTAGTTTTATTCAAGCCCTCAATGAATTGGAAAATGCCCAACCACATTGGGAAGGACCATCTACTTTACTGAGTCTATCCACTCATTCAAATGCTAATCTCATCCAAAGACACCCTCCCAGACACATTCAGAAATAATGTTTAATCTGGGTACCCCACGGCCCACTGAAATTGACTCACGAAATTAACCATCCTAACCAGCAAAAAGAAAAGAGCATTTTTTTCATATGTTTTTTGGCCACATAAATGTCCTCTTTTCATAAGTGTCTGTTCAGATCCTTTGCCCACTTTTTGATAGGATTGTTTGTTTTTTTTTCTTGTAAATTTGTTTATGTTCCTTGTGAATTCTGGATTTTAGACCTTTGTCAAATAGGTAGACTGCAAAAATGTTCTCCCATTCTGTATGTAGGTTGCCTTTTCGCTCTGATGACTAACTAACTATCCTCAGCAAACTAACACAGGAACAGAAAACCAAACACCACATGTTCTCACTTATAAATGGGAGCTAGAACAATGAGAATGCATGGACACAGGGAGGGGAACAACACACACTGGGGCCTGCCAGGGGGTAGGGTGGGGGAGGGAGAGCATCAGCATAAATAGCTAATGCATGCTGGGCTTAATACCTAGGTGATGGGTTGATAGGGGCAGCAAACCACGATGGCACACATTTACCTATGTAACAAACCTGCACGTTCTGCATATGTATCCCAGAACTTAAAAGAAAACACAAAAGAAAAAAGAAAGAAAGGGAAGGGAGGGGAGTGGAGGGGAGGGTAGGAGAGGGGAAGGGAGTGGAGGGAAAGGGAGGGGAGGGGAGGGGAGGGGAAAGAAAGGGAATGGAGGGGAGGGGAAAGAAAGGGAATGGAGAGGAGGGGAAGGAAAGGGAAGGGAGGGCAGGGGAGGGGAAGGGAAGGGAGGGGAGGGGAAGGGAAGGGAAGGGAACAAAATCTTCCCTGACATTTTAAATCATCCACTCCTAATAACAAAATATCTAACTCTAAAATAATCTGGCTCTTCTGCAAGATACTAGCTGCTCTTGATTGAATTAAGGCAATTGAGAATCTCTCAGAAGATAAACATACGAAGGTCTCTCTAAGCCTTACTTTTCTCACCTGTAAACCAATGACTTTGAGTGTGTAAAAAGAAAATATCTTGGTTCCCCCAAAACCACTAAGCTAAAGGAAAAATTCAAACTGGGTACTGCTTAAGGCAAAGCTGCCTCCCATTCTATTCAAAGTCACCCCTCTGCTCACTGAGATAAATGCATATCTGATTGTTTTCTTTGGAAAGGCTAAACTCAAAAGAAAGCAACCATGTGTCTCTCACCTACCTGTTACCTGTAAACCCCATTCCCTGTTTCAAGTTGCCTGCTTTTGCTTGAGTTGTCCCGTCTTTCTGGACCAAACCAATGTTCATTTCACATATGTCGGTGGATGTATCAAATCTCCCTAAAATGTGTAAAACCAAGCTGTGCTCTGATGACCTGGGGCACATGTCATCGGGACCTCCTGAAGCCGTGTCATGGACACATGTCCTCAACCTTGGCAAAATAAACCTTCTAAATTAACTGAGACCTGTCTCAAATTTGAGGGGTTCTCAAGTGTGATTTTAAATGAGATGTCTTATGTAAAACATATCCTTTGTGTGACATTAAGTTCCCATGAAAGGGCACTGGGCCGGCACAATGGCTCATGCCTATAATCCTAGCCCTTTAGGAGGATGAGACTATGTGGGAGGATCTCTTGAGGCCAGGAGTTCAAGGCTACAATGAGCTATGATGGTGCCACTGCTCTCTAGCCTGGGTGATAGTGACAGCCTGTCTTTAAAACAAAACAAAACAAAAACACAAAGAAATGGGAGTTATTACAGCTCTTCTCATGATAATTCCCCTTCTCTGGAGGCCTTGGGATACCCTTGACTGTAGGCATCATTTGAGATGCTCTAAATAGCCTTAAACATATATTCTAAGCACACAAGTGTCACCTCTCACTTTGGAGAGGTTCACACAAGGCGGTAACATCAGGCTGGGTCTGTTTTCAAAGACTGATAGAAAAATGGCCTGGGTTAGCTCCCAGAATTTAGGTCAGGAGATACTTTTACATCTTCCTTCCTGTGGATGGGGCTACTGTGAACCTTGTGGGAGAGTCTGGTGTAGAAGTGTCAGCAGATTTATCAGGGGCAGGTCAGAGGCTCACAGAAATCAGCAGTTTTGCTTCTCCAGGGTTCCTATAAGATCCTGCTTTTGCCTCATTTCATCTGAGTTCACTGGAATGGAATAATTTCAAGGAAACAGCAATTTAGATCCTTGAGTTTCTCATGGCCCTTGGACTAAATCATAAATCAACTCTTGCTCACTTGAAATGGAACCCCCCCACCATCACCTCCCCGGGGATCTTCCAGAAACTTCCGAAGAATGTAGCAGACATGTTGGTCAGTCCTGGAAAATTTCCAGACAGGTGGTTTTCTCACTCTCTTTTCTGCTTCTAATCCGTGGTACCCAAGGCTGAGAATAATGAAGGTTTTACATATTTTCATTTCAGAGGTGAAGAAACTAAGGCTTAGGGAAATGAAACAATTCACTCAAAATAAAAAATCTGTTTGTGCAGTTGTCTGGACCACAACCCAGATCACTCAATTTTCTAGTGCAGTGACTTTGCACCTTGCTGCACTTGTATTTTTTCAGAAAATACTATTATTGCATACTATGTGTCAGGTATAAGGAGTTGGAGATTGATTTGTGAGAATGGAAAAACCAAAAATTGTAAAAAATGTATATATAGAGATATCATTAAAGAATGCATACTTTATACAATAACATAGTCAAAAGATGATGAAGATTTTAAGGTGGTCTGGCCAAGCTGGTTGTGTTCAGGCATAAGGCTCTCTGGACACAGGAAACGCAGGGAATGGCACTCTAGGGTCAATCAGGTGCACACAAATAGTGCAACGTGCATGATCTCATTTTTAACGAATTATATTAATGTCAAGGAATTATGATAATCTTAAGGTTTCTTTTGGAGAAGATGATAAATCACCTGGGGTGACGGATAGTCACTGCTCCATCCAATTAGAACTGTTTCTGTTACTATAGTTCCTCCCTTGGACTGTTTCCCAGTTATCCTACCTCTAGTAGCTAAAAGGTTAATGTCTAGCACAGAAGGAAACTTCCAGGCTTCCTTCTGTGCTAAGACTGGCATCTCATCTGAAGCTTACATTTTCATTTACTATTTCAATACATGTATTTTCTTTGTGCTGCTTCTGGTCTCTTGCAGAATGAGATTGGATACTAATAAATGAATATAAAACATTGATTTCTAATTATTTCAAAGAAATATATATTATATATTGCATTTGCATTGTATTGTACATTATACAATAATATACATTATACATGCATTATACATTATATATTGAATATACATTATGTATTGCATTTGCATAGTATATAGTATATATATAATATACACATTATATAATATACAATATATTACATATTATATATAATGTATATTTCTTTGAAAAATACAATGTATGTATTGTACATACATTGTACACTGCATAGACCAATGTAAATACAATGTATAATTTTTTGTACATACATTTACATGTATGTAAATGTAAAATATAGAAACATTAAGGCTTATTGTAGCCATCATGTTGCCAAAAGATGAAGAAAAAGATTCCTGTTACATGACTTTGGCATTTAGCTACTATTCCTTTAACAGTGACTGATAATTGGACAGCCAATCACTCTACCATCTGCCAATTTCCCCTCAATTAACTAATAATAAGAACTAAAAGACTTGGAGATAATCATTGTGTAGATTAGACTCCAGATATTATGTATGATTAAAGTATAATGTAATTTAAAAAGAAAACACCAGAATCTTTTCATTTTGAACTGAATCTATCCATTATCTATGGGTAATTTATTATCCATTATCCATCTATCCATGTATCATTTTATAACGATAGAAAAGCAGCTTTTTTTTTGTAGCTCTCAATCTTGAACAGGCATCAAAACCTCCTGGAGATCTTATGGAAACACAGATTACTGGTTCCCATCTGAGTTTCTGATTTAATAAGCCTGAGGTGGGACCTATTGTATTTCCAAAAAGAATTTGTATTCCCAAAAAGAGATGCCAAAGCTGCTGGTCCTGGGACCACACTTTGAGAATCACTGGCTTGCAGTAATGTGCCTGCATGCACATATCACGCATATCAATGTGCCTTGATATAAAACAGGAAGATCCAGGGCATCTGGGGAGATAAATGTATACAACAATGATTGCAATGTGTTGTAGTGCTGCTAGCAAGCCACTTCTGATTTGCCAAGATACCACAGAAGGGAGAATAAGCAACTCAACTTGGCACAACTGAGGAAGTCTTCACAGGGCAATGATAGACCAGTTGGGTATAAAAGGGCAAATAACATTTATATACCCTTTAAAAACTTATTATTTTACCCCTGGAACTTGCCATATGTCTTGGTTAATGATGGCTTTATTCTCCTAATTGCCCAATCAAGAACCCTAATCATCCTTCTGGATTCTCTTATTCTCTTGTTGTGCCTGTACACTAATTCTTCAGACCCTGATAACTCTACAACCTAACCATCTTTTGTGTCTGTCTCCTTTTTCTCTGTTCCTATGGCCATGCCTGGCATCCAGGTCCTTATCAGCACCTTCCTAGACTACTGAAATAACTTCTCAGCTTCCTGTGTCACCCTGCCACTCTTCTATAAATGCCACACAACTTCTCTTTCTACCATAAAACATAATTAAACATTTTCCAGCTCAAAAATTTCAAGTTGCTTTATATATCTAAAATAAACCCTAAATTCTTAGCAAGGTATCAAAGGCCTTGCATGACACAAACTCAGACTACTTTATCAGCCTCTTCTTCCTTTTTTCTCTCATATGCCCCTAATTTCAATCATACCAAAATAATATTATTGCAGAATTTGCCAGGTTCCTTTACCCTACTGGCCTTGACTAGTTACTTCCTTCAAATGGAGTGTCTTTCCTACCCTTCTCTGCTCTATAAATCTTATTTGCCCTTTTATACCCAGCTAGCTTATCAGTGCCCCTGTAAAGGCTTCCTCAGTTGTGCAAAGTTGAGTTGGTTATTCTCCCTTCTGTGGTTTCTTGGCAAATCAGAAGTGGCTTGCTAGCAGCACACAACATATTACAATCACTATTTTATATCTGTGTCCTTCATGGATACCTCTAGAGAAGCGTCTCCAACTTTCCTGTCCCCAGTGTCTAGCATAGTATCTGGCAAAAGGTGGATGTCAATATATGTTTGTTGAATGAATGCTGTCATTTCTATGCTCCAAGAAATGCAACCCAAAGAGATGTCAATGGTATTTCTCTGTGCAAGTAAGAGACAATTCAATATATAATTTCACAATTTTCAGTAGCATAAAGTAAGCAATGTTTGGCCATTACCTAGGAAATGTATTCAATTTTCCTCTTGTCTGGATCATTTCCAGCATGTATTCGTGTCAACTAGTCCCCTTGTCTGTAATCCGCCTCTCAGAGTAAGATGTTCATTTCATACTTTTATTGCATGCTTGTCACGAGTTGTAAGCTCTATAAAAGAAGGTTTCTGCATTTATCATAAAACTGGAAACTGTAATTAGGAAATGCACAAGTGTACTGGGATAGAGTCCAAGCTGATGACTACCAATGAGAAGCAAACTGAGAACCTGAAGGGCCCTTTGGCCTAAAAGAGAGACAGACACTTCAATCGTATAGGTGGGTAGATTGAAACAGGGGTGCTATGATTAAAGCAGGGATGCTATAAAAAACCATGGGAAGACCGTGATCTGGAACCCAGGGCTTCTGTATTTGTCCATAGATAAACTTCCAAATAAACCTGCCTGTTTGGTGCATGGCCTTAGTACAAAGTAAGGACATTCTTCACATCACCAAAAAGTTTAACCCTTTCAGGAATGAGATGCCTGTTAGCAACTACTAAAAAGGTGGTCAAATAATTGAAGGAGTAAAATGTTTTATAGCTATCTGTGGTCCCAGAGGTCAACATTAGAACAAATGGGTACAAATTTTAGACATAAGATATTGGCTTAATTAAGAAAGATTTTTCTGAAAACTAAATCAGTTAAACTCTGTTCATTCAGTTAAGGTGCCCATATCATTGAAATATAGCCTGGATGGTGACATGCCATGGGTAATATAAAAATGACTTATAGGCTGTGCATGGTGGCTGTAATCCCAGCCCTTAGAGAAGCCAAGGCAGGAGGATTGCTTGAGCTCAGGAGTTTGCAACCAGCCTGGGTAACATGGCTAAACCCCATTTCTATAAAAATACAAAAATTAGCCAGGTGTGGTGGTGCATGCCTGTAGCCCCAGCTACTTGGGAGGATGAGATGGGAGGATTGCTTGAGCCCAGGAGGCTGAGGCTGCAGTGAGCCAAGATTGTGCCACTGCACTCCAGCCTGGGCAACAGAGTGAGACTGTCTTAAAAAAAATTACTTATATTTGGGGAGGGATATGTAGCAGTGATCACCTGTGATTCTATGATGCGGATTATTCTGTACAACTCTTATTCTCTTACCTCATCTCCTTGCCTCCAGAGAAAATTCTGTCATCTGAAGAAATAAGATGGTTGCTGACCATTCCTTGATTAACCACTGTCTCAGTCTGTTTAGGCTGCCATAACAAAATGTCTTAGACTAGGTAATTTATAAACAATAGAATTTATTGCTCACTGTTCTGGAGGCTGGGAAGTCCAAGATCAAGTCACCAGCAGATTGGGTATCTGGTGAAGGTCTATTCCTTACAGAAGGTGCCTCCTTGCTTGATACCTTCACATGGTAGAAGAGAAAAATGGGGTCCCTCAGGCCTCTTTTATAAGGGTACCAATCCCAGGGCTGGGGGTGATGTCTCATATCTATAATCCCAGAGCTTTGGGAGGCTGAGGAGGGACGATTGTTTGAAACCAGGAGTTCAAGACCAGCCTGCGCAACATAGCAAGGTCAAGGTCTCGTCTCTACAAAATAATAATAATAATAATAATAATAATAATAATAATAATTAGCAGGGCATGGTGGTGTGTGCCTGTAGTCCCAGCTACTCAGGAGGCTGAGGCAAGAGGATGGCTCAAGCCCAGGAGTCTAAGTCTGCAGTGAGCTATGATCACACTACTGCACTCCAGCCTGAGTGACAGAGCAAGACTCTGTCTCTAAAATAGTACTAATAACAACAATAACTATACTAATTCTATTCATGGAGGCAAAGCTCTCATAACCTAATCACCTCCCAAAGGTCCCACCTCTTAATACTATTGCACTGAAGATTAGGTTTCATCATGTCCATTTTGGGGAGATAAAAATATTCAGACAAGAGTAACTTGAATCTTGAGCTACCATAGCTAGTCTTCCCCTTCTCTCTCTTCTACAGGCTTTGAGTGGGTGTTGTTGGGATAAACCTCCTGTAAGAATTCTCCTGGCAGAGATTTGAGGGAGGCGGGTTCAAATAGCAGCAGAAATGTTCAGTTTTGTTCTGATTTTCATGGTTTGTTGCACAGCCATTCACATGTTTCTTTGTATGAGCAATATAATAACTAGCTTTCAGAAGGACAGACAGAATAATGAATGGATTGTAAAACATGCTCATAAAAACAGTAGAGTGTGTCTAGAAGTATGTGTTATCTGCTTTTCATTTACTGTGTACCCTATTTTGCATTTTCACATCATTTGCACATTTTCTATTAAAAATAAGCATTTAATAGGCATGCAATTAATTTTAATTTTTCATTTATTCCCTGAGGTGATAAAAAAGTGTGCATGTGTATGTGTAGGGACATTTTACAGTCCTGACAGAACATTGATATTGTAGCCACAGAGTTCATTACAGGGTAATTAATGCATGTTAAGTATCTTGTAAATATTATGTGGTAATAGCTCTAAATAAATACACACTCCAGTTGGAAAGATCTGCTCCACCCCTGCCACGGGGAATGAGATGTTCCCAATTAATGCCTTTAGAAGAGGAGCCTATGTCACCTTGGATAGTCTTGGGAAATTACAGCTTTAGTCTGTGCAAGGCAGCAGTGAATGGTTAATTAAGAAAGCGTGACATGCTTGGTACCTGTCCCACCTGGACTAAGTGGGTTGGACAGGCCCACCTGGCTTTCTGTCTTCCTTAGCAGCCTTTGTTAGAAAGCAGGCTTCACAGCTCTAGTTGTGCTTCTGGGAGCCTTTCCAGCCCCAGGAAGAAAAGCTTTCAAGAACACTTGCTGGCAAGTGGCTGATCATCTTGGACTGTTTAGTGATCTCTTCAATGCAGGACCTGAGGCTCTGTCTGGCAAGCAAGAGGAACTGCTGTCATTGATGGGATTCGTCATTATGAGCTAAAATTATATTTCCTGTTTGACCTTCTGCTTGCTTTACAGATGGTCTCTCAGGTGTGTGGGGCTTGGGGTGTCCTCTTAGCCCTTGGCTGCAGATGTCATTGCCAGGGCCATAAAAGTCTCTATGGTCATTGTCCCAGAGACATTCAGAGGTAGTAGCAAGTGACAGAACAGCTCTTGCTTCTCCAGCTTCCTTTTGTTTCAAATCGGCTGCACCCAGGCCATGCCATCAAGATAGTTCTTGGGGTAAAAGCTTTAGCGTAAATATAATCTGCCCACCTCAGCCTCCCAAAGTGCTGGGATTACAGGCCATGAGCATCACTGAAAGAAAATTATTCTGATAGTTGGTAAAAATGGCAAGGAAAGCTTTATTAAAGACTATTACAATAAGGGGGAGATATTGAACTCAACTTGCAATATAACAGTGACAAGTAGGGGTGTATAGCCAATGGGTAGGGTGAGACAATGAATAAAAATTACTAAAAGGAACTTAATAAGGTATGAAAAGTCGGGAAGGGAAAGGAACTAACCATTTCCGCACAGGACACAGCAATTCCTCCTTTTTCTTCTAAATGTATTCATATCTCAGCTTGTTCATCTATGATGTCTGTGCTCTACATGGAAGTCAGCCTTCAGAGACGAATGTATAGAATGGGGCTTCAAATGCCCTGGCAAAGTCTTGCTATCACACCTTTAAGACCATACCTTCCTCAAGCCTGTTATTGGGTACCTGGAATTCATAAAGAAGAAAACCAAGCCTTAACAACCTCAGTGAGAGATGTGGATTCCAACACAAACTCCTGGAGCTGAGATTCACACTCAGGTAACTGCAGACTTGCAGCAGGTTCCTTTAGTTGGAGTTCAACAGGAGCAAGATCCTGAAGTCTCATGATTCCTGAAAAGAATGATCCTTAGAATGGGAAACAGGGGCCTCGTAGGTGTGGCTGAAGGAACCAAAGGCAAACCTGACCTACTTCCAGTTGAGAAAGTCCAAGTACTGTCATACCATCAACATGGATGTTCACTTTACTGATGTTGTCAGCAACAAAAAGTGAGTGAATTCCCAGACTGCGAATATCAATAGACATATAACATGAAGCTATTTAGCTCATGCTGTAAGTTGCAAGCAGGAATTACTAAAACGTGTGCAGAATGAGGGAGGAGACAATCCTTGCAAAGTAGTTAAGGCAGAGCTTGGCAAGAGTGAACAGTCAATAGAGGCTTGGTGTCATCATTATTAAGGAGCATACCCTCGGCTCCTAGCATGGTAGAGGTATTGAGAATGCCACACTTCTCGTTCTGATGGAGACATAAAGGGACCCGATGGAAACAGCTAAAAGCATATATTCTTGAGTATCTTTTGTTTTCTTGAGACAGAGTCTCACTCTGTTGCCCAGGCTGGAATTCAGTGGTGCGATCTCGGCTCACTGCAATTTCCGCCTCCCAGGTTCAAGTGATTCTTCTGCCTCAGCCTCCCGAATAGCTGGGATTACAGGTGTGTGCTACCATGCCCAGCTAATTTTTGTATTTTTAGTAAAGATGGGGTTTTACTATGTTGGCCTACATGTAATCCCAGCACTTTGGGAGGCTGAGATGGGCAGATCACCTGAGGTCAGGAGTTTGACACCAGCTCGATCAACATGGAGAAACCCTGTCTCTACTAAAAATACAAAATTAGCTGAGCATGGTGGCACATGCCTGTAATCCCAGCTACTCAGGAGGCTGAAGCAGGAGAATGGCTTGAACCCGGGAGGCAGAGGTTGCGGTGAGCCGAGATCATGCCATTGTACTCCAGCCTGGGCCACAAGAGTGAAACTCCATCTCAAAAAAGAAACCCTAAAGGTTTTTTTGTTTGTTTGTTTGTTTGTTTGAGATGGAGTCTGCTCGTTCTGTCGCCCAGGCTGGAGTGCAGTGGCGCGATCGCGGCTCACTGCAAGCTCTGCCTCCCGGGAAGAAACCCTAAAGGTTTTTATTGCTCTGTAGAACATTAACTAGTTTTGTACCTAACTTGGCAGTCTTCCTTAGCCTTAGTTTCCTTTCAGATTGTAAAATTCCCAGTTTCTGGTCAGACACAGTGGCTCATGCCTGTAATCCCAGCACTTTGGGAGGCTGAGGTGGAAAGATTGCTTGAGGCCAGGAGCTCGAGACCAGCCTGGGCAACATAGCAAGACGCTGTCTTTACAAAAAAATAATATCTAGCCAGGCCTGATGTCACACACCTGTAGTCCCAGTTACTTGGGAGGCTGAGGCAAGAGGATCACTTGAGCCCAGGAGTTTGAGGCTGCATTGAGCTATGATTGTACCACTGCACTTCTAGCCTGGGCAACAGAGGGAAATCCTGTCTCTTAAAAAGAAAAAATAAATCCCAGTTTCCCTACTCCATCAAATCAGTTCTGTCATTCTGCTGTTTTTTTCAACAAAGAGTTAAATAAAACTCTGACATGTATTCATTATCCATTTGTAAGAAAGTTATGTTTTTAATGATTTGAGAATTTCTCTCTGACAGATTCAGAAGTGGGGAGCAGGTGAGGGGGGCTCACAGTGTATGCAGGAGGCTATGGGGAGAGAGAGGGAGAGGGGAGTAGACGTCTGTGTACAAAGGGGTAAGTTTCAGCCAAGGAGAAGCAGAGCAGGTGTTGCTGGCTGGCTGGAGACAGAACCTCGATTTAGTAATTCAGTAGAAGAGGACCGGGCCTGCCAAGCTTTTGAGTTTGTTGGATTAGCCAGCAACAATTTTCCATGCAAACGCTCTTCCTCCCAACTTGGAAATCTGAGAGAGAGACAGAAAGAGAGAGAGAGAGAGAGAGAAAGAGAGAGAACATTCTCACACAATTTATATGCAAAACAAATAATGAATGCTCCACAGTTGTGCAATTGAAGGTCAAGGACCACAGATACTCTGGACTATCTATTCTAGTTCCTGTTATAGTCTGAAATTTCCACTACCAATCGCTCCTTTGACTTCAGGATTTGAAGAACTTGATTAAAAGCATGGGATTACGAAGTATAGTCGCAGCTCAATTCTAATTGTTTTTGTATAAACTAGCCTCACGTTGGAGCAAGTGTTTTTATGGTGGTGGTGGTGGTATAAAATATACATGACATAAAATGTGCTATTGTAACCATTTTGAAGTCTGCCATTCAGTGTCATTAGGTACATTCAAAATGTGAAGCCATCACCACGATCTAACTCCAGAAAATTTTTATCACCCCAAAAGGAGATGTTGCACCCATTAAGCAGTCATTCCATATTCCTCTCTCTTCCAGCTTTTGGCAAAAACTAATTTGCTTTCTGTCTCAATGGACCTGCCTATTTTGGCTATTTCCTGTGAAGGGAATCATCCAAAATGTGGCTTTTTGTGTAGTGCAAGTGTTTTTTGATGAACACACATGTAAGGGCCAAAGAGCCAATGTCTATGGGAAAGAGGAGCATAGATGAGATGGGTGGGTTTTCAGGGGATGTGATGTGGTCAGAGGCAGCTTGTAGAGCCAGTTGAAGGGTCAGAAAGGAGAGGTATGTGAGGGGAAAAAACAGATAAATTTAGTTTAGTTCACAGGTCTATTGCCTTTCATGATTTCCAAAATGAGACACAAATGTCTAGAGTGAACATCCTGTATTGAAGGCGTGAGTTTTAGGAATTCTACAAAGTAGAAGTGACTATAGCCACTGAGACCACTAGGATGACTATGTCAAATGATATGGATAGGTACCTGCCAGGAGAAGTCTGCTTATCCAATTTATGCTCAAGGTGAGAGGCTCCTGGAGCCTCCTGGATACCACTTTCTCCCTGATAGACCTCTTTTCTCTTTCTTTGGCCTGTATAAAGAAAGAATTCTAGACCAGGCATGGTGGGTGACTCGTGCCTATAATCCCAGCACTTTGGGAAGCCAAGATGGGAGCATCACTTGAGCCCAGGAGTTTGCAACCAGCCTGGGCAAGAGAGCGAGACCCTGTCTCTACAAAAAATACAAAAATCAGCTGGGTATGGTGGTGCATCTGTAGTCCCAGCTACTTGGGTGGCTGAGGTGAGAGGATCGCTTGAGGCCAGGAGTTTGAGGTTGCAGTGAGCCATAATCGGGTCACTGCACTCAAGCCTGCGTGACAGAGTAAGACCCAAGACTCTGTCTAAAAAAAAGAAGAAAGAGAGAAGAAAGAACAAAAAAGAAGAAAGAAGGAAAAAGGAAAGAAGAAAGAAAGAAAGAAAGAAAGAAAGAAAGAAAGAAAGAAAGAAAGAAAGAAAGAAAGAGTTCTATTTGATGGTATGCATTTGTAACCCCTACGCACAACTATCCAAACCCGCAATTGAATTGCCAGGCAATCTGCAGCCCTACTGATTCTCTACAATTCAGACAAAACACACGGGAACCCTTTCAGGAGCCAGGCAGGCTACAATCAAGCCACTCCATGCACAGGTCTCTAATAGTACAGTAATCAGTGGTAATCACCCATACAGTTTATGTACAGGAAGGCCTAATAGGATTCATGCCTCTGTAGTGAATACGTTTTCATTTATAGGACTAAACGCAAGCATACATTACCTGTTTAATTAAAAACAAAATTCTCCAGCCAACAATTTGCTCCCTCTCTTGGGCGCGTGCTATATACATTACTGATGGTTCCTTTCAATCTACTGATTACAGATTCCTCAAATAATTTGTCATTGTGGATGACTGCCTATAGTTTGGGAAGGTAGACCTTTGCTCCCAGTTTCCTAGTTTTTCTTTGCTGAGAAATCAGAGGCTCTGTGTGTTATCTGTATGCAAAAATGTGATAGCAAGTTCAAATACATGAACTGGATATTCCCTATGCCTGCAGCATACAAACACAGGATGCTAGAGGTAGCAGGTGCCAAGGCCAAGCCAAGAGAACACTCACTGGCAGCTCTTGCTACTTGTAGGAGCCTGTTAATAATGTTTTGCTTTTGTTTTTGTTTTTTCTTAGAGACAGGTCTCACTCTTTCACCCAGGCTGGAGTGCAGTGGCACCATCACAGCTCACTGCAGCCTCGACCTCCTGGGCTCAAGCAATCCTCCCACCTCAGCTTCCTGAGTAGCTGAGACTATAGGTGCATGCCACCACACCCAGCGAGTTTTTCTTTGTATTATTTTTTGTAGAGACAGGGTCTCACTATGTTGCCCAGGCTGGTATTGAACACATAGCCTCAAGCGATCATCCCACCTCCCAAAGTGCTATGATTATAGGCATGAGCCACCATGCCCAGCCTACTAATTCCTTCATTCTTTATCTAATTTCCCTCCCTTGAGCCTTTATCCTGGATGTGGCCAATGCTAATGTAGGTAAGTGTGAAATGGTTTTCTCATTTAAGGAGGATAGGTCTCTGATATAAATAGATGGCTTATTAATGGTCTCACTGAACCCCACCTACATAAGTAGATGGAGCCTGGTCAAGGTGACTAAATTGGAAGCAGGGTCAGGTGGGAGAGGTGGCATCACCAGGCATCGAGGACATCCCAGCATCCTCCTTTCTATTGCTGGTGCTTTCAGATGCACTGTATTTCTGTCTTGAGTTCTTCCATTTCTCAAGTGCTATCATTCCTTTATTTAAATCATGAGGATGAGAAAGATGACATGATGTCTACCTTCAAGGAGCTTATAATCTGGGTAGAGAGTCTAATGAGAATACTCAAGGAATTTAGTGTATTTTCCACCATGTTTTACAAAAAAATTAAGGTGATTTAAAAGAATAATTATTTCTTGTTTTATTTTATATTTTTGAGATGGGATCTTGCTGTGTTGTCCAGGCAAGTCTCAAACTACTGGGCTCAAACAATCATCCTCCCTCAGCCTCCCAAAGTGTTGGAATTGCAGGTGTGAGCCACTGTGCAGGAAGATAATATAGGAGATTCAGGATGGATCATAAGGATAGGAAGGGGAAGGACATGGAATAGAGACAGGAATGGTGAGCAGTTGGGAATATGGACTTGAGTTCAGACAGGCCTAGATTTAAGCCTATGCCTCCTAGCTTTATATGCATTCCCTTAAGTTCTTTGAGCTTTCATTGGCTTATCTATAAAATAGAAGAAACAAATCTGTGGCATGAAAATATTTTGAAATAGTAATTGAGGTCTGTCCCCTGGCTTTCCTTCTTTCCTCTCCACTCCACACCCCAACACAGACATAACACTTTCCTGGACTCTTCACATTCCCCATTTAGTTTGTCTGCAGAACAGAGTCCCCTTAGCAGGCCTAACTGCTGTCCTTTGAAAGACATGCTTACAAGGTTGGCCCTTGGCGGCATCTGGGAACTTGGAGTTTGCAAGGGTTCCCACCTGTCCCTAACAGATAAGAGTGGCTCACTATGTCTAAGTTGTTTGTACAAACAATGTGGTTGATGAGGAACGCCAGCTTTCCTGCTGGGCATCTGGAATTTTGGTACATGTTAAGCAGAGGGTGCTTACGTGACCAGCCCCCAGTAAAGACCTTGGAACATTGAGTCTGTAATGAACTTCCCTGTTGGCATTTCACACGCACTGTCACAACCCATTGTTGGGAGAATTAAGTGCCTCCTTTGTGACTTTCCCAGTAGAAGACTCTTGAAGCTTGCAACTGATTTCCTCGGACTTTACTCGTGCCATTTGCTTTGAATCCTTTCATTATAATAAATCATGGCCATGAATCTGAGTCATATGAATCCTCCCAGTAAATCATCAAGCCTGGGGATGGTCTTGGGGACCTTCCTGCCTCTCCTCCAGTGCACAGCCAGCTAGAATATTTTCCACATATGTGCACTCAGAGGGATGGCACAGCAAATATTAACAATCAGTTGTTGGTAATTGCCTCAAAAGTCAAGGCTGAGAGCACCAGATGCATAGAGTGATAAACACATATATTCAGCTCTTCCTCCCCCCAAGACCCCACGATCAAGACTCAAATGTGGCTGGGTGGGGTGGCTCATGCCTGTAATCCCAGCACTTTGGGAGGCTGAGGCGGACGGATCATGAGGTCAGGAGATTGAGATCATCCTGGCTAACAAGGTGAAACCCCGTCTCTACTAAAAATACAAAAATTAGCCAGGCGTGGTGGGGTGCACCTGTAGTCCCAGCTACTAGGGAGGCTGAGGCAGGAGAATCGCTTGAACCCAGGAGACGGAGGTTGCAGTGAACCGAGATCGCGCCACTGCACTCCAGCCTGGCAACAGAGCAAGACTCCATCTCAAAAAAAAAAAAAAGACTCAAATGTATTCCCAGGAAGAGAAAAAGTAAGCATGGAAAGGAAGAGTAGACACTGGTTGGGTCTCTGAATCTGGTACCCCACATCCTGCCCTCCCTTGGGCTGAGCTGTCAGTGGCAGGTAATGAGAAGACACACGTAGATGAAGGGGATCTGGGGCAGGGTGCAATGGCTCACATCTATAATCCCAGCACTTGGGAAGCTGAGGTGGGAGGATCGCTTGAGGCCAGGAGGTCAAGACTAGCTTGGACAACATAACAACACTCCATCTCTACAAAAAAAAATAAAAATTAAAAAAAAATCTGGACATGGTGGGGCACAACTGTTCTCCTAGCTATTGAGTAGGCTGGAGTGGGAGGATTGCTTGAGCCCAGGAGTTTGAGACTGCAGCGAGTCAGGATCATGCTACCACACTCCAGCCTGGGCAACAAAGAGAGAACTTATCTGTAAACAAACAAACAAACAAACAAACAAAACAAAGGAAAAAGAAAGTGGGGGATCTGGAAGCAAGAGGACCAGGCATCACCCTTGGTGGAACCCAATGAGGTATCAGAACCCAGGGTTCATGTAGCAGAATGGGGGCTTCAGGAGATTGGCCAGACACAATGTCATCTGTGGACAGGTGACTGACGTTTACATAGAAAGGAAGACTTCTTAGTGGGATAGCAGCCACGACAGATGAAATCACCTAGGAGCAGAGGCTCCAGCCCCAGCTCAGGTTGTCTGCTGGTACTTTGGTACCAAGTAAGCCTCTCAAAACATACACATAGTCCTGGAAAAGCAAAGAACACATAAGAAGAAGAAATGTGTCTTGTGCACTCTTGAGTTTGGGGTGTGCAACTTGCAACCACCAACTCAGGGGTGCACAAAACACAACTTTCCAACTTGGTGGTTACTGTAAATATGACACAAGGCTAATTTCCTTAACACAGAGCCTAGCAAACACTCAACAATTGTCAACACTGAACAAATGTTTGCCTTTATTATTAATATGAAATAAAGCATTCAGTAAACCTGAGTAAATGATAGCTATTATAATAATAGTAAAGGTAAACCCTGGAATTGTACACATGTACTACAATGAGCTCTAAGTTTTCTAGAGGGCCCATGGGGAGACAGAACTTAATCAACTGTAGCATTCACAGGGTTCATTAACAAGTTGCACTGCCAAGCTATTCTTGACACCAAAATACAAAAGACATTTCTCCAAAGTGTCCTCACGAAGACAGCCCTGCTAAACAAATACAACTTCCTGCAAATGTATTTTATAATATCCTTAGGAAACTTGTGTCATCTGCAAGTCTCTCTTAGACCAACCAATCCTTCGTAGAGCAAAATTCATTATAGATTAATCTGGGGAGTAGTGGTGTGGGTGAAGGGCAGAAAAACAAACTAGCAATTGCCATCCAAACCATAAGCTTTGTATCAAATTATGACGAGGACTCCTAACCACTCAAGTTTGGGAGAGTGAGAGAGTGTTAGAGATGGCTTCCTGGAGAGGGTAACTAAGTTGTGAAGAATAAATGGGGGTTACCAAGATAGATGACTTATAGATGTGCAGGTTACAAGGATAAGAAAGAAAAAAGATAGATGACTTAGAGGAGCAGAAAGTAGGGGAAAGGCAACGTTGCTGCAGAAGTGACTATTCGTTTACTGAACAAACAGCTACTATGTGCCGGGCATGTGTTAATTTCTAGCTAGAAGTGAAGAAGATCAGTTTAATCCTAAATATATCCAAATACAAGGTGAGAACTTGTCCTGCTCAGAGATTCGGAGCGGGACTTTTAGGGGAGCAGGGAGGAAAAGAGAGGAGAGAGATTATGGTGGACAAGAGCCAGAATTCCAAGCCAGATTACAAGAGCCAGATTTCTGCGTTGGGGGCAAAAATAAGGAATTGGATAGAGGAAAGACGCTAGAAGGCTGTGATCAGATGTGCACTTTAGGAAGCTCACTGTAGCACCAGTGTATAGAGTGACCGTGTGGAGAACAGGATCAAAGGTGGTGAGGACGCTGAAGTGATTACCGAGAATTAGCAGATCTGATCAATGGAAGTGCTTGTCAATAATTCTACAGTTGTTAAGAGGTAGATTTAACATCAACTCTTGCTTGATTGGATGGCTCTAGGGATAAGGGACTGGAGAGCCTCCGGGTTGATTTTCTAACTTATGGTGTGGATGCTCAAGTGGCTGGAGTTGCTGTTGATGAAAATGGGGAAAGTAGAAGGAATTCCTGGTTTGGGGGAAGTTGAGCCTTTATTATATAGAGTTTCAGGTATGTCTGAGATGTGGTGAGGTCATCTATCTTGACTTTTTTCTTTCTTTTTTTTTTTTTTGAGACAGAGTCTCACTCTGTCGCCAGGCTGGAATGCAGTGGCACGATCTCAGCTCACTGCAACCTCCAACTCCCTGGTTCAAGCAATTCTCCTGCCTCAGCCTCCTGAGTAGCTGGGATTACAGACACATGCCACCACACCCAGCTAATTTTTGTAATTTTAGTAGAGACAGGTTTCACCATGTTGGCCAGGATGGTCTTGATCTCCTGACCTTGTGATCCACCCACCTTGGCCTCCCAAAGTGCTGGGATTACAGGCATGAGCCACCATGCCCAGCCATCTATTTTGACTTTTAACATGTGAGTGGAGAAAAGGACCACCTAGGTTGGGAGCTCAGGGGAGTGGTCTAGGCTGGGAAATACAGATGTGGACATGTTCAGAGTCTATCTGGAGGGCCAGCATTATCAAATGGTTAAGAGATGCATGATCTCGGAACCCAGGCTGCCCAAGAGTGATCATTGCTGTATCACTTCCTAGCTTCGCGACCTTGGGTAAGATATTAACCTTTCTGTGCCTCAATTTTCTCATCCAGACAATGAGTTTTTTTTTTTTTTCTTTTTTTGAAAGAGCCTTGATCTGTCACCCAGCCTGGGGTGCAGTGACATGATCACAGCTCAGTGCCTCCTTGACTTCCTGGGGCTCAATTGATCCTCCCACCTCAGCTTCCTGAGTAGCTGGGACCATAGGAGTGCATCACCACACCTGGCTAATTTATTTTTATTACTTATTTTTTGTAGAGAGACAGTTTTACTATGTTGCCTAGGCTGTCCTCAAACTCTTGAGCTCAAGAAATCCTTCTGCCTTGATCTGCCCAAGGGCTGGGATTACAGGCATGAGCCACCATGCCTGGGCCTAAAATGAGATATTGAGGGTAAATACCTACTTCACAGTTTACTGTGAGGATTACGAATTGATCCATAGAAAGCGCCTAGAACAGGCCGGGCTCAGTGGCTCACGCCTGTAATCCCAGCACTTTGGGAGGCCGAGGCGGGTGGATCACAAGGTCAGGAGTTCAAGACTAGTCTGGCCAACAGAGTGAAACCCCATCTCTACTAAAAATACAAAAAATTAGCTGACTGTGGTGGTGTGTGCCTGTAATCCCAGCTACTAGGGAGGCTGAGGCAGGAGAACCGCTTGAACCCAGGAGGCGGAGGTTGCAGTGAACCGAGATCGCGCCATCGCACTCTGGCCCAGGCGACAGTGCGAGACTCCGTCTCAAAAACAAAAACAAAAAAGAGAGAAAAAGAAAGCTCCTAGAACAGACCTGAACGTAGCAGCCCTGAACATAGCAGGACTAATACATATGGACTTTGAAGTTTTGAATTACTACTGTAATGAGTTGACTTTGGGGACTACTGGGATGGAATGAATCAGACTAAAGGAAAAAAATAAACAGCAAGGAAGGGAGCAAGTATGCAACCCTGGGGGTATCTTGATTTTTAACATGTGAAAGGAGAAAGGGACAGCCTAGATTGGGAGCAAGTGGCCATCAAGGTGACGGTGAAAACCTGGGAGAGGGTGTCACAGAATCTAAAAGAGAAGACAATAGCGAGACATTAACAGAAGCACACATAGCATCGAATGTTTCAGAGGTTCAGTAACTTAAGGACTGATGGACACATGTTCATTTGGCAAATACTTATTAACATCAATGATGCTGTTGGCACTGACCAGAAGAGACAAACCTCCAGCCTTCATAGAGCTTATATTCTCATGGGGATTGCAGATAATAGACAAAACAGATAAATGAATTACATGGTATTTTAGAAGTTGGTAACTGCCACGGAGACAAACAATTCAGAAAAGAAGGATGAAGCGTGCCCAGGAGTGAAGCTATTTTAAATTGGAGCCGGTTGGCATTATAAATTGAGGGATTAAGAAGGGTCTTACTGAGAAGGTGGCATTTGAGCAGACTATTAGCGACCTTAGGTTGTAGCTGTTTACAGAGCAAATAAGAGATAGAGAAACAAAAGCAGAAAGTATAAAGTGCTGTTTCAAAAACCGGATGACAGAGAAAAAAGAAGAGATGTTGGGCTGGCTGGAGAGAGATGCAAGGTCACAGAACAATTTGTATTTCAGATAAAAAAGACTGGCTGGGCATGGTGGCTCATGCCTTAAATCCTACCACTTTGGGAGGCTGAAGCAGGTGGATCACGAGGTCAGGAGTTCGAGAGTAGCCTGGCCCACATGGTGAAACCTCGTCTCTACTACAAATACAAAAATTAGCCTGGCGTGGTGGTATGCGCCTGTAATCCCAGCTACTGGGGAGGCTGAGGCAGGAGAATGTCTTGAACCCAGGAGGCGGAGGTTGCAGTGAGCCGAGATCGTGCCACTGCACTCCAGCCTGGGTGACAGAGTGAGACTCCTTTTAAATAAATAAATAAAAAAGACTGTAACCTACCTACTATAATCCCCATTTTCGAGATGAACATGTGAATAGGAACGTAAAATGACTCAAATGTCCGCAAAGCTAGTAACTGATCAAGCCAGAATTCAAAACCAGGTAAGGAGGTTCCTAAAGCCTGTTAGGTTCAAGCAGAGATCTCTGTTAGACACAGCCAGCCCTTTTCATGTCCCTAAAAATGTATTGCTTTTAACCTCTGCTGAGATCTAAATGTCATTCTACATTTTTCTCAATGCCTGTTCAGCTACCACTCTTATTCTCCACATTGGATGGACAATTTCACTACCTTTGTCTTCAAAACATTTGCAGGGCACTTGGAGCACATGAATACAGGGATACGGGATTAGAAAATATTGTAAAGAGAGTGTTTAAAGTAATGGGTCCTTGAGTCTAGGAAGAAGAGTATGCATAAGTATGCAAAGGCAGTGATATCACTTGCATCTCACAATGATCAAGGCTTCTTAGAGGAGAAGGTAATAAATTGGACCTTGAAGTACAGGGAGGAGATTGAGTAGCTCTTGGCACTGAAGGAAATGATTTTGGCAATGGTGTAAGGTTATTCAACCCTAATCTGGCCCTTGAATTGTGTATAAAACCATCGCAGTTGCTCCTCTGGGTGCAGTGGCTCATGCCTGTAATCTCAGCACTTTGGGAAGCCGGGACAGGCAGATCACCTGAGGTCAGGAGTTTGAGATCAACCTGGCCAACATGGGGAAACCCTGTCTCTACTAAAAATACAAATATTAGCCGGGCATGGTGGCCGTACCTGTAATCCCAGCTATTCGGGAGGCTGAAACAGGAGAATCGCTTGAACCCAGGAGGTGGAGGTGGCAGTGAGCTGAGATTGTGTCACTGCACTCCGGCCTGGGCGACAGAGCAAGACTCTGTCTAAAAAAAGAACAAGCAAAAAAAAAAAAAAAGTTTGCAGTTGCTCATATCCTATTTAAGTTTTTTTTCCAAACTTATCATCCATTCACCTGTTTTGCTTCACTTCCACCTTGGCATCTTTGATTTCCTTTTTATCCTTTATTTGGAGTCTGCACCTTGTCTCTCACTCTCCCCCTAGCCCCACAGCATTAAATATGAGAAGACTTCCATTTGTGGCTCCCAGATTCAACAAAAAATCAGTAAGAGATATCACTCAAACTCCACAGGAATAGGTGATCCAAGCTCATCTCTCATTTTCTTGCATCCCATATGCAAATATAGCATCCATTCATTTAGACTTCATCTAAATACATTTTCCTTTATCCTGATGGGAAAACAGTGCAAAAATTCCCATTTGCCTAATTAAAATAAGCAGTAATGGGAATTCCTTCCCTCCCTTCTTTCCTTCCTTCCTTCCTTCCTTCCTTCCTTCCTTCCTTCCTTCCTTCCTTCCTTCCTTCCTCCCTCCCTCCCTCCCTTCTTTCTCTTTCTTTCTCCCTTTCTTTCTTGAGGGAGTCTCTCTCTTGTCGTCCAGTCTGGAGTGCAGTGGTGCGATCTCGGCTTACTGCAACTTCTGCCTCCTGGGTTCAAGCAATTGTCCTGCTTCAGCCTCCCGAGTAACTGGGATTACTGGGATTACAGGTGCCCACCACCAGGCTCAGCTAATTTTTGTATTTTTAGTAGAGATGGGGTTTCACCATGTTGGCCAGGCTGGTCTGGAACTACTGACCTCAGGTGATCCGCTCATTTAGGCTTCCCAAAGTGCTGAGATTACACAGGCATGAGCCACCATGCCCAGCTGGAATTCCCTTTTTTCTGACTTTATGTTATTATTTGTTTTAAAAATATACTTAATTGATCAGTTTCAAATAATGTAATTTGATGCCCAATTATAAAAGATGAATAAACCAGGGTAGCAATATTACCTTTTGATGAATTTCTTCTTTTTGCTTTTATTTTCAGTTAATTATCTAATTTCCAAGTTGTCATTGTTTATAACAGTTTTGATTGTTTAATACTTGGCCTGATTTTGTTCTTTGTAAAAGAAAGTAGATATTTTTTGCTTGGCCATGCTTTCACTTCTTTTCTTTATCTTTGAGGGCTTATAACTTTATTGCCTTAGTGATATTGATTTGATATCAGGTTTTTCCAGGGAAATAATGTGTCCAGAAGGCAGGACATAGAGTCAAAGAAGATTATTCTCAAACCTCAAGATTTGATGTTGTTTGCCTTATTAGGATTTGGATGTACTTTGGACCTGTTATCTCTTTCTTCTTTTCTCCTGTTTCCTTTTGAAATGGGAATGTCTACCCTATGCCTGTCCCATCAGCGTATTTTGGAAGTATATACATTTTTAATCTCACAGGTTCACAGCTAGACAGTTATTTGGCTTAGGAGAGTCCTTGTGCTGTTAAAACGAAAGACTTGAGTCTGGGTATTTGCTTTAGAATCTTACCTTGAGTATTACTCATACCTGATTTTGATAAAACTGTGGTGTGATGGTGAATATTGAGTGTCAATTTGATTGGATGGAAGGATGCAAAGTATTGTTCCTGGGTGTGTCTGTGAGGGTGTTGCCAAAGGAGATTAACATTTGGGTCAGTGGAGTAGGAAAGGCAGACCCACCCTCAATCTGGGTGGGCACAATCTAATCAGCTGCCAGCACAGCCAAAATAAAAGCAGGCAGAGGAATGTGGAAGGACTAGACTGGCTTTATCTCCCGTCCTCAGTCTTTCTCCTGTGCTGGATGCTTCCTGCCCTCAAACATCCGACTCCAAGTTCTTCAGCTTTGGGACTCAGACTAACTTCCTTGCTCCTCAGCTTGCAGATGGCCTATTGTGGGACCTTGTGATCTTGTGAGTCAATACTCCTTAATAAACTACCCTTTATATATATGTATCCTATTAGCTCTGTCCCTCTAGAGAACCCTAGTACATATGGACTTTGAACTTTTGAATGACTACTGGAATTAGTTGACTTTGGGGACTACTGGAATTGAAGGAATGGATTTTGCATGTAAGAAGAACATGAATTTGGGGCCCAAGGGTGGAAAGCTATGGTCTGAATGTGTCCCCCCAGATTTACATGTTGAAACTCAATGTGATTTGAGAGTTGGGGCCTTTAGGAGGTGATTAAGTCATAAGATTAGAAGCCTTATGAATGGGATTAAAGCTGTTATGAAAGGATTTGAGGGAGTGGGTTCCTTTCTTCCACTCTCCTTCCATGTGAGAACACAGCCACCAGATGCCATCTTAGAAGCAGTGAGCCCTTACTAGACATTAAATCTCCTGGGCTCTTGATCTTGAACTTCACAGCCCCTAGAACTACAAGAAAGAAATTCTTCTTCTTTACTCAGTCTCAGGTATTTTGTTATAACAGCACAAATGGACTAACACACAACTTCGTAGCTCCATGACCTTAGGCCATTTGCTTAACCTCTCCGTCTCTTATTTCTTCATTTAAAAAATGGAGTGATAAACCTCCTAAGGTTGCTGTATAGATTACATAATTTACTAAATGTAAAGTGCCCTGAACTGTCCCTGATAGGTATCATGCAGTGAGTGTGAGCTCTTATTCTTTTTATCTACTCTTCCTGACTTCCCAATTGATCATTGCTTCTCTCCTTCAATGGTAAGACTGAGGACTTCGAACCTCAGTCCAAATCCAGAGGGTGATCAACAGGATACCCATCCTTGGTGGTCCCTGAATGAAACCCCAATTGATACACAGATTAATTCTTTGTTTGGTCCAACATTTATTGCTAGAAAGTTATTTTTATATGGCTCCCAGATGAAATCCTATAATTGCCAAACATTACTCCTAGTTCAATCAAAAGAGTTTGTTGAGTGCCCACTGTGGGCTGACATTTTTATTAGGCATTAAGAGAAGAAACATTCTGAGATGTGATCCTTGTTCTCAGGAAACTTTAAATCTTGTGAGGAAATATAATGCAATAATAAATTATTGACTTAGTAAAACAAGAGCTCCCAGCACTCTGGGAGGCTGAGGTGGGTGGATCACCTGAGATCAGGAGTTCGAGACCAGGCTGTCCAAAGTGGTGAAACCCCATCTCTACTAAAAATACAAAAATTAGCCAGGCATGGTGGTGGCGCATGCCTGTAGTCCCAGCTACTTGGGAGACTGAGGCAGGAGAATTGCTTGAACCCAGGAGGCAGAGGTCGCAGTGAGCTGAGACTGTGCCACTACACTCCAGTCTGGGAAATAAGAGCAAAACTCCATCTCAAAACAAAACAAAACAAATAAACAAAGAGCTTGGCTGAGGACAGACAAGTGAGGGTAGTTTTATAAAAGAGATAAATTGGAATTGGAACAGGCAGTTTGGGCAACATCTGAATGAATGAAAGGAAAGAGAAAGAATATTTCCAGTAAGTCATGGTAAGGACAATGAAAATATGTATTGTATTAATTCAGAATTTGCATATAGTAAGGATAGCAGCAGAAAATTGGGTTGGCTGGGAGCACCAGGGCATCCTATAGAAAACCTAAACAAAACATACTCATAAATTTACTTAGTATTGTTTAGGTATGCCTACCTAAACAAAACAGGTAGGCAACAGGTGCCTGATCTTTACTTGAGGAACCAGAGCTGAAGAAAAGCTTTGGGGAAGTTGCACTTCAAATAAATGAATGATAGAAAGTTCTAGATACTGAATTCATCAGGTAGGAGTGGTTCCTCAAGCTGCTACAGATAATAAAAAGCAGTAAATGAGTGAGAAGAACCCTGATTATAGCTATGAAAAGTGAGCTAAGTGCTTTGTCTTTGCATTGAGGTATTAAGGAAGGGGAGAAAAACGAAAGTTTCATAGCTGGAAGGAACCAGAAGTCAGACACAGGGAATAGCTTGGACGGAGTGGTTCACAAGTTAGAGATAATATCTCCTCTCTAAGTTCTGTAAGATTTTAAAAGGTTTTCTTTGATAACCTAGAGCTATGTGTGCAAGGGCTGACACACAGGGCTGGGCAAAAGGCAGGGCTGGAAAATCCACAGCTCAGCCAGGAGAGATCCAGCTTATCTCTCTTGTGGGATCACCAGGAAGCCTTGGTTTTTCACATTACCCGCTGATTGTCTGAGCTGCTTTGCAATCAGAGAATTGTTTCATCTGCTGGAACGGTATAAGTAAATTAATTGTGTTTATTAATGAACCATTCCACTGGCTTTTATTTTCCCCACATGCTTTTGTGCATACGTATTCCTGGGTGTTTTACCTTGGGGTATTTAAGGATGCTTTCTCTAGCTCAGCTTTTATGCTAAGATCCACTGAGGAGTCAGGGATGAGACAAGGTAGAGTTTTAGTATAGGCTAGGCACAGTGGCTCACACCTGTAATCCCAGCACTTTGGGAGGCTGAGGCGGGCAGATCACTTGAGGTCAGGAGTTCAAGACCAGCCTGGCCAACATGGTGAAACCCTGTCTCTACTAAAAATACAAAAATTAACTGAGCATAGTGGTGGGTGCCTGTAATCCCAGCTACTTAGGAGGCTGAGGCAGAAGAATCGCTTGAACTCGGGAAGTGGAGGTTGCAGTGAGCCAAGATCACGCCATTGCACTCCAGCCTGGGCAACACAGTGAGACTCGGTCTCAGAAAAAAAAAAAGAAATTTGAGTATTATCCTTGTCTTGCTGATGTTTGTTCAACAGATGCTGAAGAGCAATTCCTGTGGACAGGTACAAGGAAAGGAAACCAGGGCTAGAAACGAACAGCACTTGTCATTTTAAGTTTGCATTTGTAAGGATTGTTTTTGAGATGAGGAGCCGGAGCTGACGACTTGAAGTAATTGAGGCAATATTTCAAGTGATATACACGGGTTCCTACTTGATAGATCTTCCTCTCTAACTAGCCATCATCCTATTTTATAATGTTATCATAGTTTTAATTATGTTGTACATACTTGTTTACAGCTATTTGCTATATATCCAGGGTGACATTACAGTAAATTAGTTTTTCCCCACTGCTTCTGACTGTTCTTTGCTTCAAACTCAACCATAAATATTGCACCTGAGAAAGCTTGTTCAGATTATTTATCATTCTGGCATGTGACTGCAATAGCAATACCCTAAGGCAGAATGTTCTGGGAGCTAACTTACAGGAAAACTTTGAGGGAGTGAATGTCTACATCCACCCAGCAGGATTCTCACATTAATACACATTCAGTGAGTAGTGTAGACGGCTTGCTCGAATGAGTATTCAGAAAGGAGTTTATGATACCAGTGCCCCGGCCTCTTCATTGACTGCTATGGAGGCTGGGACAATAGAGGGGAAGGCAAGTGATAAATAAAGAAGAATGCAAGTAAAAGTACCTAGCATGGTGGCTGGTGCATAGGAGGCTTTAGGAAATATTAGCGTCTATCCTTCCTTCTGCATCAGCAAAGAAAAATGGACCAGAAGCAGAAGAACACGAGGTTGTTGAAATGTCTCACCTGGGCTACATTGCAGTTCAGCCAGAAGTCTATGTGAATGAAGCATTCAGCTGGGCAGAAATTTAATCTTGTTTCTCTTCTTTTTCCAACTGTGGCTTCACTGTGTTAGCAACTGGACTCTTTCCTTTGCCATTTGCCATCTGCCTTTGCCATTCCAAAGCCCACTTACAGTATCAGTTATAATTATAAAAGCTATTTAAATTTATTGAGTATGTTTTATGGGCTAGATGGTGTGCCAAGTGCTTTAACTCAAACATACAGTGTGATCCTCATTTACAGCAATGAAGTTGAGACTCAGTGGTGTTGAGTCATTTTCTCAAAGTCACCCAGTTAGTAATGGGTGGAGCTTGCATTGGAATCCACATTGGTATAACTCCAAATATCATGCCTCTAACCACCTTGTCACTCTGCTTGTTATGGTTTGTTTTCTTTTTTCTTTTTCTTTTTTTTTTTTTTTGAGATGGAGTCTCACTCTGTTGCCAGGCTGGAGTGCAGTGGTGCGATCTTGGCTCACTGCAACCTCTGCCTCCCGGGCTCAAGTGATTCTCTTGCCTCAGCCTCCCAAGTAGCTGGGATTACAAGCATGCACCACCACGCCCAGCTAACTTTTGTATTTTTAGTAGAGACAGGATTTGTTTTCTTGAGTATCAACCCAGAAGCCCAGTTCTCCAGAGATTGTCTTCCTATTTCTCCACAACAGTGTCTCATTTTTATATCACCAATTCCCATGACTCCGTCCTCTTGTTTTGCTTCCTGGGCCTCTAAATGCCACTCTATAGCTGACATCAGAAAGAGAGATACAAGAAAGGGAGGCATCTTGGGATTCAGTGGTGCCAGCCATCTATGGGCCACTGAGAGGTGATGCAAGGTTACCCTATAACAGACAGCTAGATCAGTATAATGCAATTATAAAATAAAATGGAAAAGAGACGTGGAGACTATAACAAACATGAAACTGAGTGTATGGAGTTCATCACTGAGAAGTCATCATTGGAGAAGTGTAAGTATTTGATTCTGTCTTGGAAGAAAGAGACAGAATTAAGGTCACGGTGGCTCACATTTGCAATCCCAGCTATTTGGGAGGCTGAGTCAGGAGGATTGCTTGAGCCTGAGAGGTTGAGGCTGCAGTGAGCCGTGATGGAGTGCAGTGCAGCCACGTTGTCTAAAAGCCAAGTTGTCATTGCCATGAAATAAGCTTAGATTAGTAACAGGGAAGTCAGGGGATCTATCAGAAATAAATGAGCGGTAGCCTACCTACTGCTGGTGAATATCTGAGATCTTGCTTGGGCTACATTTACAAGGCTAAGAGTCTTCTCACTTATGAGCTTGATAGTTTTAGAGACTATCCTGGCAGCTGTAATCTATGAGCACTTTAACCCACATAGCTAAGGGCCTGGATTACTGCCTTTCTCACCCAAAAGTTTGAGAACAGAGTGTTTAAAAAAAAATAAAATAAAAAATAAAACTTAGACAAATTAAATTGAACAGATATTAACTGAGTAAAAAACAATTCTTGAATCTGGCAACTCCTGAACCCGAATAGATTCAGAGAGGCTCCAGTGCAGCAATGTGGTGGAAGAAGATTTATGGACAGAAAAAGGAAAGTGATGTAGAGAAAATGGAAGTGAGGTATAGAAATCTCTGGATTGGTTACAGCTCAGCATTTGCCTTATTTGAACAGGGTTTGAACAGCTGGCCGCTTTTGATTGGCTGAAACTCAGTGATTGGCACAAGAGTAGGTTACAGTCTGTTTACACACCCATGCAGGTTACAGTTCACTATGGACAGAGAAACTTTTAGGTCAAACTTCAAATATGTAAGGAGGCAGCTTTAGGCTAATCTCAATTTAACAAGGGTCATGGTCCATAGACCTCCATAGAGCCCAGAATCACCTGAGGTGCATAATGGGTGTTTAATAAATACCGTATTGACCTATCTGGATAAAGACTAGCACCAATTCCATGCCCTCAGTCTCCCTCAGAGGAAAATTATAATGTTGCTCATGGGAGCAGCAGAGCATCAAAAGGCTGTTTGACATTTTGAAAGCTGATTTCAGATGCTCAGAGGAATCTGATAGTACACTGCTTTTCTGCCTCAGCAGTGTCTATGATATATCCGCAGCATGTAGCCTTCTGCAAAATTCTGCCATCACATGGGGTTAGCTATTTGAAGGAGGCAGGTAGAAATTCCAATAGAAGCTTTGGCAGAAGAGAAGTAGGGAACACAGAATCATTTGTTTCCATGCCAAATCCTTGGACACAGACAGATAGCAACTGAGGGAAGGTTCTGATCTAACTATACCAGCAACTGAGCTCAGAGATACAAAGTACTGGGAAGAGCATCTCTCCCACTTTTACAAAAAAAAAAAAATCTGGACAAATTGAAAATTAATTGCTTTTCTTTGAGATCATCAGAAAACCAAGATTGCAGGGCAAAGAACTAACATGGACTCTAGAGAGAGATGTATGTCTGCAGACATCCAGGAAAAACAAATCTGAGCATTTGCTTACCTGAGCAGATGTCACCTGATGCCATATAAGTGGGTAAGAAGATTCTGCTAGATTCTGCTAGCTAGAGACAGAATTAAGGTCACAGTGGCTCACACTTGCAATCCCAGCTATTTGGGAGGCTGAGGCAAGAGGACTGCTTGAGCCTGAGAGGTTGAGGCTGCAGTAAGCCATAATGGAATGTGGTGCAGCCACTGCACTCCAGCCTGGTGTCTAGGGAAGTATCTAAAAGCTAAACTACATTGCTAAAACTTCTTAGTGCAGCCTAGCATACCCGTGGGACATCCATAGGGGCTGCAGATATAGGGAGGTATGCACCTGGTTTGTTTCAGGCATCCCGCTGCTCATGAGGAAGATAAGGAGGATGCTGACAAGCTTCTCAAGTGTGCTGGCTGAAAGAAGGAGCAGAAACTCCATTCAGACCTGTCTACCCAGTCTCCTCTAAAGAAAAAAGGTCTTATCTGCAGCAGGGTAGAATGAGAAAAACTGTATCCTGAGGGCGTGGGTGGCAACCAATTTTAATTGAGGGCATGGAACAGGAAAATGTTAAAAAGCTCAGTCCTAGGAGAGGAATAAATCCTAGGCTTGTTCCATCTGGAGAGGGGCAAGGACATTTATTTGTATTTATTATTGTTATTATTATTTTGAGATGGAGTTTCGCTTTTGTTGCCCAGGCTGGAGTGCAATGGCACCATCTCGGCGGGTGGATCACCTAAGATCAGGAGTTCGAGACCAGCCTGGCCAACATGGCGAAACCCCATCTCTACTAAAAATACAAAAATTAGCCGGGCGTGGTGGTGAGCACCTGTAATCCCAGCCACTCAGGAGGCTGAGGCAGGAGAATCACTTGAAGCCAGGAGGCAGAGGTTGCAGTGAGCTGAGCACACCACTGCACTCCAGCTTGGGCGACAAGTGCGAGACTCCATCACACACACAAAAAAAGAAAAAGTAAAAAAAAGCGTCCAAAGAGACCAAACAATCATCAGAACCAGACTCAGCTATGACAAAGATGTTGGAACTATCAAGATGGGAAATTTAAAATATGCATGATTAATATATTCAAGATTCAAATGAAGAAGTAGACAAATGCAAGCTCAGACAGGTAATCTCAGCAGAGAGATGGAAACTTTAAGAAAAAAAAGTGCCAGAACTCAAACATACCAGCATTTGTACAACTTACAGGTGGGCCCGAGCCTTTCCTAGAAGCAGAGCTTCCCGTATCTGATAATTCACACGTGGTCTGGTTTTGGATTGCATTTCTTCCTCTTTGTCTCTTTGTCAACATTTTTTTTTTTTTTTTTTTTTTTTTTGAGATGGAGCCTTGCTCTGTTGCCCAGGCTGGAGTGCAGTGGCGCCATCTCGGCTCACTGCAAGCTCCGCCTCCCGGGTTCACACCATTCTCCTGCCTCAGCTTCCCAAGTAGCTGGGAGTCAAATTTTTACTCTTATCCAGCTGTGGATGCTTTTTTTTTAGCCTTCAGGAGGTCCGAGGAAGGGTCCAGAGAGAGCCACACAATGGTCTGGTTCCCCACTCCCTCTTGCGCCCCCTGCTGTAGCAAATGGAAGTGCTTATTTCTCCCCCAAAAGATTAGGCTGTTTTGGAATTCCAGCTCTTTGCACTTGCCATTTTCTCTGATGTTATGATAGTGCTCCTTTCCTATCTGCATAACAAACTCCTATTCAACCTGTGAAACCCCAACTTTGATGTTGCTATACCATACTCCTTTCCTTGAGTTCTTCTCAATTTCCATGCTGTAAATTATTTTATAGTTATATTTATCACACTACACTAGTTGTTTATTAACCTATTATCATCCACTAGGTTGTGAATATTCTGAGGATAAATTCATGGTTTTAGCTAGTTCTGTTTTACAACATTAAATTTAATGACTCATTAGCATTTTATTGTACTATCCTAGAATTGGCAGCTGTATTTTTTCCAGTTTTTACCTGTAGTAATTAACTATGTGATGCACTGAATTTTAAATAAAACTTTGTTCTTAAAATGGAATGCTTCCTTAGGGTAGCAAGTGCGGTGGCCCAGAGGCACAAACGACCTTCGTGTGTGTTTATAGATCAGCAGAAAGGTGGGTGTGGCTAGACTGAGATGAGTGAGCGGGGAAGAGGTAGAAGATGAGGTCTAAGAAAGAGGCAGAACCAGATCATGTAGGGTCTTGTAGGTCATAGCAAAGGTTTTGAATTTTATTCTGTGTGACATAAAAAGCCATCTGAGTAAGGAAGTGGCACAATTAGATTTATGTGTAAAATATACATACCATACTATAATACTTTTTCTTTCTTTTCTATTTTTCTTTCTTTCTCTCTCTCTCTCCTTCCTCCCTTCCTGTCCTCCCTCCCTTCCTTCTTCCCTCCCTTCCTGTCCTTTTTTCCTTCCTTCCTTCCTTCTTCCCTCCCTCCCTCCCTTCCCTTCCTTTCCTTTCCCTTCCCTTCCCCTTCCCCTTCTCCTTCCTTCCTTCCTTCCTTCCTTCCTTCCTTCCTTCCTTCCTTCCTTCCTTCTTTCCTTCCTCCTTTCTTTATACTGGTCTCAAGCGATTCTCCCACCTCAACTTCCTAAAGCACTGGCATTACAGGCAAGAACCACTTGCACCTGGCCCTTCAATTTCAATTTCAAGCATGTCTATTATTCAAAAGTCAAAAATTATGTAGATTTATGTATAGTATGGTATTGGGAATAATTGAGAGCAGGCAGTGGGAGCAAGAAAACCAGCAAAGATGAACCCCTCAGGTAGAGTTATACACCTCAGATAGAAAGAGCCACTAGCCTGGCTTTACTATTAATTGGCTGAGTGATGGTTGGAAAAGCATGACATACCTGCTTCAGTTTTCTTACCTGTGGACAGATCAAATATTAATACTTGAAGTGAGAAATAATTTGCTGGATTTAAACTTGCCAATTTACAAAAGATAACTAAACAATTAGTTGCTTGGGTGTTTTTATGAAAAACAAAGCAACCAATTACAGAATTTAAAAAAATTTATGCTTGATAGATGATATGATTTTCCTGTGTCCCCGCCCAAATCTCATCTTGAATTGTAACTCCCACAATTCCCACGTTTCATGGGAGGAACCTGGTGGGAGGTAATTGAATCATGGTGGGGGGGGCAGGCTCTTTCCTGTGCTGTTCTCCTGAAAGTGAGTAAGTCTCATGAGACCTGATGGTTTTAAAAATGGGAGGTTCCCTGCACAAACTCTCCTTTTGCCTGATGCCATCCATGTAAGATATGACTTGCTCCTCCTTGTCTTTCATCATGATTATGAGGCCTCACCAGCCACGTGGAACTGTAAGTCCATTAAAACTCTCTGTCTTTTGTAAATTGCCCAGTCTCGGATATGTCTTTATTAGCAGTGTGAAAATGGACTAATACAATAGTTTCAACTGATACACAAACACACACACACACACACACACACACACACACACAGAGATTTAGTTCTGGTCAATGCTGGAGATCCAGACCTAGGTAGAATTGGCCATGAGCACATGATGAACAGAAGACCTGGATGGACCAGAAGTATGGAAACATCTTCCAGAATCTGAAGCACTGATTTCCCCACAAAAAGATCATCAGAGATGTATACAAAAAGCAACTTTATTTAGATGTTTTTGTAATCTAGAAAGAATATGTTTGCCTTATTATATTGTAAAATTAAAAACATGAGATGTAGAGTTTTAGTCTTCAAGTATTAAATATACACTTTCCATCTCATTTGGTGGTCAATTAAGAGGGGGCAGTGGTGGAAGTAAAAGAAAGGGTGTGTGATGGTTCATTTTATGTATCAACTTGATTGGGCCATGGGGTGCCCAGATATTTGGTTAAGCATTATTCTGGATGTGTCTGAGGGTGTTACTCACTGAGACTATCATTTGAGTTAGTAGACTGAGTAGATAAGATTACCCTCCTCCATGTGGATGAACTTCATCAAATCCATTGGGAAACTGAAGAGAAGAAAAAGGTAAAATAGGGAGGAATTTTTTCTCTCTGCCTGACTGCTTGAGCTGGAATATTAGTCTTCTCCTGCCCTTGGGCTGGAACTTACACCACTGGCTCTCCTGGTTCTTAGGCTTTCAGACATGAACTGGAACTACACCACCAGCTCTCCTGGGTCTTTATCTTGTTGCCTAGGACAACAAGGAGATCCTAGGATTTCTCAGCCCCCATAACCACGTAAGCAAATTCCAGATGTACATATTTACAGGCTCTGTTTCCTTAGAAAACCCTAACTAATGTGGAAGGTCTAAGAAGAAGCTCAGAGCGTCTAGTAAAACAAAGGCATTGAAGGGACATGCAGGGGAAGTAAAGAGGGAAAGATAAACAACAGAGAGAAAGATAAACAACAGAGAAGGCTAGACACAGTGGCTCTTGCCTGTAATCCCAGTACTTTGGGAGGCCAACGTGGATGGATCCCTTGAGGTCAGAAGTTCGATACCAGCCTGGCCAAAATGGTGAAACACTTTCTCTACTTAAAACACAGAAATTAGCTGGATGTGGTGGTGCACACCTGTAATCCCGGCTAGTTGGGAGGCTGAGACCTGAGAATCACTTGAACCCAGGAGGAAGAGGTATTTTTCCTTCTCTCCCTTTGTATCTTCTTTTTTTTTTTTTAATTGAGATAGGAACTTGCCATGTTGCCCAGATTGAAGTGCAGTGATGCAATCATAGCTCACTGCAGCCTCAATCTCTTGTGGCTCAGGTGATTCTCTTGCCTCAGCCTCCTGAGTAGCTGGGACTAAAGGCATGTGCCACTGCACCCAGCTATTTTTTATTTTTTGTAGAGATTGGGTCTTGCTATGCTGCCTAGGTGGGTCTCGATCTCCTGGGCTCAAACAATTCTCCTGCCTCAGCCTCCCAAAGTATTGACATTACAGGCATGAGCCAGTGCACCTGGCTCCCTATATACATTCTTTTGACTGCATGGAGACCAGCAATTCCCAGGGCCTTCCACTTGATGCCAGCCCATTGTCCCTCTGGAGAACTTGTTTCTTTCTCTACCCAGCCTGGGCCATGACGTCAATCATTTAAAGTTTTCTTCATGAGCTGCTCTCTCCCAGGCTCCTGGTCTTTAAGGCTAGTGCCATTCACAACCCTGCAAACTTGAATCAAGCCTTGTTTTACTTTTCTCCTTCTCCAGTCTCTGTAATAGATATCATTTCAACAAATACCTATTAGAGACCTATTTTGTGCAAGTATTGGTCTAGATGCAATGGAAATAGCAATGTCTGGCTTCTAAGAGTGAATGTTTCAAATGTTTCAAAAGATCCAGGCAGAAGCTGCAAGATTATGACATAGTGTCAGAGGACTCAAAATGCCACTTCTTCCCCATTCTCTTGGTCAAAAAAGCCAAATCACTAATCCAGCCTAGAGTCAAGGGAGGGGAAGAATAGTGTATTAGTTCTTTCTGGCTGTTATAACAAAATACCAAATACTGGGTAGCTTATAAACAACAGAAATTTATGTTTTACAGTTCTGGAGCCTGGAAAGTCCAAGCTTAAGGCATCTGGAGATTCAGTGCCTGGTGAGGGCTTGCTTGCTGGTTCAGTGATGCCATCTTCTAACTGTGTCCTTGTGTGGTGGAGAGGTAAACAAGTTTCCTCTGGATTCCTCTTTTTTTTTTTTGAGGCAGTCTCTCTGTTGCCAGAAAGGAGTGCAGTGGTGCTATCTTGGCTCACTGCAACCTCTGCCTCCCAGGTTCAAGTGATTCTCCTGCCTCAGCCTCCCGAGTAGCTGGGACTATAGGCATGCACCATCACACGCAACTAAGTTTTGTATTTTTAGTAGAGACAGGGTTTCACCATGTTGGCCAGGATGGTCTGGATCTCTTGACCTCATGATCTGCCTACCTCGGCCTCCCAAAGTGCTGGGATTACAGGTGTGAGCCACCACACCCGGCCGTCTGGCTTCTTTTAAAAAGGCAGTAATCCCATTCACAAAGATGGAGCTCTCCTGATCTAATCACCTCCTAAAGACCCCTTCTCTTAATACCGCCATAATGGAAATTAGGTTTCAGTGTAAGAATTTTGGCAGGATGTAAACAATCAGACCATAGCAAAGAGACTTCATTTCTTGATGGAAGAATGGCAAGTGCAAATAGTTGGAGAAGTAATTAGTGAAGTCCACCTGGGAGACAAGCAACCACCGCCTGTGCATTAAAGTATTGCGATACTGCCACACTGAACCAACGGTGGTTCCTTGAACACACAATTCTGTTTCATGTTTATAAACTACAGAACAATTCAGTCTTTCTTATTCAGATTTTCTCTTTCTCCCTTGTCTGTCAAACTCCTTCTCATTTTTCAAGACAAAGTAGTATATCACTTTTTTAAGATCAACAGACCCTTCCATTTTGGGGCTACTGTTACCATTTAAAGTGTGTCCTCCCAAAATATATGTTTAAGGAGATGAAGGGCTTCATCTCCTGAAGCCTCCTGGGTAGCTGGGATTATAGGTGCACGCCACCAAGCCCAAATTTTTGTATTTTTAGAAGAGATGGGGTTTTGCCATGTTGGCCAGGCTGGTCTCAAACTCCTGACCTCAAGATATCCGCCTGCCTTGGCCTCCCAAAGTGCTAGGATTACAGGCGTGAGCCACGGCATCTGGCCTTCTTTATTATTTATCTTTCCTTTTTCGCTTCCTCTGCATGTCCCTTCACCTCCTTAAATATATATTTTGGGAGAATACATTTTAACTCCTAAGCCTTAACACCTGTGCATGGGACCTCATTTGGAAACCAAATCTTTGCAGATGTAATGTTAAGATGAGACTATGAGGTCAAGCCCTAATTCGATATGATTGGTGTCTTTACAAAAAGAGAAGAGAGGCCGGGTGTGGTAGCTCACATGCCTGTAATCCCAGCACTTTGGGAGGCCGAGGTGGGCGGATCACCTGAGGTTGGGAGTTCAATATCAGCCTGACCAACGTGGAGAAACCTTGTCTCTATTAAAAATACAAAATTAGCCAGGCGTGGTGGCACATGCCTGTAATCCTAGCTACCCAGGAGGCTGAGGCAGGAGAATCTCTTGAACCCGGGAGGCAGAGGTTGCAGTGAGCCAAGATCATGCCACTGCACTCCAGCCTGGGCAACAAAAGTGAAACTCCATCTCAAAAAAACAAACAGAACAGAACAAAACAAAACAAAGAGAGAAGAGACACATGCAGAAGGAAGATAGAGTCAGAAATTGGAGTTATACAAGCCAAAGAATGTTAAGGGATTCTAGTGACGCCAGAAGCTAAGAGAAAAGCATGAAACTGGTTTTCCTTTATAGTTCAAGAGGGCACGGCCCTGCCAACACCTTGCTTCTAGCTACCAGTACTGTGAAACCACACATTTCTGTTGCCTTAAGCTACCCAGCTTGTGATAGTTTGCTATGGCAGCACTTGGAAACTAGCAGAGCTATCAATAGAACCATGCATGAACTTCAAATTTAGAATTTAAAAGACCTTGCAAGCTGTTGATTAAAGGTCAAACAACAACAACAAAAAGACTTTATTATACTTACTTGTATAATACAGTAACTGGAGCCATCATTATTTGTTAAATAAATGCTTTTATTAATGCATAAGTAAATGAAATACATTTGAGTAGGGATACATAACACAAGTGCTTTGCATACATGAGGCATTTGCTTTGTCTCAGTATGATTCAGAATTTTATTGACAGAAAATGGGCCTTCAGAAAACATTCAGTTAGTCTTTGTTTACAAGTCTTTAAATGCTCCAACCTATACACCTATTGCTGTGGTTTGAATATTTGTCCCCTCCAAAAATCATGTTGAAACTTAATCCCCAATGTGGCAGTATTGAGAGGTGGGTCCTTTCAGAGGTGATTGGGTCATGAGGGCTCTTCCCTCATGAATAAATTAATTCATTCATAGATTCATGGATTAATGAGTTATCATGGGAATGGGACTGTTTCGTTTATAAGAAGAGGAAGAGAGATGTGAGCTAGCATGCTTAGCTCCTTCACCAATGCCCTGCACTGCCTTGGGTCTTTGCAGAGAGTCCTCACCAGCAAGAAGGTCCTCCCCAGATGCAGCCCCTTGACCTTGGACTTCTCAGTCTCCATAACAGTAAGAAAGAAATGACTTTTCTTTATAAAGTACCAAGCTTCAGGTGTTCTGTTAAAAGCAACAGAAAATGGACTAGGACACCTGGAAAGCAAAACTATTCACAGTTGTGGAACCTGAGCCATATTTAAATCCTCATCCACCAAGGGAACCTCAGGAATGTTTTAGCACATGTACGGTCTTAGCCAAATGCTCTATTATGGTTACAGAAAGCCAAAGGCTTTGAAGAATGTGAGAAAGAGCCATGTGATGCTTGATTGCTAGTTTATGGCTCTACTCTGAGTTGGTAAGTTTCATGGAACTGGAAGACCTTTTGAGAGCTGCATTGCAATGTCTAGATATGTAGGAACTTTGCCCAGGACTCTGTTAGGTCTCAGGCCCTACATGGATCCATCGAGGTTCTCCACTCCGGGCACTGGTCTTCTAATATACTTCCATATAACTACACTAATTTAAGAGGCTGAGACATATTCCTTCGTTCCTTTTTTTTTTTTTTTTTTGGAGATGCAGTCTTGCTCTGTTGCCCAGGCTGGAGTGCAGTGGCACTGTCTTGGCTCACTGAAACCTCCACCTCCCGGGTTCTAGTGATTCTTCTGCCTCAGCCTCCCGAGTAGCTGGGACTACAGGCGCCCACCACCACACCCTGCTAATTTTTTGTATTTTTAGTAGAGGCAGGGTTTCACCGTGTTAGCCAGGATGGTCTCAATCTCTTGACTGCGTGATTCACCCGCCTCAGCCTAACAAAGTGTTGGGGTTACAGGCATGAGCCACCGCGTCCAGCCTCCTTGGTTCCTTTAATTTCCTGACCAATTCTCCAGGCCCCTTGCCTATCTTATTATGTAGCACTCTCACTTTCCTCAAGAGGAAAGGTAGGTAGTGGCAACCTGGAGAATGGTCCCCACCTTAGCCTCCCCTATTAGAACCCTGGCTTATTGGGCTGGGCACCATGGCTCATGCCTGTAATCCCAGCACTTCTGGGAGGCAGAAGAGGGGATATCACTTGAGCCCAGGAATTGGAGACCAGCCTAGCCAACATAGTGAGACCCTATCTCTACAAAAAATAAATTAAAAATGAGCTGGACATGGTGGTGCATGCCTGTAGTCCCAGCTACCTGGGAGACTGAGGCACTGGGATTGCTCCAGCCCAGGAGTTTGAAGCTGCAGTGAGCCATGATAGTATGACTGCACTCCAGCCTGGACAACAGAGAGAAACCACCCACGCATCTCAAAAAGCAAGAAAAGGCCAGGTGTGGTGGCTCATGCCTGTAATCCCAGCACTTTGGGAGGCCAAAGCCAGTGGATCACCTGAGGTCAGGAGTTCAAGACCAGCCTGGCCAACATGGTGAAACCCTGTCTCCACTAAAAATACAAAAATTAACTTGGCGAGGTGACATCTGCCTGTAATCCCAGCTACTCAGAGGACTGGAGGACTGAAGCAGGAGAATCACTTGAACCTAGGAGGCAGAGGTTGCAGTGAGCCGAGATCACACCACTGCACTCCAGCCTGGGTGACAGAGCAAGACTCTGTCTCCAAGGAAAAAAAAAAACAAAGCAACGAAAACCCCAAACTAAGAAGCAGCCTGGCTTGTATTGTTCACGATCCCCTTGGACACCCATTCAGGTTTACTGATTGGGTTGCAAAGGTGGCTTTGGAACCATGAGGCCCTTCCAAGCATGTTTATAAGGAAGGAACCTGCTCCGATGAACACAGAAGCGTTCATAGACCAAAAACGTAGACATACACAAGATAATGCTTTGTATGACAATGACCTGTTTACACATTTTTCTTCCTCACCAGGAAGAAAATGAGCTCACCAGAGCAGAATCTATCCCTTTTTTTTCTTTCGTTCCATCCTCAGCGCTTGCATAATGCTTGCTCCAGAACAAGTGTAAAATAAATGCTGTGGAATGAGTGTTAAGCATAGACATAAACACGCTCACACATTCACACAGGGGCCACCGTTGCAAGGTATCTTACTCGGCTTGCTATAGCCCCGTGGGGAATGTGTGTGCTGTTTGGCTAACTCAACATGCCTCACACTTGGTGAGCTCAGTGCTGTTACAATTTGTTTATGTAGCACCCATTTTGCACATTTATTTTATGCATCGCTTTGCTATCAAAACAAATAAAAAGCTGGAACAGCTCTATCCCCAAAGGAGAAAACCAGCCTTCTTTCCTTCTTCCCGAATCTGCAGGAAGTGCCCAAAATATTCTCCCATTCTCTGTCTGTCCCTGCCCTGGAGTTGGTGTCTCACTTCCCTGCTGGACTGCACCTGCCAGGTGCAAAGGCTGAGGTCTTTTGGCACTACTGGGCAACTAACGAAATCGTGGTCTGAAGCTTTCATCTCACCTCCCTGGGGACAGGTGAGCTGCAGGTGTCACAGAGCCTCTGTACACAGTAGCTCATCAGCATTCAAGATTTGTAGCTAATGGTGTTGCTTGAAATATTAACTTTGTAGAATTGTTTTGGGAGGTTCTATTCGTTTTCCTAGTTTGGATTTGTCTGCAGTACGTCATTCTCTAGAAAGTTTTCACTATTAAATGTGACATCCTTTTTTCTTATCACAGTGATTATCTTCTTTAATATTAATGAACTACTACAACTGGAGCCTTCCTTTGGGGACTGTGAGTCTGCTGCAGCACCAACATCTTCCTTACTGAGTGGGAATAGCTGCTTTGCACCTGCCACAACAATACTGAACTCCAAGTGGCGATGTCTTGGAGGTGGGTGGCTCAGGAGGGACATCAGGATGCTACAAATGAGTAGCAGGACTCAGAAGCCAGTGAATGATTAGAAGTCTCTCTGTGTCCAAGATTCAGTCAGTCTTTGGCTAGAGTTATGGGTTAGGCAAGGGCTAAAAAATAAATCAAAATTACAGGTTTCATGAGGGTAATAGAATATCTGACCTACACTAGCCATCAGATCTGGCTATTCTTGAAGTCAGCGTAGGATATTCAGAAAAATATAGTCTACAGTCAACAGTGATAAAGATATATCTGTTTCTAGCAGCATGGCAGATTTTATAACCCTCTTGTTTAAAATAGCGAGAAATATTTTATTAGAAGTATTTTTAAAATAATTTCTGAGCTGACAAGTAGTTAAGGAAACCTCAGAGGCTAAACACAAAGGGAAAGGTGTAATTAGAGAATAAAATAGCTTGGCTTGTGGCTTTGGCATTGGAAACATCTGCCAGAAACCCCTGTGGTTTTTAGGTAGTTATAGGGACCTAATGACATAGCTTAGCATCTAGCTTAATGTAGAGTTTACTAGGAACCTGCCTCCCCGACAACACACATAGAATTGTGGTCTCAAAAGACTACACTGTCATTTTAAGAATAAACTAGAGGCTGGGTGCGGTGGCTCACGCCTGTAATCCCAGCACTTTGGGAGGCCGAGGTTGGTGGATTACGAGGTCAGGAGATCGAGACCATCTTGGCTAACATGGTGAAACCCCGTCTCTACTAAAAATACAAAAAAAAAATTAGCCGGGTGTGGTGGTGGATGCCTGTAGTCCCAGCTACTTGGGAGGCTGAGGCAGAAGAATGGCGTGAACCCAGGAGGCAGAGCTTGCAGTGAGCTGAGATTGCACCACTGCACTCCAGCCTGGGCAGCAGAGCGAGACTCCATCACAAAAAAAAAAAAAAGAATAAACTAGAAATAAACTTGCCCACATAAGAGAACAAGAAGTAAATTCCTGTATCTGCCTTTGTTATGAATGGAAGGAAAAGATGAATCTGCTTCTGTTTTTTGTTTGTTCGTTCTAGAGATAGGGTCTCACTCCGTTACCCAGGCTGGAGTGCAGTTAGGTATGATCGTAGATCACTGTAACCTCGAACTCCTGGGCTCAAGCGTCTCTCCTGCCTTTGCTTCCCAAGTAGCTAGGACTACAGGCCTGTGCCACCATGCCTGGCAAATTTTTTCATTTTTGGTAGCAACAGGGTCTTGCTATGTTGCCCAGGTTTGTCTCAAACTCCTGGGCCCAGGTGATCCTCTCACCTTGGCCTCCCAAAATGCTGATTCCAGGCGTGAACCACTGCTCTCAGTCTAAATTTCTCTTTGAATGTGCGATTACAAATTGGCCTTCATATAGATTTGCAGCCCCAATTTACCCTACCTGGTTGGCCTAAAATTCTTCAAGCTGAGAATGTATTTTAAAGAGATGCTGGGTTGGTAGTGTCTCCTAGATACTCAGTGGAAACTTACATAAAACTTTGTAGAGTGCATCTTTAAAAGAAGGTCTCAAAGTATATCCATTGATAACATTCCATGGGAGATGTGTTCATAGTCAATATTTATGAAATATACAAGGAAGCACCATAGTCTGAGTCAGCAGAAACCATAGACAAAACCATAGAATCAGGTGCCCTAATATTCAAACACCACAATTATCATCAGACAAGAATATAAAATAACTATGATTCATATGTTTAAAAAAATAAAAGGAGATTTGGATTGTGGCTATAAAATAAGAAGCTGCAGAGGTGGCTGAGTAGATTTAAAAACTGAACAAATAGAATTTCTAGATGGCAGTTTCTATTGAAGTTTTAGCAGCCTGTGCTAATGCTACACAACTTTCAAGATTGAGCCCACATTTGAGGCAAATCTACGCAAAGATGGGAGACTCACCCAGTTGTAGAGGTCATCTCTCCTCCACAAACTGCCTGCTTTTGGTTGCTTTACAAAATCCTGGGGTAGTGTGTGTGTGTGTGTGTGTGTGTGTGTGTGTGTGTGTGTGTGTGTTCTGGAGTTTATAGTTATAATTAGCAGGAAGAATGGGCCATAATTGGAGTACCTCACCACAATAAAACCAAAACTCCCTACCATCATACAACTATTAACTAATCCATAGACTTTTTGGAAATTTCTTGAACTATCCAACTAATGTCCTCTTTCTGGTTTGGGGCCCAAACCAAGATCACATACTGCATTTAGCTTTTATGGCTCCTGAGTCTTTTACAACCTAGGACATTTCCTCAGGCTTTCTTTGTCTTACATGACCCTGAAACTTTTGGTAAGTTTTAGGCAGATATTTTGTAGAATGTCCCTCAATTTAGATTTGTTGAATGTTCTGGCTTTTATTCAGGCTCTGTATTTTCAGTGAATTACACAAGTGATGTTATATCTTTCTCAGTGCATCATATCTGGAGGCATGCAGTGTTGACACATCTCAGCTGGTAAAGCTAATTTTGGTCTTTTGGTTAAAGTATTATCTTTCAGATATTTCCACTGTAAAATTTTTTCCCTTTGTCATTTTTTCTCTTTGTCATTTTCCCACTTGTCTTATGGGGACATACCTTTTGAGGCAAAAAAAATGTAATTTTCTTATATTTTCACACTTACTTTTGTTGGATACAAAATGTAATAAATCCTTCACTGGTTGCTAGTAAGTGTAAAATTGAGAATGAATATAAAACTACCAGTCATTCCTCCAGAGGATTTTTTAAATTTTATTTTTAAATTGATACATCATAAATGCACATATTTTCAGGGTATATGGGAAAATTTAATACATTCATACAATTTGTAAAGATCAAACCAGTGGAATTAGGATATCCATCACTATAACTATATGTCTTTTCTTTATGCTAGAGACCTTTTTATTATTCTAGCTATTTTGAAGTATATAATAGATTTTTGTAAACTATCACTCCATGAAACACCAGGTCTCATTTCTTCTATCAAACTATGTTTGTACCTAGTAATTAAGCTCTCTTCATCCCTCCCCACAACATTTCTGGCCCCTGATAACCACCAGTCTACTTCCTATCTTCATCAGATCCACTTTTTTAAGCCCCCACATACAAGTGAGAACATTCAATCTTTGTCTTTCTGTGCCTGTCTTATTTCACTTAACATAGTCACCTCCAGTTTCATCCATGTTTCTGCAAATGATAGGATTTTATTCTTTTTTATGGCTGCATAATATTCCATTGTGTATATGCACCACATTTTCTTTATCCATCCATTGATGGGCGAGTAGGTTAATTCTATATTTTGGCTACAGTGAATAGTGCTACAATAACCATGGGAGTGCAAATATCTCTTCAGCATATTGATTTCCTTTTCTTTGGTTATATACCCAATAGTGGAATTGCTGGATCATATGGTAGCTCTATTTTTAGCTTTTTGAGGACCTTTCATACAGCTTTTCATAGTAGCTATACTAACTTACCTACCCATCAACAGTGTACTAGAGTTCCCCTTTCTCCACATCTGAGATTTTTTTTTTAAATTGATGAATGTGACATACTAATAGGGGAGAACGCTGTATTTACTCATGCCATCACCAAAAGTTGGCCTTGATAAGGAAATAATAGCCAACATTTTGGAGCACCATTCTAAGATAGGTTGGGGACAGTTTCTTATCCACTAGGACTCATTTTATGACCAACAGAGGCTATCACTTATCACACCATCAACATCAGCATGATCATCCTCCTCACCCTGTGGTGCTAGCTAATAAGTCTTCACTTACATAATCCTTACAACATCTTTATGAAGTCTGGCTCTCCAGAAAACAGGCTGTGATGGAGAGCTGCATGCTGGAAATTCTGGGGGGAATACTTTGAGGATCAAGACCTTTTGGGGAGTGAAGTGTACAGGATAGGACAGTGGGAGATGTTAGGCTGTGATGCAGCTGCAAGAGATGCCTCAGCTTATTCTATGGGATCTCTGATGCAGGGAAGGAAGCATTTTCAGAATTTCCCAGCTTTAGGCAGAGAGATAAATCATTATATCTCACTTTGACCAACCATTCAAGGTTGACTGTTGCAAAAATAATTGTGGTTTTGGACTGCGAATTTTATTAATCAAAATAGGAACCAATACAATCAACACATTTTTTTGCCAATGAGAAATAAGTTTGTTTATTCCCAAAACATAAAAATCTGTGCTTCAGGATTCAACAAACTCTTAAGAAGCATTTTCTGCATCCTGCTGGCTGTGGAAGTGCTTTCCCCGCAAAAAGTTGTTGAGATGCTTGAAGAAGTGGTAGTTGGTTGGCAAGGGGTCAGATGAATACGGTGGATGAGGCAAAACTGCATAGCCCAATTCGTTCAACTTTTGAAGCATTGGTTGTGTGACCTGTGGTGGGGCGTTGTCAAGGAGAAGAATTGGGCCCTTTCTGTTGACCAATGCCAGCTGCAGGCATTGCAGTTTTCTGTACATCTCATCGATTTGCTGAGCATACTTCTCAGATGTAATGGTTTTGCCAGGATTCAGAAAGCTATAGTGGATCAGACCAACAGCAGGCCACCAAACAGTGACCATGACCTTTTTTTGGTGCAAGTTTGGCTCTTGGAAGTGCTTTGGAGCTTCTTCTCAGTCCAGCCATTGAGCTGGTCATCATCGGTGGTCGTATAAAATCCACTTTTCATTGCATGTCACAGTCGGATTGAGAAATGGTTCATTGTTGTTGCACAGGAATAAGAGAAGATGACACTTTAAAATGACAATTTTTTTGATTTTTGGTCAGCTCATGAGGCACCCACTTATGGAGCTTCTTTACCTGTCCAATTCACTTCAAATGCTGAATGACTGTAAACTGGTGGACACTGAATTCTTCGGCAACTTCTCATATGGTTGTAAAAGGATCAGCTTAGAAGATTGTTCTCAATTGGTCGTTGTCAACTTCCAATGGCTGACCACTATGCTCCTCATCTTCAAGGCTCTCGTCTCCTTTGCAAAACTTCTTGGGCCACCACTGCACTGTACATTTGTTAGCCATTCCTGGGCCAAATGCGTTGTTGATGTTGCGAATTGTCTCTGCTGCTTTACGACCCATTTTGAACTCGGATAAGAAAATCGCTCAAATTTGCTTTTTGTCTAACATCATTTTCATAGTCTAACATAAATATAAAATAAACAGCAAGTAATAGATCATTAGCAAAAAAAGCAAGAAATGCCATTAAAATGATGTATAACATAATCACATTTATTTAAGAATGTATTCCAATATCAAATGGCAAATTTCAACAATGCAAAAACCGCAATTATATTCACACCAACCTAATATACAGACTGCCCTAGAAAGGGGGCATGAAGCTGGGCTATGCTGATCTATTTGACTCAGCAAGTCCCAAAGAGACACTCCTCTCAAATCCATCAGCTGCCAACACTACCAGCTGGGGGAATGAATGTCTCAGTAGAAAAGGGAGATTCTTGGTGATACACTATATTATTTATTACTTACAGCATTTCTTTCTTTCTTTCATTCTTTTTTTTTTTCAGTCTCACTCTGTTGCCCAGGCTAGGGAGCAGTGGTGCAGTCTCAGCTCGCTACAACCTCTGCTTCCCAGGTTCAAGTGATTCTCCTGCCTCAGCCTCCCAAATAGCTGGGATTACAGGCGTGCACCGCCACGCCTGGCTAATTTTTGTATTTTTAGCAGAGATGGGGTTTCACCATGTTGGCCAAGCTGGTCTCCAA